>NC_000001.11:48038683-48341713 GCF_000001405.40 Homo sapiens | reverse complement strand
CCAGGAATAGAAGATTAGTTCTTACCATAGATTATAGCACTCTCAGAAACCATGTTTTTTTCTTTCCAAGTCAAGAACTTTCACCTTTTCACTTAAAGGAAGCACTTTACTGATTTGCTTTGGCATATCCAAATGGCCAGCATCACTATTGTGCTTTGGGGCCATTGCTAAGTAAACTAAGGGTAACTTGAATGCAAGCTTTATAATACTACCACAGTCAATCTGATAGCTGAGATGGCTGCTTAGTGACAAATAGGCAAGTAGTGTATACGGCGTGGGTATGCTGGACAAAAGGATGATTCATGTCCTGGGCAGACGGAGCAGGACAGCATAAGATTTTATCATGCTACTCAGAATGAAACTTATGAATTACTTATTTCTGGAATTTTCCATTTAATATTTTTTAGGCTACTGTTGACCACAGATTATTGAAACCATGGGAAGTGGAACTGATGATTAGGGGTACTACTGTGTGTATTCTGGCTGGAAATATACCTAAAAGTGGAATAGTTGAGGCATAAGGGAGTTGTCTCTTCATCTGCAGAAGATAATGCCAAAAAGATTTCAAAGTGTGCCAGTATCAGTGTTTAAGAATTCTAATTTCTCCCCATCCTTGCTAGCACACTGTATTTTTATTTTGTTTTGTTTTGTTTTCCCAATACTAGTGTTCCACAGGGTGTGAATTGATAATGTGTCGTGGTTATGCTTTGCACATTCTGAAAGTGTGTTATTGGATACATATAGGTTTAGAAAGTGTTTTGTTCTTGTCTGTTGACCTATTTGTTATTGTAAATGTCTTTGTTTCTGGGAAAGCTTCTTGTCTGCAAATGTGGTTTATCTGACAATTTTATAGTCACACCAACTTTCTTTGGAATAATGTTGCTTGGTATTTCTTTTTCGTCCTTTTACTTTCACCCTTCTTGTATCCCTATATTTAAGGTATGTTTCTTATATAAGAAGGTTTTATATTATTTAACTTTTCTTTTGATTTACTTACTGTAATCATTTAATTACTTGATATTGTTGGATTTGTATACTATCTGATAAATCTGTTTATATTTCTTTTTTTATCTCCTTCATACTTTATTTGACAATAAGATAGTTTTGTTCTTTTTTTATTTCTAACTTATAGAGTGCTTATTTTTTTAATAGTTACCCTGTACAAAACATGTATTCTTTATTATAGTCTAATACAATTTTTTTTACCAATTTTTTGATAATTCTAGATTAGAGCATTTGCATTCCATTTATATTCCTTCCTCTTTAAAGTTATTGATATTACACATTTTAATTCTACATCTATTTTTGACTCCACAGTATATTGCTACTATTGTATAGTAATATTATTTTATATTTACTTACTTATCTTTTTTGGTGATCTTTGTTTTTGGATTCTGTTTCCATTTTAGATAATTTCTCATTTGCATGGAAAATTCTCTGTATTTTTTTTTTTTTTTTTTTTTTTTTTTTTTAGTGCAGGCCTACTGTGGATAATTTTTGTCATCTTTAATTGTCTTTAGTATCTACTAAATTTGTGAGTAATTTTTTCTCCCTGGGTATAGATGTCTACTTTGGCAGCTGTTTTTCTTCCTACACTTTAAAGGCACTATTCTATTATCTGATATCTTCCATCATTTTGTTGAGAAGTGTGTTGTTAGTCTTATTCTTGTTCTTTTGAAGGTAATGTCATTTATCTCTGGCTTCTTTCTTTGCTCTTCTGAGATGTAGTTTTATGTATTAACCTGCTTGGTGTACTCAGACTTTCTTCACTCAATCATAGCCAAAAGGATGAGGAGCAATTCAGAGCATCTTGAATCTGTAAATTCATGACTTATATTGCTTGGGACATTCTAGCTCATTATCTCTTCAAATATGTCTTATTAACTATTATTTCTTACTCTTCGGGTGTTCAATTACCTCTATTAGATCGTTTGATTGTGTCCTGCAAGTTTCTTGCGCTCTTTCCAATTTTTATCATTCTATTTGCTATTTTATTGTGGATATTTACTATGAACCTTATAGTTCACTAATCTTGTCTTCTACTGATTCTGATCTGCTGTTAAATTCATTTATTATATTAGGTAATTGATTTTAATAATTATATTTTTTAGATCTAAAATGTCTCCTTGATTCATTTTTATAGATACCAATTTTTCCAAGTCTTAAACTTTCTCTATTTTGCCCAACTTTTCACCTATTTTCTTGACCAAATTAATCCTAATTACTTTAAAGATCTTCTAACTCTTAATACCTGGATTCTGTTTGTGATCTGCTTTGTCTTTTTTACTCTCACTTACCAATAACATTGTCCTGACTCTTTGTGTACCACTTATTATTTTAGAGTTAAATTCTAGATATTATATGTCTATACCTCTTCTAGGCAGGTAGCGTCAAAGGCTAATAACCTTGATCCAAAAGGGACTGAACCAGGGTCAGTGTATATTGATGATTTGGTGATTCTCAATTTGACCTTAATCAAAGTCCTGATAAATCACAGTTAAGTCTTTTTAGGGCATTAGCCTCCAGTTTTTCCAAATTATTAACCTTTTAGGTCCTTATCTTTTCAGTACCGAGAGACTGAGGCCATTTCTGTCCTGTTAACAAAGGTTTTAGGCTTAGTTTATTACATTTTCACACTAGGAAGTTTCAGAAATTGGTCATGTATTTCAGTCCCCTGCTCTCTGGTTTTGTCACTGTGTCTCTGCATAATTACCAGTTATGTTGAGCAGTATCAGCTCTATGACAGAGACCAGCTTCTACTAATCTCAGAAGTCAAGTGTCCTCAGGGTAAATGGTGCTTGCAAGCAGTCAAATGTCAACTCATCGGTTCTTTTCAAGGCTTTCAACTCTCAAATGTTATTAAAGTCATTCTTTGTGATACATTTTAAGTAACATATAATTGTAAGAGATGTTTTGTTTGCTTTTCAGAGATTTTGGATTAGCTTATTTTACCCCCAACCTGGCACAGCTTGAGAATTTAGAAAATATCTTGACAAAAACCTTTCATATATTTGAGGCCTTTCCTGTTTTCAATTTTACCTCTATAGCCTGGTGTGATTCTCACACCAAAAAAGTCTTGCCTGTTTCTCGATTCTTAGAGATAGCCTTTGCATCTGTTGCCAAGACCCAATTTTTTATCCTAGCTAGTCCCAGATTTTCAAGTATCTCCAGGTTAAAAGCCTTTATAGTCTCAGCAATCAACGTTTTGGTTCTTGTGTTTTCAGGGCCTGTGCCCTGATAGATCCTTATCTCTTAAGTATCGTGAGATAGCAGGAAGATGCATTTTGCTTTTCAGATGTGTTTGGTGTAGCTTTATACCCTCTGGTCCTAAGCAACTTCATAAGTCAACAAATACAATCATTGTGAAAATGGCTGTGTATCTAAAGCCTCATAAAACTCACGTTTTGTCACTCCACCCTTGTACAGGCAACAGAAGCATTGCTTGTCAAATGATTATGACCTAGCATCTTTCTTTAAAAGCTATTCTTTACCCCTCCGCTGTGTTTATGCGGAGATAGTCCTGGATTCTGTTCTCTTCCATTGCAATTGTATATATGTGAGTCATTCTTGATTTTCTTCTATTTTATTGGTTTAATTATCTATTTTTGTACTAATAATGTAGTTTTTCAATTTACTATAGGTTTGTAGTAACTCTTTATATCTAATGACATAACTCCTTCACGTTTGTTCTTGCTTCAAAATTGCTTTTCCTATTCTTGGTTCTTTTAATTTCCATCTGTATGTCAAAATCATCAGCTTGCCAGAACCCACTGAGTTTTTGATTGAGACTACATTGAATCTATGCTTTGATTGGAGGAGAACTGACATCTTAACAATATTCAGTCTTCCAGTTCATGAAATTGTGTCTATTAATTTAGATCTTTAATTTCCACCAATAATTTGACATAGTTTTCATTTCATAGGTCTAGCATGTCTTTCTATAGATTTAGCTCTAGATGTTTGATATTTTTATGCTATTATACCTTTTACAATTCTGTTTTTTCTTGGTATGATGAATATAATTTACCTGCTTTTAGTCATCTGTAATCCACTGACCTACCTACATTCACGCATTGATATTAATAGATTGTAGTTTTTGAGTGTTCTAATGTATAATAATATAATCTGTAAATAATGATAGTTTTAAATCTCCCACTTTAATCTTTATGCATTTTATTTATTTTTCTTGTTTTGTTATTTAGGGTTTCTAAAATAGTATCAAATAGAAGTGGTGATAGACAGTTTCTTGTCTTATTCAACATGAAAGATGAAAGGTTTTTATAATTTGAAATTAAATATGATACTTTTTGTAGATTTCTTGTGGGTATTCTTTGTCAGATTACAGAAATTCCTTATTTTCTAATATTTTTTATTTTTAAAAATTACAAATATAAGGTTTTATTCCATTGTATCTACTGAGATGATTATTCTGCTACCACTCCTTATTTTAATATAGCAAATCACTTGATTTTCAAGTCTTAAACCATGGTCACATTCTTGAAACAAATCTCTTATTCATGGTTTTCTTAAAAATATAATCACTGGTTTCAATTTGCTAATATTATACCTAAGATTTTTGCATCTAAATTAATGACAGTGATTGGTCTGCAAGTTTCCTTTCTTGTAATATTCTCCTCAGATTTTGGCTGACCTCATAAAAAGGAAATAGTGGTTGGGAAATATTCCCAGCCTTTTTCAGGCAGCTTCTATGCAAAATTATTTCCTTCTTAAATGTTTTGAACAAGCCTATTTTTGTGGGATAGTTTTCAGTAATGGATATAATTTCTTTAATATCAGTTATTTGGGTTTTCTATTACTTGGTCAGTTTTATTAGGAATTTTCCTGTTTCATTTATATTATCAAACTGAATGATATGAAGATTTTCATGATATCTTCCTATGCATTTTTTCTTAAATATTTTAAGAAATTTTATTTTAGGTTCAGTGGTACATGTACAGATTTGTTATATAGGTAAATTCATGACTCAGAGGTTTGCTATACAGAATATTTCCTCACTGGGGTACCAAGCGTAGTACTTGACTTTTTTTTTTCTTGAACTTCTCTCTCCTCTTATCCTCCTCCCTCGAGGAGGCCCCATTGTCTGTTGTTGCCCTCTTTTTGTTCATGTATTCTCTTTATTTAGCTCTCACTTATAGGTGAGAACATGTGGTATTTGGTTTTATGTTCCTGCATTACTTTGCTAAGGATAATGGCCTCCAGCTCCATCCATGTTCCTGCAAAGGATGTGATCTCTTTCTTTTTTAGGATTGCGTAGTATTCCATGGTATGTATGTACCACATTCTCTTTATCCAGTCTACTGTTGATGGGCAGTTAGATTGATTACATGTCTTTGCTATTGTGAATGGTGCTGCAGTGAATATACACATGCATGTATCTTTGTTGTAGAACAGTTTATATTCATTTGAATATATACCCAGGCATGGGATTGCTGGGTTGAATGGTAGTTCTGTTTTAGGTTTTTGAGAAGTCACCATACTGTCTTTCACAATGGTTGAACTAATTTACACTCCAGCCAGCAGTGTATAGGCATTCCTTTTGTCTGCAGTCTCACCAACATCTGTTATTTTTTGACTTTTTAACGATAGCCATTCTGACTGATGTGTGATGCTATCTTATTGTTGTTTGTATTTGAATTTCTCTAATGATTAGTGATATTGTACATTTTTTCATATGCTTTTTGGTGCATTGTATGCCTTCTTTTCAAAAGTGTCTGTTCATGTCCTTTGCCCACTTTTTAATGGGATTGTTCATTTTTTGCTTATGTGTTTAAGTTCCCTGTAGATTCTAGATGTTAGATCTTTGTCATATGTATCGTTTACAGATATGTTTCTTCCATTCTGTAAGTTGTCTGTTTACTTTGTTAATAGTTTCTTTTGCTGTGCAAAACCTCTTTCATTTAATTAGGCGCCATTTGTCATTTTTGCTTTTGTTGCAATTGCTTTGGACATTTTCTGTCATGAGATCTTTGCCTATTCCTATGTCAAAAATGGTATTGCCTAGGTTATCTTCCAGAGTTTTTACAGTTACAGGGTTTACATTTAGGTCTTTAATCAATCTTATGTTGATTTTTGCATATGTTTTAAGGAAGTGGTCCAGTTTCAATCTTCAGCTAGCCAGTTATTCCAGCACTATTTATTGAGTAGGGAGTCCTTTCCCCATTGCTTGTTGTTGTCAGCTTTGTCAAAGATCAGATGGCTGTAGGTGAGTGGCTTTATTTCTTGGCTCTCTCTTCTGTTCTATTGGCCTATGTGTCTACTTTTGTATGAGTACCATGGTATTTTGGTTACTCTAGCCTTGTAGTATGGTTTGAGGTCAGGCAATGTGATTCCTCCAGCTTTTTTTTCTTTTTTTTTTGCCTAGGATTGCCTTGGCTTTTCAGGTTCTTTTTTTGTTCCATATGAATTTTAGAATAGTTTTTTCTAATTATTTGAAAATTTTCATTGGTAGTTTGATAGGAATAGCATTGAATCTGTAAATTGCATTGAGCAGTATGGTCATTTTAATGATATTTATTCTTCCTATCCATGAGCATGGAATTTTCTTCCATTTTTTGGTGTCATCTCTGATTTTTTTGAGCAGTTTTGTAATTGTCATTCTAGAGATATTTCACCTCCCTGCTTAGCCATACTTGTAGGTATTTTATACTTTTTGTGGCAGTTGTGAATGGTATTGCATTCCTGATTTGGCTCTTAGCTTGGGTGCTGTTAGTGAATAGGAATGCTACTGATTTTTGTACATTGATTTTGTATCCCAAAGCTTTACTCAAGTTGCTTATCAGTTCAAGGAGCTTTGGGGCCAAGACCATGGGGTTTTTAAAATACAAAATCATGTCATATACACACAGGGATAGTTTTACTACTTCTTTTCTTATTTGGATGCCTTTTGCTTCTCTCTCTTGTCTGATTGCCCTGGCCAGGACTTAAAATACTATGTTGAATAGGAGTGGTGAGAGAGGGCATCCTTGTCTTATGCCGATTTTCAAGTGGAATGCTTGCAGCTTTTGCCTGTTCAGTGTGATGTTAGCTGTGGGTTTGTCATTGATGGCTCTTACTGTTTTGAACTATATTCCTTCAATGCCAAGTTTCTTTAGGGTTTTAACATGAAGGATTGTTGAATTTTATCAAAAGCCTTTTCTGTATTCATTGATATAATCATATGGTTTTTGTTTTTAGTTCTGTTTATGTGATGAGTCACATTTATTGATTTGCATATGTTGAACTAACCTTGCATCCCAGGGATTAAAGTCTACTTGATTGTGGTGGCTAAGCTTTTTGATTTGCTACTGGATTCAGTTTGCTAGTATTTGGTTGAGGATTTTTGCATCTATGTTCATCAAGGATATTGGGTGGAAGTTTTCTTTTTTTTTTGTTGTGTCTCTTCCAGGTTTTGGTATCAGGATGGTGCTGGCCTCATTGAATGAGTTGAGGAGGAGTAGCTCCTCCTCAATTTTGGGGAATAGTTTTAGTAAGAATGGTACCAGCTCTTCTTTGAACATCTGGTAGAATTTGGCTGTGAATCTACCTGATTCTTGGCTTTTATTGGTTGGTCGGCTATCGATTGCTGATTCAGTTTCAAAGCTTGTTATTGGTCTGTTCACAGATTCAATTTCTTCCATGTTTAGTCTTGGAAGGATGTATATGTCCAGGAATTTATCCATTTCTTCTAGATTTTCTAGTCTGTGTGCATAGAGGTGTTCATAGTAATCTCTGATGGTTATTGGTATTTCTATGGAATAGTAGTAATATTCCCTTTGTCATTTATTATAGTGTTTATTTGGATATGCTCTCTTTTCTTGTTTGTCTAGCTGACTATCTTATTAATTTTTTCAAGAAACCAATTCCTAGATTTGTTTATCTTTTGTATGTTTTTTTATGTCTCTGTTTCCATCAGTTCAGCTCTGATTTCGGTTATTCTTTGTTTTCTGCTAGCTTTAGAGTTTGTTTGCTCTTGTTTCTCTAGCTCTTCTAGTTGTGATGTTACGTGGTTTGAGATCTTTCTAACTTTTTGATGCAGGTATTTAATGCTATAAATTTCCCTCTTAACACTGCCTCAGCTTTGTCCCAGAGATTCTGATATGCTATGTCTTCGTTCTCATTAGTTTCAAAGAACTTCTTAATTCCTGACTGTATTAGTCAGGGTTCTCTAGAGGGACAGAACTAATAGGATATATGTATACATGAAAGAGAGTTTATGAAGGAGAGTTGACTCACATGATTACAAGGTGTCTCATGATAGACTGTCTGCAAGTTGAGGAGCAAGGAAGCCAGTAGTGGCTCATTCTGAGTCCCAAAATCTCAAAAGTAGGGAAGCCAACAGTGCAGCCTTCAGTCTGTGGCCAAAGGCCCAAGACCCCATGACAAACCACTGGTGTATATCCAAGAGTCCAAAAGCCAAAGAACTTCGAGTCTGATGTTTGAGGACAGGAAGCATGCAGCATGGGAGAAAGATGAAGGCTGGAAGACTCAGCAAATCAGCTTCTTCTACCTTCATCTGCCTGGTTTTCCTAGCCGCACTGGTAGATGATTGGATGGTGCTCACCCACATTGTTGGTGAGTCTTCTTGAGGATGGGTCTCCTTCTCCCAGTCCACCTACTCAAATGTTAATCTCTTCTGGTAACAGCCAGATACACCCAGACACAATACTCTGCATCCTTCAGTCTAGTCAAGTTGACACTTAACATTAACCATCACACTGCCTTAATTTGATAATTAACCTGAGTTATTCTGGAGCAGGTTGTTTAATTTCCATGTAATTGTATGGTTTTGAGCGATTCTCTTGGCTTTGATTTCTATTTTTATTGTACTGTGGTCCAAGAGTGTGGTGGTATGGTTTTGCTGTTTTTGAATTTGTTGAAGATTGTCTTATGTCTTATTGCATGGCTGATCTTACAGTGTGTACCATGTGGCGATGAAAAGAATGTATATTCTGTTGCTTTGGGGTGGAAAGTTATGTAGCTGTCTACTAGCTCCATTTCGTCAAGTGTTGAGTTCAGGTCCTGCATCTCTTCGTTAATTTTCTGACTCAGTTATCTGTCTAATACTGTCAGCAGGGTATTGAAGTCTCCACTATTATTCTGTGGGAGTCTAAGTCTCTTTGAAGGTCTGTAAGTATTTGCTTTATGAATCTGGGTGCTCTTGTTTTGGGTACACATTAATTTAGGTCTTCTTGTTGAATTAAGCCCTTTATCAATATGTAATGCCCTTCTTTGTCTTCTTTGATGTTTGTTGGTTTAAATTCTCTTTTATCTGAAATTAGGATGGCATACTCTGCCTTTTTCAGTTTTCCATTTGCTTGGTAGATATTTCATCATCCCTTTATTTTAAGCCTGTTGATGACATTGCATGTGAGATGGGTCTCTTGAAGACAGCATACTATTGGGTCCTGTTTCTTTATCCAGCTGGCAGCCACTTTGTGCGTTTTAATTGGGGCACCTAACCCATTTACATTCAAGTTTCTTATTGATATGTATGGATTTGATCCTGCTATCATGTTGTTAAGTGGTTGTTATGCTAGACTTGTTTGTGTGGTGGCTTTATAAGTGTCACTGGTGTGTGTACTTACATGCGTTTTTGTAGTGCCTGGTAATGGTCTTTCCTTTCCATATTTCATACTTCTTTCATGAGCTCTTGTAAGGTAGGTCTCGTGTTAACAAATTCCCTCAGCATTTGAATAGGATCAAATTGAAAATGATCATATTTCTCCTTCATTTATGATGCTTAGTTTGACTGGATATGAAATTCATGGTTGGAATTTTTTTCTTTACGACTGTTGAATACAGGTCCCCAGTCTCTTCTGGTTTGTAGGGTTTATGTTGAGAGGTCCTCTGTCAGTCTGATAGGGTTCCCCTAGTGAGTGACCTCCCCTTTATTCTCTAGCTGCCTTTATCATTTTTTCTTTCATTTCAACCTTGGAGTGTCAGATGATTATGTCTTGGGGATGATCTTCTTGTGAAATATCTTGCAGGAATTCTTTGCATTTCCTGAATTTGAATATCGGCCTCTCTAGCTAGAATGGGGAAGTTCTCATGGACGATACTGTGAAATATGTTTTCCAGGTTGCTTCCTTTCTCCTCATGTCTTTCAGGGATGCCAGTGACTTGTAGATTGGGCATCTTTACATAATCCCATATTTCCAGGAGGTTCTGTTCATTCCTTTTCAATTCTTTTTTCTTTATTCTTGTCTGACTGTTGTATTTGAGAAAGCCAGTCTTCAAGCCCTTAGATTCTTTCATCAGCTTGGTCTGCTGTTAATACTTGTGATATATGAAATTTTTGTAGGTTTTTTTTTTTTCTTTTTGCTGTTTCAGGTTGGTTATATTCTGTATACTGGCTATTTTTTCTGTCAGCTCCTGTGATTACTGTGATTATTAGCTTCCTTGCATTGGGTTTCAGCAGTCTCCTGAATCTCGACGATCTTCATTTCTATTCATATTCTGAATTCTATTTCTGTCATTTCAGCCATCTCAGCTCAGTTAAGAACCCTTGCTGGAGAGTTAGTGTGGTTGTTTGGAGAAAAGAAGGCACTCTGGCTTTTTGGGTTGTCAGAGTTCTTCTGTTTATCATCTTTGTGGTCTTACGTTCTTTCAGTCTTTGAATTTGCTGTCCTTTGAACGGATTGTTTTGCTTTTTTCTTCTTTAATGCCCTTGGGGGTTTGATTATGGTATAAGGTGGGTTTGGTTGACTGCCTTCTATTCTAGTCTACTACTGGGTCTTGGAGGAGCCCCCTCTGCAATTACTGTCTTCCTCTCTGCATTTCTTTTGTTGGGGGTTGTGGTCCATGGAGCTCCCTCAGGCTGGGCCTTCAGTTGGCCAGCTAGCTGTGTCCTTGCCCATAGTCTGCTGTTTGTGTGCTTCCTGGGAGAAAGATGGGGTTGTGTCTACTCACAGAGTTCAGGTGGATGTGGGACTTTTGGGTTGGAAACTCTTACTGGGTATTGCCTGTCTGGCTATGGGTAGCTAGGGATTGGTGGGGTTTCCAGCCCTGCCTTTCAGGCTTTTTCAGGGCAGCAGGAGGCTGTGCCCCTCAACACATTCAGGCAAACGTAGGGCCACTTGGCTGGAAAGCCTAGCAGGTGTTGCCTGCCTGGCTATGATTGGCAGGGGTTATAGGGCCATGCACACTGCCATTCAGGCATTTCTCAGAACAACAGGAGGCTGCACCCTCCAGCCAGGCTCACACAGAAGCAAGGCTGCTGGGCTAGAAGCTCTAGCAGTTGTTGCCTACCTGGATACTAGTGGTGGTGGTAGCTGGGATCTCTTGCTCTGCCATCCAGATATTTCCTGTGATAACTGGAAGCCGCACCCTCCAGCTGACCTCACACAGCAGTGGAGCCACTGGGCCAGAGGCTCTAGCAGGCGTCACCTGCCTGGCTACCAGTGACTAGGGCTGTTGGGGTCTCATGCTCTGTGGTCTGGATGTTTCATGTGACAACAGGAGGCTACACCCTCCAGCTGAATTCACACAAAAGTGGGACCTCTGGGCTGGACACTCTAGTAAGCATTGTCCAGCTGGCTACCAGTGGTGGGGGTGGGAGGATTGGCTGACCAAGTTTGAACCAAAGTACGGCTGCTGGGCTGGAAGTTGCTGCTGAGGCCTGGCTGGCATGCAGTGGTGGAGCAATGTTACTGCTCCCTGGCACCGTAGCTGACTGCAGCCTCTATTGGGTTTGTGGTACTGGTGCTGGTCTGCTCCAGGGCCCAAGGCTTGTGGCAGTCCTCTTGGACTCAGAAGTTCCCCCTGCAAAATGTCCAGGTGGCTCTCTGCCTCAGTCTAGAAGTATTGTGGAGGAAGGTGCAGGATGGGTGACGGGGTGATTCTCCTGTTCCTGGTCTTGCACAGGTCCCTGTGGAGAGTGTAAATTCCCCTGGGGACTGTCACTCACCCTTTCCAGTGTTGGAGGGGTCCTCCTGGTTCTGCGCTGAGCTCAGATGGGCGGTGCCCAACTTTACTCCTTTGTGCTCTCTGTGTTCCTCTGCCCTGATGGATTCCAACGTGGTTTCTCATATGAGCGGCCTGCAGCATCTGTGTTCATCAGCCCTTTTGTTTCCTTTCCATGACAGTGACACACACAAGCTGCTTCTAGTCTGCCATATTGGCCCCGCCCACTTTTAAACACAAGTATAGAATTTATAAGCATATAAGTATCTCCCTTTTCAATCATGATAATAGTAATTCGAGTTTAATTTGTCCCCCTATGTTTTAAGAATTTGTTCATTTTATTATTCTTTTTGAATAACAGTTTGTGTCGCTTTTACTTGTCTGGTACAAGTCTTTTTCTGTTACATTAACTTATGCTGAAAGTTTTATGTTCTACTTTTTCTTCTAGTCCTTTAAAGTAGAGGCTTATGTTATTGATTTTAAGCCATTTCTAATCTATACATTTAAGAATGTAATTTTCCCTCTACGCCACTGCTTTAGATGCATCTAATAATTTTATGTTGTATTTGTATTATTCACTTCAAAATATATTCTAATTTCTATTGTGATTTCTTCATTGGCTCTGTGGTAATTTAGAAATGTATTTCTTAATTTTCTCTTAGTTCGTTATTCTCTCACCTTTGCTTATTGACAGCTACTTTAATTTCTTCTCAGCTAGAGAATATACTTTGAATTATTTGAAATGTATTAATATTTCATCAAGACCTGGCATATAGTCAGTCTTTGTAATTCTGTATGTACTTGTTAAGAATATGTACTCTTAACAAGTGTACAATATAGAGGGAAGCATTCTGTGTAAGTACAGGTATTTCATGTTTATTATGGTGTTCAGATCTTTTCTATACTTACCAGAAAACACTGTACAAAATTAATGAATTATTTACCCTCTTTTATCTGTAAAATAGATGTATCTACTTGAGATAATGAAAACTAATAATGTCACTTATTACTCAATTCTAAAGGCTTTTTATTTTAAAAAAGCTTTGTTAAGATATAATTCACCTACTATACAATTCACACATTTTAAGTACACAGTTCAATGGCTTTTACTATACTCAAAAAAATCACATCTAATTTCAAAACATTTCATCACCCCACAGAGAAGATATTTTGTAACCATTGGGAGTGAAGTACCATTCTCCCCCTCCTCATTTCTCCTCCACTCCTAAGCAGCAACAAGTCCAATTCCTGTAGATGCCCATTCTGCACATTTCATATAAATTGAATCATATGATATATGGTCTTTGTGACTGGCCTCTTATACTTAATATAATATATTAAAGGCTTGCCCAGGTTGTAGTACATGTCACTTTATTCTTTTTTATATGGCTGGATGGTATTACATTGTATAGATAATGACACTTTTTTTTATCCATTCATCAGTTGATGGATGGATCATTTAGTTTGGGTTGTTGCCACTTTTTGGCTGCTAAAAAATAATAATACTGTCAACATTTATGCGATAAATCTATTTTGACCATTTTGAGGAATTGCCAAACTATTATTTATAATGGCTTACCATTTTGCCTTTTCACCTGGCATCCTTGCTGAACTTTTTTATTAGCTATCTTTTCTGATTATAGCCATCCTAGTGTGCATGAAGTGGTGTCTTATTGGGGTTTTGATGTACATTTCCCTTCTGACTAATGATCTTGAGCATTATTTCATGTACTTATTGGTAATTTGTATATCTTCTTTGGAGAAATATATATTCAAATTATTTTCTGATTTAAAAATGTGGTTGTCTTTTTATCGAGTTTTTAAAAAACTTTTTAAAATTTTAGACTCAGGAGGTACATTCTATGTTTGTTACATGGATATATGGTGTAATGTGGAAATTGTGGTTCTAGTGTAATTATCACCCACATCACCCAAATAGTGAACATTGTGCAGAATAGATAATGTTTCAACCCATATTTGCCCTCTTCTCCCCACCATTTTTGGAGTCTCCAATGTCTATTCTTTTCATCTTTGTGTCCAGTGCACCTATTGTTTATCTTCCACTTATAAACGAGAACATGCAGTATTTGATTTTATGTTTCTGAGTTAGTTCATTTAGGACATTGGCCTATCTGTGTTGCTGCAAAGGACATGATTTCATTCCTTTTATGGCTGTATAGTGTTCCATGGTGTATATATATACATCACATTTTCTTTGCCCAAGTTCCATGACTTGGTTATTATCAACAGTGCTGCAATGAATATATGAATACAGATGCCTTTTTAATGTAATTATTTATTTTCCTTTGGGTAAATACCCACCAGTGGGATTATTGGCTCAAATTGTAATTCTATTTTTAATTCTTTAACATGTCACCATACTGTTTTCCATAGAAGTTGAATTATTTTCATTTCCAAGAACAGTGTGTAAGCGTTCCCTTTTCTCCACATTCATGCCAGCATCTGCTGTTTTTTGACTTTTTCGTAGTAGCCATTCTGATGCATGTGAGATGATATCTCATTGTGGTTTTAATTTGCATTTCTCTGATGATTAGTGATGTTGAGCATTTTTTTGTGTGTTTGTTAGCCGCTTTTATTTCTTCTTTTGAGGAATGACTGTTCAGGTCCTTTGCCTGGTTTTTTATTGGTTTTTCTTTTTTTAGTGTGTGTGGGAGTTGTTTGAGTTACTTGTGGATTCTAGTCCTTTGTCAAAGACATAGTTTGCAAATATTTTCTCCTACTATGTAAGTTGTCTGTTTACTATGTTGATTATATATTTTGTTGTACAGAACCTTTATAGTTTAAGTCCTATTTGTCTATTTTTGTTTTTGTTGCATTTGCTTTTGGGGTTTTTGTCGTAAGTTGTTTGTCTAGGCCAATATTCAGTAGAGTTTTTCCCTAGGTTTTCTTCCAGGCTTTTTATAGTTTCAGGTATTACATTTAAGTCTTTAATATATCATGAATTAATTACTGTGTATGGTGAGAGATAAGGGTCCGAGTTTAATTTTGCATATGGCTAGCTAATTCTCCCAGCGCTATTCATTGAATAAGGTGTCCTTTCCCCATTGTTTGTTTTTGTCAACATTAGTTAATTGTGGGTATGTGGCTTTATTTCTGGGTTATCTATTCTATTCCATTGATTATGTGTCTGTTTTTCTTCTAGTACCATGCTGTTTTAGTTACTATAGTTTTGTAATATAAGTTAAAGCTATATAATGTGATGCTTCCAGATTTGTCCTTTTTACTTAGGATTGCTTTAGCTATTCAGGCTTTTTCTTTTTTTTTTTTTTTGTTTCATATGAACTTTAGGATTATTTTTTCTAATTCTTTAAAAAATGATGTTGGTAATTGGATAGGAATTGTGTTGAATCTGTAGATTGCTTTGGGTAGTATGGTCATTTTAACATAACTGATCCTAATGCACCATGAGCATGGGATGTTTTTCCATTTGTTTGTGTCACTTACAATTTCAACAGTGTTTTGTATTTCTCCTTGTAGAATTCTTTCACCTCCTTGGTTAAATGTATTCTTAGGTATATTTCTGTGTGTGTGGCTATTGAAAATGGGATTGAATTCTTAATTTGGCTCTCTGAAGGTTACTGGTTAATAGAAATGTAACTAATTTTTGTACACTGATTAATTTTTAATTTTTTCCTTTGGGCCTACCAAATGGGAGGGGAAGATGCAAGATGGTGGCAGTCACAGACTCTGGCTCCAGCCTCCCGCTGCTCCACTGCCCAACCTGGGCAGGTAAGCCCCCTTCTGGTTGACATCTGGATTTAGTTAAACGAGACAAACTAATTGAGAAACTGATTATTGGTGAAAAGAAGTATTACTTATTTGGGATAAACCTTGATTTGTGTGACTTTACCACTGAACACCAGTCTTGCTCTTGGATCCATACTGCACTTGCCTACCACAAGCATCTGAGGAGAGTTTTCCTGATAGATCTCAACAGTACACACAGCACTTTCTTGGTCACATTCAGTTGGAGCCTCACAAGCCTCAGCAAATTCCGACTGATTCCAGGGTCTCATTTGACGCATCCACAGGGGCATACACCTTGCGCGAGATACTTGGGCCATTGCCATTGGCTCTGAAAGGAATTGAGAAGACGGGTGAAGAGGATGATTAACTCAGGGGCTTACTGGGGCTTCCAGAGGAGGAAACTAAGCTTGATAACCTGACATAGTTCAACACTGCCCACAACAAGTGGATTTCCACCTTTACCATTGAGGAGGGAAATCTAACATTCCAAGACCAAAGAGGAAGAGGAAGAACTCCCGGGTGACATTCAGTGAGGATGATGAGATCATCAACTCAGAGAATGTGGATCCCTCAGTTTGTCGATTCAGGAACATAGTGCAAACTGCAGTGGTCCCAGTCAAGAAGAAGCTGGGGGAGGGCCCTGGCTCCTTGGGCCTGGAGGAATCAGGGAGAAGGCGCATGCAGAACTTTGCCTTCAGGGGAGGACTCTACGGGGGCCTGTGCCCTACACACAGTGAAGCAGGCTCCCAGTTTCCACAAGACAGCACTCATTGGTGGCTTGTTTATGCCATATCCAAACCTTGCCCCTGTTGTGGACTTGACTCCCATTGTGCCAGCAGCAGTGAACACGAACCCTGCACCAAACCTTGCAGTCCATAACCCTGAAACTGTAAATGAACCCAAGAAGAATAAGTATGCAAAAGAGGCTTGGCCAGACAAGAAGCCCACATCTTCCTTACTGATATGATATTTTTGGTCATGGAGAAATGTGGGATTGGGTGGGAATGGGGTGGAAGGTTGATGGGGAGCTAGTGAACTAGGGAGAAAAACTTTCCATGTGTGCAGTATCAGTTTTGTTTTTTGGTGGGGTCTTTAGGTTTTTTCCAAATATAAAATTGCATCATCTGCAAGGAAAGATAATTTGACTTGTTCGTTTCCAATAAAGTTGGATGCCCTTTCTTTCTTTCTGGTCTGATTGCTCCAGATAGGACTTCCAGTGCTATATTGAATAACAGTGGTGAAAGTGAGCATCCTTGTCGTGTTACAGATCTTAGGGGAAGGGTTTTCACTTATTCCCGACTCGGTATGATACTAGCTGTGGGTCTGTTGTATATGGCTTTTATTGTGTTGAGGTATGTTCTTTATATACTCAGTTTTTTTGAGAGTTTTTATTATGAAGGGGTGTTGAATTTTATAACATACTTTTTTAGTATTAATTGAAATGGTTATATGATTTTTGTCCTTCATTCTGTTGATACGATGTATCACATTGATTGATTTGCTTATGTTGAACCATCCTTGCATCCCTGAAATAAATCTCACTTGGTCATGATAAATAATCTTTCTAATGTATTGTCAAATTCGATTTGCTAGTATTTTGCTAAGAGTTTTTATATCAATGTTCATCAGGGTTATTGATCTGTAGTTTTCTTTCTCTGATGTGTCTTTGTCTGGTTTTGGTATCAGGATAGTACTTGACCATGTAATGAGTTTGAAAGTGCTCCCTCCTCTATTTTTTGGAATAGTTTGTTTAGGATTGGTATTAGTTCTACTTCCAATGTTTGCGTTGCAAGGCATGATGGCTCATCCCTGTAATCCCAGCATTTTGGGAGGCCAAGGCGGGAGAATCTCTTGAGCCCAGGAGTTTGAGACCAGCTTGGGCAACATGGTGAGACCTTGTCTCTACAAATAATAATAATAATAATAGAGTAGATAGGTGTGGTGGCGTACATCTGTTGTCCTAGCTACTTGGGAGGCTGAGATGGGAGAATTGCTTGAGCCCTGGCAGTCGAGGCTGCAGTGAGCTGTGATCACACCGCTGTCCTCCAGCCTGGGCAACAGAGTGAGATCCCATCTCAAAAATAAAATAACAACAAAGTAATAAAATAAAATAACAAAAATAAATGTTTGATAAAATTATTTAGTGAATCCATCGAGCCCTGTGCTTTTCTTTGCTAGGAGACTTTTTATTACAGTTTTCATATTATTACGTATTAGTCTATTCAAGTTTTGGATTTCCTCATGGTTCAATCTTGGTAAGTTTTACGTGTTTAGGAATTTGTACATTTTTTTTAGGTTTTCCAATTTATGGAATACAGACGCTCGTAGTATCCTCTAATGATCCTTTGAAATTCTGCCATATCTTTTGTAATACCTTCTGTTTCATCTCTGTTTTTATTTATTTGGGTCTCCTCTTTTTTTTTTTTTTCTGTTGTTGTGGCTAAAGGTTTGTTGATTTTGTTTATCCTTTCTTTTTTATTATACTTTAAGTTCTGTGGTAGATGTGCACAAGATGCAGGTTTTTAACATCAGTATACATGTGCAATGTTGGTTTGCTGCACCCATCAACTCATCATTTACGTCAGGTATTTCTCCTAATGCTATCCCTCCCCCAGCCCCCCACCCCTCGACAGGTCCTGGTGTGTGATGTTCCCCTCCCTGTGTCCATGTGTTCTCATTGTTCAACTCCCACATATGAGTGAGAACATGCAGTGTTTGGTTTTCTCTTCTTGTGTTATTTTACTGAGAATGATGGTTTCCAGTTTCATCCCTGTCCCTGCAAAGGACATGAACTCATCATTTTTATGGCTGCATAGTATTCCATGGTATATATGTGCCACATTTTCTTAATCCAGTCTATCATTGATGGGCATTTGGGTTGGTTCCAAGACTTTGCTCTTATGAACAGTGCTGCAGTAAACATGTGTGCATGTGTCTTTATAGTAGAATGATTTATAATCCTTTGGGTATATACCCAGTAATGGGATTGCTGGGTCAAATGGTATTTCTAGTTCTAGATCCTTGAGGAATTGGCACACTGTCTTCCACAGTGGTTGAAGTAACTTACACTCCTACCAACAGTGTAAAAGGGTTCCTATTTCTCTACATCCTCTCCAGCATCTGTTATTTCGTGACTTTTTAATGATCGCCATTCTAACTGGCATGAGATGATATCTCATTGTGGTTTTGATTTGCATTTCTCTAATGACCAATGATGATGAGCATTTTTTCATAAGTTTGTTGGCTGCATAAATGTCTTCTTTTGAGAAGTGTCTGTTCATATCCTTCACCCATTTTTTGATGGGGTTGTTTGTTTGTTTTCTTGTAAATTTGTTTAAGTTCTTTGTAGATTCTGGATATTAGACCTTTGTCAGATGGATAGATTGCAAAAATTTTCTCCTATTCTGTAGTTTGCCTGTTCACACTGATGACAGTTTCTTTTGCTGTGCAGAAGCTCTTTAGTTTAATTAGATGCGATTTGTCTATTTTGGCTTTTGTTGCCATTGCTTTTTGGGTTTTAGTCATGAAGACTTTGCCCATGCCTATGTCCTGAATGGTATTGCTGAGGTTTTCCTCTAGGGTTTTTATGGTTTTAGGTTTTACATGTAAGTCTGTAATCCATCTTGAGCTAATTTTTATATAAGGTGTAAGGAAGGGATCCAGTTTCATCTTTCTGCATATGGCTAGCCAGTTTTCCCAGCCCCATTTATTATATAGGGAATCATTTCCCTATTGCTTGTTTTTGTCAGATTTGTCAAAGATCAGATGGTTGTAGATATGTGGTGGTATTTCTGAGGCCTCTGTTCTACTTTGTTCATCTTTTGTATTGTTTTATTTAATTCAACTTTATTTATTTCTTCTCTTTGGTATTTCTTTACTTCTACTAATTTTGGCTTTGGTTTTTTCTTGCCTTTCTAGTTCTTTAAGATGCATCATTAGGTTGTTCATTTGAAGAATTTTGTCTTTTTTTTCCCACCTACTTGTCGTCTTTTTAAATGTAGGCGCTTACTGCTATAAGCTTTCCTCTTAGTACTGCTTTTGCTGTATCCCATAGATTTTGGTATGTTGTATTTTCATGTACATTTACTTTAAGAAATTTTAAAATTTTCTTCTTAATATGTTTATTGACTCACTGGTTATCCAGGAGCATGTTGTTTAATTTCCATCTGTTGGTGTAGTGTCCAAAATTTCTCTTGTTATTGATTTCCAGTTTTATTCCATTGTGGTCAGAGAAGACACATGATATAATTTCAACTTTTTAAGACTTGTTTTGGGGCCTGACATATGATTCACCCTTGAGAATGATCCATGTGCTGAGGAGAAGAATCTGTATTCTGCAGCCCTTAGATGAACTGTTCTGTAAATATCTATTAGGTTTATTTAGGCTATAGTGCAGATTAAGTCTGGTATTTCTTTGCTGATTTTATGTCTGGATGTCTGTCTAGTACTGAAAGTGGAGTGTTGAAGTCCCCATCTATTACTGTATTGGGATCTATCTCTTTAGCTCTAATAATATTTGCTTTATATATCTGGTTGCTCCAATGTTGGATGATATATATTTATAATTGTTACATCCTCTTGCTGAATTGATTGCTTTATCATTATATAGTGAACTTGTCTCTTTTTATAATTTGTATCTTGAAATCTATTTCATCTGATATCAGTTTAGCTACTTCTACTCTTTTTTGATTTCCATTTGCATGAAATCTTTTCCCATTCCTTTGTTTTCAGTCTGTGTGTGTCCTTATGGATGCAGTGTGTTTCTTGTAGGCAAGAAATTGTTGATTATTGTTGTTGTTGTTGTTGTTTTTAATTTATTTCACCACTCCATTTCTTTTGAGCGGAGAAGTCTGTCCATTTTCATTCAGTGTTATTATTGATAAGTAAAGACTTACTTCTGCCATTTTTGTTGTTTCCTGGTTGTTCTGTGGTCTTATCTTCCTTCTTTTCTTCCTGTCTTCCTGTTAGTGAAGGTGATTTTCTCTGACGGTGTGTTTCAATTTTTTGCCCTTTATTTTTTGTGTTATGTTGTATTATTTTAGATTTGAAGTTAACATGAGGCTTACAAATAATATGTCATAACCCTTTGTTTTAAACTGATGACAACTTAACACTGATTGCTTAAATAAACAAGCAAAAAGAAAATGAATAAAAACTCCACACTTTAATTTCATCTCCCCTCTTTTTAACTTTTTGTTTTTCCTATTTTTATCTTACTTTACTGTCTATGTCTTGAAAAGTCGTTGTCTTCATTATTTCTGATAGGTTCATCTTTTAGTATTTCTACTGAAGATATAAGTAGTTTGCCACAGTTAGTGTTATAATATGCTGTGTTTTTCTGTGTGCTTACTATTACCAATAAGTTTTATACCTTCAGATGATTTGTTATTGCTCATTAACATCCTTTTCTTTCATATTGAAGAACTTCCTTTTGCATTTCTCATAGGACAGGTCTGCTGTTGACGAAGTCCCTCAGCTCTTGTTTGTCTGGGAAAGTCTTTATTTCTCCTTAATGTTTGAAAGATCTTTTTGCCAGATATACTATTCTACAATACAAGGTTTTCCTTCAGCACTTTAAATACATGTTGCTACCCTTTCCTGGCCTGTAAGGTTTCCACTGAGAAGTCAGCTTGCTGCCGGATGTTTTGGAGTTCATTTGTGTGTTACTTGTTTTTCTCTTGCTGCTTTTTGGATCTTTTCTGTATCTTTGGTATTCGGCAGTTGGATTGTAAAATGTCTTGAGGTAGTCTTAGTTGGGTTAAATCTTCTTGGTTTGCTATAACCCTCTTGTACTTGATTACCAATATCTTTATCTAGGCTTTGGAAGTTCTCTGTTATTATCCCTTTGAATAAACTTTCTACCCTATCTCTTTTTCTACCTCCTCTTTAAGGCCAATATCTCTTAGATTTGTCCTTTTGAGACTATTTGAGCAATGGTGGTGACTGTTGTAGGAGACAAAGGGCTCATCAACAGCCTCTGGGGACTGGGCTCTCAGAGAAATGCTGAGCTGCAGTGGTAGTCCACAGGCGGGGAAGGGTGGCTGCACTGGGGGCATGACACTAAGGCAGGGGTGCCTTTTTCTGCAGGGAGCAGTGGAAGTGGGAAGTTGCACAGTGCATAGTTTGCCCTCTTCTCCATACTGTGGATGTGGTATCTGTCTTTGGGGCATGTGAAAGTGCTCGGCCTTCCTCCTTGGTTGGGTGCAGCAGTTGTCACCGGGATGCTCAGGGATCACAAGCCTGTGGGATTCCACCTGGGCTTGAGCAGTGCCTGTACACAATCTCCAGGTGGCTCGCTGTGTTAGTCTGGAGGTGTTGGAGCAGGGGTGCAGGGTCAACAGGGCTCTGCAGTGAATAGGATTACAATGTTCTGTGATGGAAGGGTGGAATACTGAGGATCTCTTATTTAGTCATCCCTTTCCTGCTTTAGGGAACCTTTCCTAGCTCTGCGCCAGTCCTGCTTGGAGGGCTGCCTGACTTCACTATCTTCTTTCCTTGATTTTCATGGCTTCTCTGGTGAATTTCATTGTGCTCTCTTAGACAATCTACTTGAAGTGTTAGCATTTCCTTGCTATTTTGATTGCTCTCCATGACAGAGGCGCTCACTAGCTGCTTATAGTTATCTGCCTTATTACTGGATTTTGAGAGCTCTTTATATATTCTGAGTACAAGTCCCATCTTAGATAATAAGGTTTGCAAATATATTCTTATGTTTGTGGTTTGTCTTCCACCTTCCTAATACTGTGTTTTGAAGCATAAAAGTTTTTAAAATTTTGATGAAATCCAACTTTTCTATGTTTTCTTTGGTTACTTTTGCTTAGGATATCTCAGAAATTGTTGCTTAGTCTAGGGACATAAAAATTTATGCCTATGTTTTCTAAGAGTTTTACAGTATTGGCCTTTACATTTAGGTCATTGATCAATTTTGAGTTGATTTTTGTATTTTGTGTGAGATAGAGAGTCCAAATTAATTCTTTTTCATGTGGAAATCTGGTTGTCACAGCACCATTTCTTAAAAAGATTGCTCCCCCATTGAATTGTCTTGGCATCTTTATAAAAAAATCAGTTGACTATAAATGTATGGGTTTATTTCTGGATTCTTAATTCTGTTTCATTGATCTATATATCTGTCCTTATGCTATTATCATACTATTTTGATTGTGATGGCTTTTGTAGTAAATTTTGATATCAGGAATTGTTAGTCTTCCACCTTTTCTTCTTTTTCAAGAATAACTATTCTAGGTCCTTTGCATTTCTGTATGAATTTTAGGATCAACTTTTCAATTTTTGCAAGAAAACTGTGGCCGGAATTGTATAGGAATTGTGTTAGCTCTCTAGATCATTTTGGAGGATATTGCTTTCTTAATAATAATTGTTTAAATATCTTTTGATCTGTGAAGATAGCACTTTAAAAATTTATTTATGTCATCTTATATGAAATATGTTTTATAGTTCAGTGTTCATTTTAAGCCATTAAAAAATCAAGTTTACTCCTAAGTATTTTGTTATTTTTGATGCTATTTTACATGGTATTGTTTCCTTAATTTTATTTTCAGATTGTTTATTGATAGTGTTTAGGAATACAATGCATTTTCATATGTTAATCTTAAATCCTGAAATCTTGCTGAACTTATTAGCTCTAATAGTTATTTTGTGTATTTGTGTGGAATTTTTAAAATACAGAATCATCTTATCTGCAAATAGAAATATTTTTATTTCCTTTCTGATCTTGATTTCTCTTATGTCATATTCTTGGCTAATTGTTCTGGATAGCACCCCCAATATACTGCTGAATAGAAGTGGGGAGAGTGCCCATCCTTGTTTTATTCCTGATCTTAGAAGATTTCACTCCTTTAAAAATAAGTATGCTATTAACTATATGTTTTTAACAGATGGCATTTACCATCTTGAGGAATTTCCTTCTACTCCTAGTTTGTTGAATGTTCTTGGTATTTGTCAAATGCTTTCCCTGCATCTATTGAGATGATCCTATCATTTTGTCCTTTATTCTGTTAATATGACCTTACATTGATTGAATTTTATATGAGTCAACCTTGCATTCTTTGGATAATTCCCAGTTGGTTGTGGTGTATAATTCTTTTTATGTCTTGCTGGATTTGGCTTGCTAGTATTTTACTGAGAAATTTTGCATCTGTATTCATAAAATGTATTGGTTTTCAGGGTTTTTTTAAATTGTGCTTTTGGTATCAAAGGAATAAAGACCTTATAGAATGAGTTGGTGAGTTCTTCTTCCTCTTAAATTTTTGGGAAGAAGTTGTAAAGATTTGGTGTTCTTTCTTCTTAAATATATAACACCATGAAGCCATGTGCTTTTGAGCTCTTCTTTGTGTTAAGTTTTTTATTTTTTTTTTACTTTAAGTTTTAAGGTACATGTGCACAACGTGCAGGTTTGTTACATATATATACATGTGCTATGTTGGTGTGCTGCACCCATTAACTCATCATTTAACATTAGGTATATCTCCTAATGCTATCCCTCCCCTCTCCCCCCACCCCACAACAGGCCCCAGTGTGTGATGTTCCCCTTCCTGTGTCCATGTGTTCTCATTGTTCAGTTCCCACCTGTGAGTGAGAACATGCGGTGTTTGGTTTTTTGTCCTTGCAATAGTTTGCTGAGAATGATGGTTTCCAGCTTCATCCATGTCCCTACAAAGGACATGAACTCATCATTTTTTATGGCTGCATAGTATTCCACAGTGTATATGTGCCACATTTTCTTAATCCAGTCTATCATTGTTGGACATTTGGGTTGGTTCCAAGTCTTGCTATTGTGAATAATGCCGCGATAAACATATGTGTGCATGTGTCTTTATCACAGCATGATTTATAATCCTTTGGGTATATACCCAGTAATGGGATGGCTGGGTCAAATGGTATTTCTAGTTCTAGATCCCTGAGGAATCACCACACTGACCTCCACAATCGTTGAACTAGTTTACAGTCCCACCAACAGTGTAAAAGTGTTCCTATTTCTTCACATCTTTCCAGCACCTGTTGTTTCCTGACTTTTTAATGATTGCCATTCTAACTGGTGTGAGATGGTATCTCATTGTGGTTTTGATTTGCATTTCTCTGATGGCCAGTGATGATGAGCATTTTTTCATGTGTCTGTTGGCTGCATAAATGTCTTCTTTTGAGAAGTGTCTGTTCATATCCTTTGCACACTTTTTGATGGGGTTGTTTTTTTCTTGTAAATTTGTTTTAGTTCATTGCAGATTCTAGATATTAGCCCTTTGTCAGATTAGTAGATTGCAAAAATTTTCTCCCATTCTGTGGGTTGCCTGTTCACTCTGATGGTAGTTTCTTTTGCTGTGCAGAAGCTCTTTAGTTTAATTAGATCCCATTTGTCAATTTTGGCTTTTGTTGCCACTGCTTTTGGTGTTTTAGACATGAAGTCCTTGCTCATGCCTATGTCCTGAATGGTATTGCCTAGGTTTTCTTCTAGGGTTTTTATGGTTTTAGGTCTAACAAGTAAGTCTTTAATCCATCTTGAATTAATTTTTGTATAAGGTGTAGGAAGGGATCCAGTTTCAGCTTTCTAAATATGGCTAGCCAGTTTTCCCAGCACTATTTATTAAATAGGGAATCCTTTCCCCATTTTTTGTTTTTGTCACGTTTGTCAAAGATCAGATAGTTGTAGATATGCGGCATTATTTCTGAGGGCTCTGTTCTGTTCCATTGGTCTATATCTCTGTTTTGGTACCAGTACCATGCTGTTTTGGTTACTGTAGCCTTGTAGTATAGTTTGAAGTCAGGTAGCGTGATGCCTCCAGCTTTGTTCTTTTGGCTTAGAATTGACTTGGTAATGCGGGCTCCTTTTTGTTTCCATATGAACTTTAAAGTAGTTTTTTCCAATTCTATGAAGAAAGTCACTGGTAGCTTGATGGGGTTGGCATTGAATCTGTAAATTACCTTGGGCAGTATGGCCATTTTCATGATATTGATTCTTCCTACCCGTGAGCATGGAATGTTCTTCCATTTGTTTGTATCTTTTATTTCCTTGAGCAGTGGTTTGTAGTTCTCCTTGAAGAGGCCCTTCACATCCCTTTTAAATTGGTTTCGAAGTATTTTATTCTCTTTGAAGCAGTTGTGAATGGGAGTTCACTCATGATTTGGCTCTCTGTTTGTTCTTGGTATATAAGAATCCTTGTGATTTTTTCACATTGATTTTGTATCCTGAAACTTTGCTGACGTTGCTTATCAGCTTAAGGAGATTTTGGGCTGAGATGATGGGGTTTTCTAGATATACAATCATGTCAGCTGCAAACAGGGACAATTTGACTTCCTCTTTTCCTAATTGAATACCCTTTATTTCCTTCTCCTGCCTCATTGCCGTGGCCAGAACTTCCAACACTATGTTGAATAGGAGTGGTGAGAGAGGGCATCCCTGTCTTGTGCCAGTTTTCAAAGGGAATGCTTCCAGTTTTTGCCCATTCAGTATGATATTGGCTGTGGGTTTGTCATAGATAGCTCTTATTATTTTGAGATACATCCCATCAATACCTAATTTATTGAGAGTTTTTAGCATGAAGGTTGTTGAATTTTGTCACAGGCCTTTTTTGCATCTATTGAGATAATCATGTCGTTTTTGTCTTTGGTTCTGTTTATATGTTGGATTATGTTTATTGATTTGTGTATGTTGAACCAGGCTTGCATCCCAGGGATGAAGCCCACTTGATCATGATGGATAAGTTTTTGATGTGTTGCTGGATTCAGTTTGCCTGTATTTTATTGAGGATTTTTGCATCTATGTTCATCAGGGATATTGGTCTAAAATTCTCTTTTTTGTTATGTCTCTGCCAGGCTTTGGTATCAGGATGATGCTCGCCTCATAAAATGAGTTAGGGAGGATTCCCTCTTTTTGTGTTGATTGGAATAGTTTCAGAAGGAATGGTACCAGCTCCTCCTTGTACCTCTGGTAGAATTCGGCTGTGAATCCGTCTGGTCCTGGGCTTTTTTTGTTTGGTAAGCTATTAATTATTGCCTCAATTTCAGAGCCTGTTATTGGTCTATTCAGAGATTCAGCTTCTTCCTGGTTTAGTCTTGGGAGGGTGTATGTGTCAAGGATTTATCCATTTATTCTAGATTTTCTAGTTTATTTGCATAGAGGTGTTTATAGTATTCTCTGATGGTAGTTTGTATTTCTGTCGGATCGGTGGTGATATCCCCTTTATCATTTTTTTATTGCGTTTATTTGATTCTTCTCTCTTTTCTTCTTTATTAGTGTTGCTAGCGGTCTATCAATTTTGTTGATCTTTTCAAAAAACCAGCTCCTGGATTCATTGATTTTTTGAAGGGTCTTTTGTGTCTCTGTCTCCTTCAGTTCTGCTCTGATCTTAGTTATTTCTTGTCTTCTGCCAGGTTTTGAATGTGTTTGCTCTTGCTTCTGTAGTTCTTTTAATTGTGATGTTAGAGTGTCAATTTTAGATCTTTCCTGCTTTCTCTTGTGGGCATTTAGTGCTATAAATTTCCCGCTACACAGTGCTTTAAATGTGTCCCAGAGATTCTGGTATGTTGTGTCTTTGTTCTTATTGGTTTCAAAGAACATCTTTATTTCTGCCTTCATTTCATTATGTACCCAGTAGTCATTCAGGAGCAGGTTGTTCAGTTTCCATGTAGTTGAGCGGTTTTGAGTGAGTTTCTTAATCCTGAGTTCTAGTTTGATTGCACTGTGGTCTGAGAGACAGTTTGTTATAATTTCTGTTCTTTTACATTTGCTGAGGAGTGCTTTACTTCCAACTATGTGGTCAGTTTTGGAATAGGTGTGGTGTGGTGCTGAAAAGAATGTATATTCTGTTGATTCGGGGTGGAGAGTTCTGTAGATGTCTATTAGGTCTGCTTGGTGCAGAGCTGAGTTCAATTCCTGGATATCCTTGTTAACTTTGTGTCTCGTTGATCTGTCTAATGTTGACAGTGGGGTGTCAAAGTCTCCCATTATTATTGTGTGGGAGTCTAAGTCTCTTTGTAGGTCTCTAAGGACTTGCTTTATGAATCTTGATGCTCCTGTATTGGGTGCATATGTATTTAGGATAGTTAGCTCTTCTTGTTGAATTGATCCCTTTACCATTATGTAATGGGCTTCTTTGTCTCTTTTTATCTTTGTTGATTTAAAGTTTGTTTTATCAGAGACTGGGATTGCAACCCCTGCCTTTTTTTGTTTTCCATTTGCTTGATCTTCCTCCATCCCTTTATTTTGAGCCTATGTGTGTCTCTGCACATAAGATGGGTCTCCTGAGTACAGCACACTGATGGGTCTTGACTCTTTATCCAGTTTGCCAGTCTGTGTCTTTTAATTGGAATATTTAGCCCATTTACATTTAATGTTAATATGGTTATGTGTGAATTTGATCCTGTCATTATGATGTTATCTGGTTATTTTGCTCATTAGTTGATGCAGTTTCTTCCTAGCCTCGATGGTCGTTACAATTTGGCATGTTTTTGCAGTGGCTGGTACCAGTTGTTCCTTTCGATGTTTAGTGCTTCCTTCAGGAGCTCTTTTAGGGCAGGCCTGGTGGTGACAAAATCTCTCAGCATTTGCTTGTCTGTAAAGGATTTTATTTCTCCTTCACTTATGAAGCTTAGTTTGGCTGGATATGAAATTCTGGGTTGAAAATTCTTTTCTTTAAGAATGTTGAATATTGGCCCCCACTCTCTTCTGGCTTGTAGAGTTTCTGCCAAGAGATCAGCTGTTAGTCTGATGGGCCTCCCTTTGTGGGTAACCCGACCTTTCTCTCTGGCTGCCCTTAACATTTTTGCCTTCATTTAAACTTTGGTGAATCTGACAATTATGTGTCTTGGAGTTGCTCTTCTCGAGGAGTATCTTTGTGGCATTCTCTGTATTTCCTGAATTTGAATGTCAGCCTGCATTGCTAGACTGGGGAAGTTCTCCTGGAAAATATCCTGTGGAGTGTTTTCCAACTTGGTTCCATTCTCCCCGTCACTTTCAGGTACACCAATCAGACACAGATTTGGTCTTTTCACATAGTCCCATATTTCTTGGAGGCTTTGTTAGTTTCTTTTTATTTATTTTTTTCTCTAAACTTCTCGCTTCATGTCATTCATTTGATCTTCCATCACTGATGCCCTTTCTTACAGTTGATTGAATCAGCTACTGAGGCTTGTGCATTCGTCACGTTTGTCTCTTGCCGTGGTTTTCAGCTCCATCAGGTCCTTTAAGGACTTCTCTGCATTGGTTATTGTAGTTAGCCATTCGTCTAATCTTTTTTCAAGGTTTTTAACTTCTTTGCCATGGGTTCTAACTTCCTCCTTTAGCTTGGAGTCGTTTGATCATCTGAAGCCTTCTTCTCTCAACTCGTCAAATTCATTCTCCATCCCACTTTGTTCCGTTGCTGGTGAGGAGCTGCATTCCTTTGGAGGAGGAGAGGTGCTCTGATTTTTAGAATTTTCAGTTTTTCTGCTCTGTTTTTTCCCCATCTTTGTGGTTGTATCTGCCTTTGATCTTTGATGATGGTGACGTACAGATGGGTTTTTGGTTTGGGTGTCCTTTCTTTTTGTTAGTTTTCCTTCTAGCAGTGAGGACCCTCAGCTGCAGGTCTGTTGGAATTTGCTGGAGGTCCATTCCAGACCCTATTTGCCTGGGTATCAGCAGCGAAGACTGCAGAACAGCGGATCTTGGTGAACAGCAAATGTTGCTGCCTGATCTTTCCTCTGGAAGTTTTGTCTCAGAGTAGTCAGTCTGCCCCTACTGGGGGGTGCCTCCCAGTTAGGCTGCTCGGGTGTCAGGGACCCACTTGAGGAGGTAGTCTGTCCATTCTCTTTATCTCCAGCTGCATGCTGGGAGAACCACTACTCTCTTCAAAGATGTCAGACAGGGACATTTAAGTCTGCAGAGGTTTCTGCTGCCTTTTGTTTCGCTATTCCCTGCCCCCAGAGGTGGAGTCTACAGTGGGAGGCAGGCCTCCTTGAGCTGTGGTGGGCTCCACCGAGTTTGAGCTTCCTGGCCGCTTTGTTTACCTACTCAAGCCTGGGCAATGGGCGCCCCTCCCCCAGCCTCGCTGCCACCTTGCAGTTTTATCTCAGACTGTTGTGGTAGCAATGAGTGAGGCTCCGTGGGCGTAGGACCCTCCAAGCCAATCGCGGGATACAATCTCCTGGTGTGCCGTTTGCTAAGACCATTGGAAAAGCACAGTATTAGGGTGGGAGTGACCCGAATTTCCAGGTACCATCTGTCACCCTTTTCCTTGGCTAGGAAAGGGAATTCCCTCACCCCTTGTACTTCCCGGGGGAGGTGATGCCTTGCCCTGCTTCGGCTCACGCTCGGTGCACTGCACCCACTGTCCTGCACCCACTGTCCGACAGTCCCTAGTGAGATGAACCTGGTACCTCAGTTGGAAATGCAGAAATCATTTGTCTTCTGTGTCGCTCACGTTGGGAGCTGTAGACTGGAGGTGTTCCTATTCAGCTATCTTGGCTCCCTAAGTTTTTTTAATTTAAGTTTTTTTGATTACTAATTCACTCTCTTTCTTTATTATAGGTGTATTCAGATTTCCTGTTTCTTCTTGGATCTGTTTAAATAGTTTTTATCTTTCTAGTAATTTGTTCTTTTATTTATAGATACCATTCTAGACAATTCTATAATTATTTTGGTTTACAATTATTTCATGCATTTCCTTATTACCCTTTTTATTTCTGTAAGATCTCTAGTAATGTCCCATTTTTCATTCCTGATGTTAGTAATTAGAGCCTTGGTCTAACTAAAACATTGTCAAATGTTTTATGGTTTCAAAGAAGCAACTTTGGTTTTCATTGGTTTTATCCAGTTTTCTATTTTTGATCTCATTTATTTCCATCCTAATGTTTGTATTTTACTTGTTTTGGATTTGGTTTGATGTTCTTTTTCTAGTTTTTGAAGTAAAAGCTTTGGGTTATTGATTTGAGGTCTTCTTTTTTCATGTAGGTGTTTATAGCCATGTTCCTCTAGAAGCACTGCCTCATTTTCATTATTAAGTTTTATATGTTTTGTTATATTTTAAATTTCTCTTGAAGCATTTTCTAGTGTCCCTTGTGCTGTTTTATTTGGCCTACTGATCATTTAGTAGTATATTGTTTGATTTCTACATATTTATTAATTACCCAAATTTTCTTCTGCTATTATTCTCTAATTTCATGTTATTGTGGCCAGGTAACATATTTTGTATGATTTCAGTTCTTTCAAATTTATTGAAACTTGTTTTATAGCCTAACATTCTTCAAGAATTTTTCATATGCACTTGAAAAGAATATGTATTTTGCTATCGTTGGGTGGAATGTTCTATAGATGTTGTTAGGTCTGGTTGATTTATATTGTTGTTTAGGTCTTCCATTTACTGGTTGATCTTCTGCCTGATTGTTCTGTTCATTGTTGAAAAATCAAATATTGCTGTCTTCGAACTGTACACACATCCTGTTGGTTCTGTTTTCTCTAGAGAATCCTGACAAATACAGCATGAGAGTAAAAAACTCCTTGGGGCCAGAGTCCTAGGGGGCTCTCACAAGTTCATACACTTTATCTCTAGAAACTCAAGCAAATGCTTCAACATGAAAAACAGCTAAATATTGGTAGGGACAGTAAGTTTTATGGCATTTTAACTTGACCGAGTCCCATCTCCTGCTCTCTAGCTGCATAGTAGGCTTGATAACCAACATGTCACAATCTCAGTGAAAACCAAAATTTTGGCAGGCACTGTTAGAGGTAAAATAAAGTTAGGATTTCTTCAAAGACCATTCCCAGAGAATTGTAATTACTTGACTTGCTGGAGATTGCCTGGAAGACCCCACTTTGAGTGAGAGCTTTCCCAGTGCAAAATCTTTGCCCTGGAGGGCATTTTTAAAAGAAATAATTACAGGCAATTGTTAAACCTCATTGCCAACTGAAATGGTGGATAGCCATTGAATTAAACAATAGACCAATGAAAAACCTTCAAAGAAAAAGCTGAATGTGTGCATAGGGGGCTTTGAAAAGCTACCACACATTCCTGGGATTTTAGAATACCACTCATATTTGTAGGACTGTGCATATGTCCAAGGCTATGTACTTGATTAGAAAAGACAAGAAGGCCCTTAGCTTTCAATTCCAGCCTACCTTAAGGCTCTGCATAAACAATCAGTTACGGCTTAGGCTAAGTGTTGAAAGTGTACTCTCAACATACAGAGCTGCTCAGCAAACACTGGGAGACTTAATGGTTCTAAGCGTTTATAGAAATGTCTGTCCAATCATTACTTGATGACTCAGCTAACAGAATAGAGATATCAGTGATCACCCACAAAAAGGAATGTTGACTTTGCAGAACTAAGTCAGAAAATCACTATGCTAATAACTAGAATAAACAACAACAATAAACAGTGGAAATGGAGAAAACAATGAATAGGAACTGTCCTTGAGGATCTTACACATTGGACTCACTAAACAAAGACCATAAATCAGTTATGTTAAATATAGTTATTCAAAGAACCAAAAGAAAGCATTTATAAAGAAATAAAGTGTTAGAATTATGTCTCATAAAATATAAAATTTCAATCAAAAGTTATAAACTATTTTTTAAGTAACCAAATAGAAATCCTGAAGTTGACAAGTACATATTCAGAAATGAAAATTTTTTGAAATGAAAATCTCCAGAAATGAAAAATTTATTAGAAGGACTCATTGGCACCCTACGAGCAGGCAGAAGAAAATATTATTGGACTTGAAGACAAGTCAAATGAGATAATTCAGTGTGAGGAACAGAAAGAAGAATAAAAATAATGAACACATAAGGATTTGTGGGATACCATTAAGCATGCCAACATACTGTAATAAGAATTCCAGAAAAAGAGGGAGAAAGGAAGGGACAGAAGGAATATTTGGAGAAATAATGGTCCTTGCCAAATTGAAGAAAATTATTATCTAAGGAGCTCAATAAACTCTTAAGTAGGATAAACTCAAATAGATCCACACTTGAGACTCATTATAAACCGTAAGTCTGAAGCCAAAGATAAGCCTGGCATTGTGGCAAGTACCTGTAATCCCTAATATTCAGAAGGTTGAAATGGGAGAATCACTTGAGCCCAGGAGTTCAAGGCTACAGTGAGCTATGATTTCGCCACTGCATTTCAGCCTGGGTGACAGAGTTAGACCCTATATCTAGAAAAAAAGTGTTTTGAAAAAAGCCAGAGTCAAAAAGAGAATCTTAAAAGCAGCAAGGGAGAAGGAATTCATCACATAAATGTGTTCCTCAATAAGATTTAAAACTGGTTTAAATCAGAAACTGTGGAGTCCAAAAGGCAGTGTAATGATATATTCAATGTACTGAAAAGGAAAGAACTCTCAACCATGAATATCCAGCAAAACTGTCTTTCAAAAATATGGAATAAATTAGCATTCTCAAATAAAACCAAGTTTATCACTAGCAGATCTGCACTACAAGAAATACTAAAAGGAGCTCTTCAGGATGAAGTGAAAGGACACTAGACAGTAGCTCAGATTCACATGAAGAAATAAAGAGCAATGATAATGGTAACTAGGTAAATATAAAAGATAGGCTAAATACAGTTTTTGCCAGTAACTCTTTAGTTCTTATATCTGATTTAAGAGATGACCTCACAAAACAATAATTATAAATATTTGTTGGTAGGAACATAGTATATAAAGATGTAATTTATGTAAAAATAGCAATTAAAAGGGGAGGGACTGTAAACATGTAAGAGCAAAGTTTCCATATCCCGTTGAAATTAAGTTGATATCATCTAAACTTAGATTCTTCTGTATTAAGATGTTATTTGTAATCCTCATGGAAAGTAGTAAGAAAATGTCTCAAAAATATAGTGTATAGGGAATTAAAAATGAACCCTGGAAAATATCTAACACAAAAGAAGGCAACGATGGAGAAATGAAAAAAGACATAGAAAATAGCAAAATGGCAAATGTAAATCATATAGGTATGTAAACATACCTATAGGTGGTTCATGATATTTAAAATATTAAACACTCCAATTAGGAGGTAGAATTTTGGAGACTGGATAAAAATCGTGATTATACTATATTCTGTCTACAAGAGATGCACTTTAGATTCAAAGGCACAAATAAGTTCAGTGTAAAAGAAAACAAAAGCATAGCATTCAGCATAAGAGAATTGCAGTGGCTACACAAATATTGGACAAATAGACTTTAAGAGAATTTTTTTCTTACTAATACTAAAGACAAATAAAAATATTTTATAACGGCAACAGGGCCAAACCATCAGGAAGATATGACCATTACAAATATATATGCACTTAAAAGAGATCCCAAAAATATAAGGAAAAACTGATAGAATAGAAAGAAGAAATAGATATGCAATATAATAGAGACCTCAGTATCCCATATTCACCAGTGGATAGGACAGACAGAAGATAAATAAGGAAATATTCCTTCCAGATATGTCACATTATATTACTTAAAATTTCCACATGTCTACACAAAATTACAAGATGTGCAACAAAGCAAGAAAGACCAATACATAGTTAATAGCTTATAATAAGATGTGATCCTTGTTGCCTCCTTGTTTGTGAATAACTTGTCCTTTGAAAAAATAATCTATACAGGGACTCTTACAAAAGATGGGTCCTTGTATAGATTATTTTTTCAAAGGGCAAGTTATATATATATGAATATAAATGTATATGATTATATATAAACATAAATATATAATTATATATATATAAAATATCACAAAATATAGTCTGAAAATTTGAAAGGAATAACTTTTAAGCTAATCTGTTCCTTTTTGTTTCTCAGGTCTGAATACCCCTATATGATATCCTTGATCTAGATGGGCATCATCACTCCACAGGAATAGTTTTAGTAGTTGTATTTTTACTCCCTTTAAGACAGCTATCCTTTTTATTTCGTTTCTTTGCCAAGTCTTTCACACTCACTACAGGCAATTACATTTTCTTTGATAATACAGTAAATGCTCCACTGCATTGACTTCTCGGAATAGGTAAAAATAAGGAACATCCAATAATATGCCATTCAAGAAAAAGATCTAATAGTAAGGAATGGCTGAAAATAAAAGGACAAATATATACCATTAAAGCACTAACTAAAAGAAAGTGGTTGTATCTATATGAATAGTAGACCAAATAAGTTAAGGGAAAAAAAAGCAGTTACAGAAATAAAGGCTACTTCATAATGATAAAACCGAGAAACTATAACAATTCTAAATTTGTATGCATATTTTCTGTGATTTTTAAACAAGCTCTATCATTTATTGCACACGTTTACACATAATGCTCTCTTCCTAGTTTCATGCCATCAGCAAATTTTTAAAATCATTTTTCTTCACAATGTGCATTCAGCTGATTTCTTACATAAAGTGAATGAACCCCTTACTAATACTAATCCTTATTTGTGCTTACTAGTTTCTTTTGTTATCAGTTCTGTTTATTTCTCTTCTTGTTTGACTAAGGAACACAAGGATATTGGCTAGTAGTTGAAAAAGATATTTGGTATTAAATTATATACCATTACCACACATATGAATTTAACTGTGAATGATATAGTTAACAAAGCCATCTCTTCAGAATACTATTTCTTATGTCCTTGTATGTGTCTATTAGAAATTAAGAACAGGCTGCCCATACAAGGTGGGGGTAACCATATATTTTCATTCCAATTATCTTGCCTTTCATTTTTGCCTTTTCTGGCTTGTTATTTTGGCTTTTGATTTTGCATTTTGGCTTTTGATTAATAAGTCTAAGCCATTTCCTTTGTAAGTCATAGGTGCATGTTAGAATGCTTGTATCTACATAATTTTCTCAAATACTTATTCCTCAAAATGCAGGTACAATCTCTTGAGTTCATATAACAATGTATAAGATAATGTTAATTTACATATCATGACACAGGATTCATTCCTCTATTTTTATGGATTCAAGAGGTATCTACTGGATACCTAGTCTTTGATAAGCAATATTAGCAAAAACTATAATAAAACTGTATTGTTTTGTTGAAAAGGATAGTAAATCATCACTTAACCTTTTTCCCCCCAAAGAAACACTAGCATTTAATTCCCTTTCTTATGAATTAAAATTTATAAAGGGAGGGGAAGAGCATTTTATGAAGAAACATATGCATCATTTTGGGGACAATGAGACAGTGAGTTAATGGAAATCTTTAAAATTTTTCAGGATGAGAGAGACCTAGAGAAAGATGATGAACTGGAACTGAAAAGAAGTCTTTTATGTAGAGACTCTGCCTATGACAGTGACCCCGAGTATAGGTATGAATGAAATATATGTATATCCTTCTCATAGTTCTGATAAAAATAACTGTTTTATAATATGCTGAATTTATGGGAAATTTAGACTCAAAAGGATAATTAGTATTTATTTCTAACTGTAAATTCCTATTAAAATTTTAATGTTTGCATTACTGAAACTTATCTGTAAAAACAAATATAGTCAATTATTGGTGATGCCCTTCATCCTACTTAAGATTTGTCTGCCCTGAAAACTCACATACTTCAGAATGTGTATTTATTTTAATATAAAAAATAGTTCTTATAATTTTACACCATGAACCAACCTTTTTTAATAATTTGAGATCAAATTCTGTAAGAGCAAATTCTATTCTCGCCTATAATTTGAGGAATGTTAATAATAACATTTGTACAAGTTTATATGAGCAAATTTCATCAAGATTTTTGACAGCTCTGTGTCAACTGACATAATTTTAATGCAGTATTAAAAAGTGTAAATTTTGGATTTATACAGCCAAACGTTCTTTGAATTCTTGGATGTTATACCACTAGTTACTGCAATATATAGCTTTCACCTTCCTGAGATTCCTGAGGAACAAACATAAGAAACAAAGCTCCAAAGAATGGAATATTTTTTAATTGCTAACTTGGGTTTTGCATTCAAATCTCTGATCTTTACTCTCGTAAGCTAGGCTAGACCATCTATGAACATGTGAGGACTTTTCCTTATGCCCCTTACACAGACTATAAGTGGGAGTGTGACTTCCTTTCTCAAAGTTATTGCCTCCCAAGCAAGAAGCAACCTAGGCCTCTCTTTAAACAGTTTATTATAGGTAAATTTGAAGGTGAAGCAATCCAAAGAAGAAAAGAAAGATTCAGAGGTACACACCCTGAGGAAGAGTATTTTTTACCGTTTGTTATTTTTCATTAAAGGCATATTCCCTAAATTGTTACATGGATTAGCATCCCGATTTTGGGTGCTTAACCCATATAATTAATTCTAATTTGGGCAAGAAGTGAGAAGAACTGATACAGGAAAGAGCCTCATTTTCAAATTATCTAAGTTGTTTTTAAAAAATATAGATTTCCACTTTTTACCCCCATAGATGCTGGTTCTTATATATAAGTAAGATGTGGAAATCTGTATTTTAAGAGATATCATGGGGCCAGGTGCAATGGCTCACGCCTGTAATCCCAGTGCTTTGGGAGGCCCCCATCGGAGGATCACTTGAGGCCAAGAGTTTGAGAATAGCCTGGGCAACATAGCAAGACCCTGTCTCTACAAAATAAATACAATAAAATAAAAAATGGGATATCATGGGTAATTCTAATGTAGGTAGATAAATACTACATTTTCAGAAGTGCTGCTGTCAATTTAAAGTTTGCCGTAAACCCCAATATTGGTTCTTTTTTCAGCTACCAAGCAGTGTTATTGATTAAGCTTTTGATCACCCTGAACAATTTGGTACCTCTCAAATGAGAGTTAAGCAGAGTGTCAGAAAAGTTCTGCTTACACATTTTTGAGATCACTTTATAATCTTTGCTGCTTCTCTTATATATATACTTGAATCAATTGGATGAAGTGGTCAGTCCTTCAAGACCTTTCAGAAGAGTATCTTTGATATTAGCTCCAGAAGCTATTGAAATGATTAGGATATTATTTTAGTTTTATCCTCAAGTAATATTATGCAGTAGGCCAAGAAGTCCTCCCGTTCTGCTTTCCATCTCAAAGGTTAGAGGAACTACACTCAAAGTAATCAACCTCCTTGCCAGCCTTGAGGTTTCTGTCAGCAGAAGTCAAGAGAGAGTTTGCAGTCTTGACTTACTATCAATCCTCTACAGATGCCGTTTGACACAGGCATCATGAAGAAGTTCGCATGAACCTCTGGAATGACTGAGTGAGGAGCTCAGCAAATCCTCTTCCCCCAAAGAAACAAACAGAACAGAATTGTCAAAAACAATTTAAGAACTCTTGGAATTGACCAAAAGCATATAACAAATTGAGAAGCATTTATCAAGAAAATCTACTGGTTATACTACCTAAAAGAAAGGAAATCAGCATATTGAAGAAATATCAGCACTCCCATATTTATTGTAGCATTATTCACAATAACAAAACTATGAAATCAACCTAAGTGCCCATCAGTGGATGAAAGCAGATGTGGAAAATATACACAATGGAATATTATTCAGCTATAAAAAAATGAAATCTTTTCATTAGCAACAACATGGATGGAACTAGAGGACATCATGTTAAGTGAAATAAGCCAGGCACAGAAAGACAAATGTTGCATGTTCTCATCTGTGGCAGCTAAAAAAGTTGATCTCATGGAAGTGGAGAGTAGAATGGTGATTACCAGGGACTGGGAAGGGGAGGAGGGAATAGAGGGTGAAGAGAGGTTGGTTAATGAGTAGAAAAATACAGTTATGAAGAAGGGTTAAGTTCTAGAGTTTGATAGCCCAGTAGGGTGACCATAGTTAACAAAAATTTGTTGTATATTTCACAATAGCTAGAAGAAAGATTTGGAATGTTTCCAATACAAAGAAGTGATAAATGTTTGAGGTGATATCCTAATTACCATGATTTGATTCACTACACATTGTATGCAGGCATCAAAATATCATATGTACCTTAGGAATATGTACAATTATTATGTATCGATTTAAAAATTAACTTTAAAAATTTACTGAATATCAGTAAGAACAGTTAGAGTCTGTGACATTATAACCTGGAGGTTCCATCCCCGTCTACCACTCCCCAGCTCCATGGCACAAAAGTTCTACTAGGGAAGTCATATTGAAATACTGGCAGCTTTGCTCCCAGAAATAACTAACTATATGGAGCAGAGCATGGGAAATTCCATTAACAGAAACAATAATGGTTTGTTGGCAAACAAGCAAGGGAGGACTGAAGTTTTAATACTACTTGGCAAACAAGCAGAGGAGGCCTGAAGTTTTAATACTGGTTGGGGCAGACAGTAAAGATCCTGAGAGAAGATAGCCACAGTTGGCTGGCCTTGATAAAGTTCTACTTATTCCTGGTTGGGTAGAAGATTATGTTTATGCATAAGGCTGTACATATGCATGAGAGATATTGGTGAAGGCCCTAATGAGCCACTAATTTATGGCTGAATGTGAAGCCTTGTGAAGGCAGAAAGTAAAATCCAGGGCAGAATTATAAACTAGATAAACTTTGAATATATTACCAAAGCCACATACAGATCCATTGGCAAAATATGGAAGCCTTATAGGCTTACTGGCTCTGACTAGTCATTTGCTGGCCACTAAGCTATGTTAACTCCGGGGTAGCCCCTGAGAAGCCAAGACAAGTACCACATGTTCTCATTGTAAATGGGAGCTAAACAATGGGTACACATGGACATACAGAGAGGTATAATAAACACTGGAGATTCTAAAAGGTGGGAAGGTGTGGAGATTCTAAAAGGCGGGATGGGGTTGAAAAAATACCTGTTGGTTAGTGTTCACTATTGAACCATGAGTACACTAAAAGCTGAAAGCCCAGATTCGCCATTATGTAATATATCCATGTAAGAAAACTGCCCTTGCACCCTCTAAATCTATAAAAATAAAATAGCAACAATTAAAAAAATAAAGAAACAAGAGACACAAGGAATTGGACAGTGTGAAGAAATAGTTCACAATATCAGTCCAGGCAAATCATTGAACAAAGAATCGGAAAGAATCCAGAGTTTCTGCAATCTCAACTAGATCTAAAACTTTGTTTTCTACAAAAACTCTGAGACATGTAAAGAAGAAAGTATGACCCATATACATGAAAAATGAATTACTGGAAACTGGATGCTACTCAAGTAATCTTTGCCTAGATCAATATCCTAAAGCATTTTCCCAATATTTTCTTCAATAGTTTCATCCTTTCAGGTCTCACATTTAAGTATTTAATCCATTTTAGTTCGATGTTTGTATATGGTGAGATATAGGCATTATTTTTATTTTTTTGCATATGAATATCCAGTTTTCCCAGTACCATTTATTGAAAAGACTGTCCTTTCCCCAATGTATGTGCTTGGTGCCTTTGTAAAAAATGAGTTTACTGTAAATGTGTGGATTTATTTCTTCATTCTCTATTCTGTTCCATTAGTCTATTCGTCTGTTGTTATTCCAGTACTATGCTATTTTGGTTACTATAACGTCACAGTTTAATTTCAAGTCAGGTTATGTGATGCCTCCAACTTCGTTCTGTTTGCTCAGGATTGCTTTGGCTATTCTAGTTTTTTTTTTTGTGTGTGTGTGTGTGTGGTTCCAAATAAATTTTAGGATTTTTTTATTATTATTGCTGTGTAGAATGTCATTAGTGTTTTGATAGAGATTGCATTGACTAGATTGCTTTGGGTAGTATAGGCATTTTAACAATATTGATTCTTTCAATCCATGAACATGGAATATCTTTCCATTTTCTTGTGTTCTCCAGTTTCTTTCATCAGTGTTTTATAGTTTTTGTCATAGCAGTCTTTCACTTTTCTGGCTTTTTTTTTTCTTTTAGTATTGGAAATGGGATTGCTTTCTTGATCTCTGTTGCAGATTGTTTACTGTTGGAATATAGAAATGTTGATTATTGCATGTTAATTTTTTATTTTGCAACCTTACTAAATGTGTTTATTCATTTTAATTTTTTGGTGGAGTCTTTATGTTTTTCTAAATAAAACATCATGTTTTCTATGGAAGGGAATAATTTAACTTCTTTTTCAGTTTGGATCCCCTTTATTTCTTTCATTTGCCTAATTGCTCTGGCTAGGACTTCCATTACTATGTTGAATATAAGTGGCGAAAGTGGGCATCTTTGTCCTGTTTCAGATCTTTTTCCCATTCAGTATAATATTAGCTGTGAGTTTGTTGTATATGGCCCTTATCATTTTGAGGTATGTTCCTTCCATGCCCAGTTTATGGAGGGGTTTTATTATGAGTGGATGTTGAATTGTATTGAATGCTTTTTCAGCACCCATTGAAATGATTATACTTTTTTTTTGTTTTAATTCTGTTGATATTATGTATCACATTTATTGATTTGCCCATGATGAACCATCCTTGCATCCCTGGAATGAATACCATTTGATCATGGTGAATGATCTTTTTCATGTGTTTTTGAATTCAATTTTCTAATATTCTGTTGAGGATTTTTGCATCTGTTCATCAGGAATATTAGCCTGTAGTTTATTTTTGTTGTTGTTTTTGTCTGGTTTTGGTACCAGGGTAATGCTAGTCTTATAAAATGGGTTTTCTCATATCTTTAATTTTTTGTAATATTTTGAGTAGACTTCTTATTAGTTCTTCTTTAAATATTTGGTAAAATTCAGCAGTGAAGCCAGAGATCCAGGGCTTTTCTTTTATAGGAGACTTTTTATTACTGTTTCAATATTGTTATTCATTATTGGTCTGTTCAGGTTTTGTATTTGTTCATAGTATAATCTTGGTTTGTAGGTTGTGTGTATCTGGGAAGAAACTTTACAATCTCTAACAGGCCTGGAAGGTCTAATCTATAAAAGTATTTCATTGACCTTGAAGAAGGTCAATTATTTATATAAGAAAATAAACTCAACATTTTATCCATAAAAAATGTAATTCCGGAATTTATGTTAGTAAAATTATAACACTGATAACATAAAAAGTGCTATTAATCCTTAAGAAAGAGTTACCTTTTCTTTTCTATCTTCATCACAGCTAGCCCAGTCTTAGTCTATTTCATTAGCTTCCTATGGGCTTCCTCTCACTTACATGCGTGCTCTCTTGCATGCGCTCGCTCTCTCTCTCTCTCCCACCTTCTTTTTTCCTTAAGACCCTCAAAACTACAGTTGATCCTTTCACTTCAAACTCTTCTGCCTTGTTTCCATTTTCCACAAATGTTCACAGTTAGCCTAATTTTCTACTCCTTGAGGGCAATAGCAGCATGGCATAGTAGAAAGGGTCTTAGAGCACACACGTTGTCTTTTTCATTTTGCCACTTACTAGCTGAGCAGTCTTAGGCAAGTCACTTAACTTCACTGAGTCTTCATTTCTATATCTACCAACTTCTATGTGTTGTAAAATGTATTCATAAATAGATATAAAGTACCTGGTTTAGTGTCTCATATTTAATAACGTCTGTGTTTAAATTTTAAAACAATCCTGTAAAACTAAAGTTAAGGAAGTTGAGACTCTGGATAGTTAAATAAATTGCCCAAGGTCTCACAGCTTATAAAGGACTGAGCTGGAATTCAGTTTCAGGTATGCCTGACTTTTAGCAACTATGCATTCTTTTTTTTTTTTTTTTTTTTTCCGAGACGGAGTTTTGCTCTTGTTGTCCAGGCTGGGGTGCAATGGCGTGATCTCAGCTCACTGCAACCTCTGCCTCCCGGTTTCAAGTGATTCTTCTTCCTCAGCCTCCCGAGTAGCTGGGATTATAGGCAAGCGCCACCATCCTCAGCTAATTTTGTATTTTTTAGTAGATATGGGGTTTCTCCATGTTGGTCTGGCTAGTCTCGAACTCCCGACCTCAGGTGATTTGCTCGTCTCAGCCTCCCAAAGTGCTGGGATTATAGGCGTGAGCCACTGTGCCTTGGGCTGTGCATTCTTATACTGGCCATACCAGGCCAGTATAAGAACTGCTTTTATTATGTTCTGCTTTTATTATGCTGTACCTGTGTCTGTTCTCTGAATTCCTTTTTCACTCTAACACAAAATTTTCATTTTACTGTTTTATAACAGTTTTACACAGATACTTCTGCCTCCCCTTTTAAAATGTCCCTCTTTGAAAGCACAGGCCTTACTCTGTTTTATTTTTCACAGCCCCAGCAGAGAATTAAATAGCCATAGAGTACTCAATAAATATTTGATTTACATAGTACTATCTCTAATTTTGTTTCATTATTGTTTTGAACCTTTTATATCCCTTTTTATAGCTCATGTCAGCAGCCACGTGGCACTTTCCATTTGGATGACGGTGAATACTGGTCCAACAGGGCAGCCTCTTATAAGGGAAAATCCCACCGACCCATCTTTGAGAACAGCATGGACAAGATGTACAGGAACTTATACAAAAAGGCCTGTAGTTCTGCTTCACATACACAGGAAAGCTTCTGAGACCATCCATGATAAACCTCATTAGTGTCCGTGTCAATTTCTCAATGAAAATGTTTGATGTGATCAATATCTGTATTCCTTTTTTTAAAAAAAATGGGATTATAACTAAGTACAATAGTTATACTTGAATAAGTTCATTACTTCAAATGGTAAATTATCATAGGCAAGCCTTTTAAAATAATTATTACAGAAGAGTCTGCTGTGTTACAAACATTAGAGCTCTGTCACACAATCACAACTTCCAATATGTGACAAGGATATTCTGTTACATGTACACCTCATATTCCATCTGCAAATCCAAGAATAGTTCCTTTCTAGAAATGTTTTTTTTGCCTTACTCACCTTGCAATTTTCTTCTCATCTACTTAACTGGTTATCTTGCCTGTGTAAGATTTAATTAATATTGACTACCTTTTCTTGGTGATGAACAAAATGATATCCTATACAGAAATGAATTTCCTAAGGGTTTAAACCCTGTTTTCACTAACATTTTCTACTTTTTCCTTTTTCAGAACAGGCTATTCTATTTCTTAGCTCATAGGCTTTCTTTTTAAAGACTATATGATCATTCACTCCTTTTTCTCTGGAAGAACTGTGTAAGTTGCTTAAAATGCATAGCAGTTAGCTAGAAATATCAGTGCCATGGATGATCAAAAATTTGAATAACTAATTTTTAAAGATAAAATTCTTTGCATGATTTTTTTTCTAGGGCCATACCTTTTGGTGCAACCAGAATCAGAAAATGGCCTCTGTTAGTAAGCTTATAGAAACCTAAAAATAATAATGGAATTATATTGTAATTTGACTGCTTGGAATTTGTGTAAGTACCATATGGCCCAAGGCACTATTATAGTATCCTCACTTTAAAAAAAAAAACACTTGGAACCACAATGTGAGTAAAATATTATAGCAGAACGCTTTGTGGTAGACACTGAAAATGTTGTTGATTGATGGATAGAATTAACTTCTCCTCCCCCACCCCAGCACACACCTGTGAAGCCAATGATACTATAAAGACATAAAGAAATCAGCTACTTTATATTTAATAGAGAGTGAGGGGAGGGAAAGGAGAGTGTAGGAATAAGTGAACTGGGCTTATAGTCTTGAAGAGTTGCCTAAAAGATAATATTTTCTCATTGACTCTGTTTTTGATTAATTTTACAGTTATGATTGAAAAAGAACAAAATGAACTTCCTTTAAAATGAAATTAAAATGTGAAACTTGCTGACTTATTTTTGTAGTAGAACTTGTTAACATCATGTTAAGGGTGCTTTAGTATCACAGTCTGTGATATATCAGAAAGGGCATTAGAGCTATCTCTATGAGCCAGGAGTCCTAGGCTTTAGTATCCCATGTCTGCCGTTTTCTAGCTGAGTCTATTTAATTCTCAGATCCTTTGTTTCCTCAGCTATCAAATGATAAGAATGTAGTAGACCCCAAACTATGTTCTGTGGACCAAGATCACTGTTTTAGGAGATAATCGTAGGAATGTAGGTATAAGTATGTAATTGGCCATCTAAGTTTAGGAAAATCTGTTTGCTACACACATACACACACACACACACACACACACACACACACACACACCTCTTAGAGAGTCATATGTAGGATTATAGAGGTAAAAAGAGATGATATTAATGCTGGAATAGCGCCTGTAAACTGGGGCTGTCTACAGCAAATTAGGATATATGGTCACTGTGCTCATTGTGAACAGTAGCTTGTTCGAGGCTTTAAGAAAATTCTGGTATAAATCTGTCTTACTCTGCATCTAGTAGACAGCCTGGCATGTAATTGATGTTCCTTAAATATTTATCGAATTAACCCAGAATTTTCTAAACTAAATTTAGCATGTACCACTATTTGTTATTCTTGCCACCACCCCCCATTCCCCTAGCTCCTCACACTACCTGCCAATGTCATCCTAAGGTACATGTGGATACCTAGGTTGTAGAAATGCTGGACTACACAATTGCTGAGTTACTCTCTGGCTGTAGATTATATGATGAGGTATTTTACAATCAGCTTTTGAAGGTCAACATTGAATAATGCTCTTTTAAAAAAATTATATCCTCAGTGTTTTTCCATGGAAAAATAAGTGAAAATTCTTTTAAGAGTTGCTGTTTGGTGAAAAGAACAAACATGACTTTCAAAGAAAATGTTTTACTATCACCAAAATCTCCCAAGTGAATAAGTACCACAGAAATTACTTATTGCACCTGTATCTGCCATTGGCTGTGAAAAAGGCTGCAAAAAGTAGGGCTGAAAGGGAAACTTTAGAAACTAATACTCTGAAAGATGTTTTCCTATGGATTAAATTTAGTGTCTTTCTGAAAGTTGGGGGCAAATTCCCAGATACTAATAGCATCTTTGCTAAGTGTCTGATTATCTTCTATCCCCTAGGAGGAAAGAGTGGTCCATGTTGCTGTAACTACTACTATGAGTGCTTATGCTGTATTGTTTTTAAAGAGTAAAACCTTTAAGTACTAATAGTTGTCTTTTCTCATTCACAGGAGCAGAAAGGTGCAGTTGTTTATTCTCTTAGCCTTTTTTTTTTCCTGTATTTCCCACAAATCTAGAAATAATTATTGGAGTTAATATGAAAGATAAATAGGCTTTTCTTTTTACTTTTTAATTTTTTTCTTTAAATCATAAAAAACCTTGGGATTTAGAAAAATGTCAAAATCGACAAATAAAGATGAATCATTGGAATGAGACTCTTCCTTGGTTCTACTAGCTAGTTATATAACCTTATTTAAGTCATTTATGCTTCTTGGAGCTCAGTTTTCTCACCAACAAGGTGATAAAAGGGTTAATTTAGAATGATCCTTTGACATTTCATAATTGTACAATTAATATGTACGATCAGGAAGTCCTAGGCAGGCAGAGTTGTTTTCTGATTTCCAAAGATTAAGCCCCTGATGAAAAATCTGGAACAAATAGAGAATTTTCATTATTGTGTTCATTTGCTAATAATAGCTTTATTGAGATATAATTCACTCTGAAAAAGTATACAATTAAGTGGTTTTTACTATATTCACAGAGTTGTGCAACAATAACCACTCACTAATTACAGAATATTTTATAACTCCCAAAAGAAATCCTGTAACCATTAGTGATCACTTCCCACTACCTCCTCCCCACAACTCCTGGAAACCACTATATGCTTTTTGTCTCCATGCCTATTCTGGACATTTCATATAAATGGAACCATACAACATGTGACCTATTGTATGTGGCTTCTTTCACTTAGCAAAATATTTTGAGAGTTCATGCATGTTGTAACACGTATGAATACTTCATTCCTTTTTATTACTAAATAATAATCCATCATATGAATATACCACATTTTGTTTATCCATTCAATTGATAGATATTTTGGTTGTTTCCACTTTTTAGGTATTCTGAAATGCTGCTCTGAACACTTGTATACAAGTTTTTTGTGTGGACATATGATTTTATTTCCCTTGAGTATACATCTAGGAGTTGACTTGCTGGGTCCTATGGAAACTATGTTCAACATTTTGAAGAACTACCAAATTGTTTTTCAAAGTGAACGTGCCATTTTACAAAGATCAACTGTGTTGATCTTTATCTTAGGATCTTAGGCAAGTTATACATTCAAGCCTCATCAATTTATTCATCACATATATATTAAGAACTATGTTAGAAATAGAGGGTATATAAAAATGTATCTTTAAAAGTATGAAAACAAAAAGTGTATTTAAACATTTGCAGTCGTTTGGTAACTTCCATGGTATGAAAATGCAAGAATGGGGATAAAGGCCTTCTAGCTTGATGAAACAGAACATGCAGAGGCATGAAAATGGGAGGGAGCATGATTGATCAGGAAACTCCTCCAAGTGCTTTAGCTAGAAGTGGTGTGCAAGGTTGCAAATGCTATGGTAGAATATGACTAATGCAGTAAGAGAACTACAAAGAAGTCTAGAGCAGCATTAGAAGAGGTGACCATTGAGCTGAATATTGAAAGATTGAAAGGACTTTTGAGAATAGGAAAACAAGGTGGAATAAACTAAATATTGATCAGATTTTACAAGAGTGGAGATGGAGTTTAAAATATCCAGAGTCAGTTAAGAATAAAGATCTAGAACTTGGGAGAACTCAAGAATACAAAACACATTTTGAAGTCAGATAAAAATAATGAAGTCAGATAAAAACAAATGAAAGCTCTGCTTTTTGTTTTTCTCCTAATTTATATGTGACCATAATAGGCACCCTGAGAGTGCTGGACCTCAAGTAATTTAATGTTTTGCTAATTAAGGAGGCTCTGGTGGTAGTGAGATAGTTTGAGGGCAGCCCTTTTAAAAATAAGATAGACAGCCGGATGCAGTGGCTCACGCCTGTAATCCCAGCACTTTGGGTGGCCGAGGTGGACGGATCATCTGAGGTCAGGTATTTGAGACCAGCCTGGCCAACATGGTGAAACCCTGCCTCTACTGAAAATACAAAAATCAGCCAGGCGTAGTGGCATGCACCTGTAGTCCCAGCTACTCGGGAGTATGAGGTAGGAAGACCACTTGAATTTGGGAGGTGGAGGCTGCAGTGAGCCAAGACTGTGCCACTGCACTTCAGCCTAGGTGACAGAGCTCAAAATAATAATAATTAAGAAAGAAATCCTCCTTCTAACTAGCTACAGTTTCAATGTACGAAACGAAGAGGTAAGTAAGAGAGAAAATCCAACATTTTGTTAAGTTAATGTGTTTATTATCACTGAATGATATACTTTGAGTTTAATTATATGATGTTTCCTCAGATAATCAGTACTTGTGACTGTTCACCCATTCGCAAAATATTCCAGGCAATCTGCAAGACATTGAGTGATAACCCAGAGATAAACAGAAACACAGTTCTCAATCAAAGTTTGTGTGTGTATATGGGGGTTGGGGAGAGACTGGCATTTACTTGAGGGATAATAATTGAAATTACTTGATATTCTTTCTAGCTGTCTTGGATAGCATAAGCCTTAGAAATTCCACTTACTAAGGTTTGTGAAGTAAGAAGGAAATAAGCTAACACAGAACAGATATCAGCTGATATACTGTTCTCTAAAAGTTAATAAAGTTACTTAACATTACTTAACAGTAACTTAGCATTACTCTCATTACCAAGGTACTTCTGCTTTTGAGGGGAAAAACATATAAGATATTCAAGAAGGAAGTATTACCAACAAGATGGTAGAGTAGGAGACCCTGGCCCTCAACCCCACAAACAACAATCTGATAGACATCCAGGAATGGAAATAGCTGTGGGAGGGCTTTGGAGTCCAGATAAGAAGCTGCGGCAGCATAGTAGAGCAAAAAAGCAAAGCAAAACCAAACCAAAACAACAACAACAAAAACAAGAATAACCACACAGAATGGGTATGAAGAAGTCTCATTTTATCTTTATGCCATCCGTCAGGCTGGCACAGCTCATTACCAAATGTTACCCTCAGGTGAAAATGAGAGCAGGGTGAGTGTCCAGCCTCTTCACAATTTGTGGGTACTGCCCAAAAGATCCACATTGGTTTTATCCCACTCAAATCCCGGGGAAGACTGGCATAGCTGAGATATCTGGAAGCAGCTAGGAATAAAGAAGGACAGAGGGCATTGTGTCAGCCACGTGGCAGGGGATACCATGGTTCATAGCGGCCTGGTCTTCAGATGACCCCAGCACCCTTCTCCACTGAAGACCTCCCAGCTGGCTTGGAATTCCCATGGCTTTCACCGCAGATGGCCTTCTGGCTTTCTCCTTCATGGACCCCAGCTGACTAGGCTATTTTTACCTCCAGTGGAGCTGCCCCAGCCAGCGCCTCTGTGGGCACCCAAACCCTGGGAACCAGTGCAGTCACTGCATGCATGCCTGCAGTTGGCACTGACCCACTAGCCCCAGTTTTAACCACCACATTCATCTGTGACCAATTCTCATGGGCATGTGCATGCACACAACTGGCCCTGGCTGTTAATGACAGTGCATGCAAGCACTGCTTATTTGCACCACTGCGTGCATGCCCTTACCCAGCTCTCACCACTGTACATATGCCTGCTATTGGCTTTGGCTGTTGCAGCCACATACTCACTGGTGGTTTGCACTGCTGCACATATGCCTGCCTATGGCCACCTCTTGCCACCACATAAACACCTGCTGCTGGTCTTGGTTGTTAGTGCCACAGGCATACTTGCCACCAACCCTCCTGTTGTGTGCACCCCTAGCTCTCCCCAGTCTTGACTGCCAACTTCGGCATTATCTATGCAGGTGCACTTGCTGCTATATCCAGTGGCACCACTAAGGACCCCAGCAGCCCTCATGGGCACCACAAAACCCCCACAACATTCACAGCTGAGGACAACATAGTTGCCAAATGTTGTGGACCCTGGCTACTTCAGCTCCTGTGCCACCACTCCTGTCCCTCCTGGACACAGAGCTGTGACAGGTTACAGCAGTTGGCATCTCACATGCCATTAGACTCAGTGTCACAGCATACTTCTGCTCCCCCTCTCAGTGAAGAACTTTTCTTACCAAAGGTGGTCTGGAAGAGGTAAGTGCTGCTTCAAATGCACTGACACCAATGCAAGGATAAAAGAAGCATGAAAATTCAGAAAACTATGACACCACCAAAGGAATGCAAACTTACAGTAACTGACCCCAAAGAAATGGGTATTCATGAGTTAGCTGCCAAATAATTTAAAGTAATTGTCCTTTAGATGCTTGGTGAGCTACAAGACAACACAGGTAAACGATATAACAAAATTAGGAAAGCGGGGACAAAATGACAACTTCAACAAAGAGATTTAAAAAACCCATAAACATAAAGAAGCAATGGGGGAAAATGGTGGCTAGGAGGCAGGGCTAACTTGGACCTCCCACTTCAACAGATAGAGCAGTGTGTGGAGACCCACAGCATGAACTCTTGCTCTTAGAACTACTGCAGGAACACCAGGAAAGCCTAGAGAATCCACAGACCCTTTGAAGGAAGTGGACTGCCACTGCAGGCTCCCTGGGACAGCCAAGGAACTGTGAGTCCGCTTGCTTTCTCAGCTGGGATGCTTGTAGCCTGGGGCAAGTTCTCAGCCCTGCTCACTGGCTGCCTGGAAATAAACTCAGTGCTACTGGGTGAGGGGGGCAGGTGGGCACAGAGGGAGTGAGACCAGCCTTTTCGTCTGCGGGCTGTGTGGGAGCTGGTTGAGGCCTGTGGCTGCCGACTTTCCCCCACTTCCCTGGTGACCTGTGTGATGCAGCAGAGATAGCCATATTCCTCCTGGGAACATAACTTCATTGGCCTGGGAACCACACCCCCATCCCCCACAGCAGCTGCAGCAAGCCCAGCCCGAGGAGAGTCTGAACTCAGCCTAACCCTGCCCACACCTGATGATCTTTCTCTACCCGCCCTGGTAGCCAAAGACAAGGGACATAATCTCCTGGGAGCTCTATGGCCCTGCCTACCACCTGATCCTCCCCATACAACCCCAGCTGATATGCTTTTGAAAGTGCCACCTCCTGGCTGGAGGCCAACACAAAACCAGTGAACTTAACAAAAATTAAATCGAGGACCCTCACAGGGTCTGAGAGACAGTTTGTTATAATTTCTGTTCTTTAACATTTGCTGAGGAGTGCTTTACTTCCAGCTATGTGGTCAGTTTTGCAGTAAGTGCGACGTGGTGCTGAGAAGAATGTATATTCTGTTGATTTGGGGTGGAGAGTTCTGTAGATGTCTATTAGGTCTGCTTGGTGCAGAGCTGAGTTCAATTCCTGGATATCCTTGTTAACTTTCTGTCTCGTTGATCTGTCTAATGTTGACAGTGGGGTGTTAAAGTCTCCCATTATTATTGTGTGGGAGTCTAAGTCTCTTTGTAGGTCTCTAAGGACTTGCTTTATGAATCTGGGTGTTCCTGTGTTGTGTGCATATATATTTAGGATAGTTAGCTCTTCTTGTTGAATTGATCCCTTTACCATTATGTAATGGCCTTTTTTGTCTCTTCTGATCTTTGTTGGTTTAAAGTCTGTTTTATCAGAGACTAGGATTGCAACTTCTGCTTTTTTTTGTTTTCCATTTGCTTGGTTGATCTTCCTCCATCCCTTTATTTTGAGCCTATGTGTGTCTCTGCACATGAGATGGGTCTCCTGAATACAGCACACTGATGGGTCTTGACTCTTTATCCAATTTGCCAGTCTGTGTCTTTTAATTGGAGCATTTAGCCCATTTACATTTAAGGTTAATATTATTATGTGTGAATTTGATCCTGTCATGATGTTATCTGGTTATTTTGCTCGTTAGTTGATGCAGTTTCTTCCTAGCCTCGATGGTCTTTACAATTTGGCATATTTTTGCAGTGGCTGGTACCAGTTGTTCCTTTCGATGTTTAGTGCTTCCTTCAGGAGCTCTTTTAGGGCAGGCCTGGTGGTGACAAAATCTCTCAGCATTTGCTTGTCTGTAAAGGATTTTATTTCTCCTTCACTTATGAGGCTTAGTTTGGCTGGATATGAGATTCTGGGTTGAAAATTCTTTTCTTTAAGAATGTTGAATATTGGCCCCCACTCTCTTCTGGCTTGTAAAGTTTCTGCCAAGAGATCAGCTGTTAGTCTGATGGGCTTCCCTTTGTGGGTAACCCAACCTTTCTCTGGCTGCCCTTAACATTTTTTCCTTCATTTCAACTCTGGTGAATCTGACAATTATGTGTCTTGTAGTCGCTCTTCTCAAGGAGTATCTTTGTGGCGTTTTCTTTACTTCCTGAATTTGAATGTTAGCCTGCCTTGCTAGGTTGGGGAAGTTCTCCTAGATAATATCCTGCAGAGTGTTTTCCAACTTGGTTCCATTCTCCCTGTCACTTTCAGGTACACCAGTGAGACATAGATTTGGTCTTTTCACATAGTCCCATATTTCTTGGAGGCTTTGTTTGTTTCTTTGTACTCTTTTTTCTCTGAACTTCTCTTCTCACTTCATTTCATTCATTTGATTCTTCAATCACTAACACCCTTTCTTCCAGTTGATCGAATCGGCTACTGAAGCTTGTGCATGCATCAAGTAGTTCTTGTGCCATGGTTTTCAGCTCCATCAGGTCATTTAAGATCTTCTCTACACTGTTTATTCTAGTTAGCCATTCATCTAATCTTTTTTCAAGGTTTTTAGCTTCTTTGCGATGGGTTTGAACGTCCTCCTTTAGCTTGGAGAAGTTTGTTATTACTGATCCTCTGAAGCCTTCTCTCAACTTGTCAAAGTCATTCTCCATCCAGCTTTGTTCCACTGCTGGTGAGGAGCTGCATTCCTTTGGAGGAGAAGAGACTCTCTGAGTTTTAGAATTTTCAGCTTTTCTGCTCTGGTTTCTCCCCATCTTTGTGGTTTTATCTACCTTTGGTCTTTGATGATGGTGATGTACAGATGGGGTTTTGGTGCAGATGTCCTTTCTGTTTTTTAGTTTTCCTTCAAACAGTCAGGACCCTCAGCTGCAGGTCTGTTGGAGTTTGCTGGAGGTCCACTCCAGACCCTGTTCCCCTGGGTATCACCAGCGGAGGCTGCAGAACAGCAAATATTGCAGAACAGCAAATGTTGCTGTCTGATCATTCCTCTGGAAGCTTCGTCTCAGAGGGACACCTGGCCATATGAGGTGTCAGTCAGCCCCTACTGGGAGGTGCCTCCTAGTTAGGCTACTCGGGGTCAGGAACCCACTTGAGGTGGCAGTCTGTTGGTTCTCAGATCTCAAACTCTGTGCTGGGAGAACCACAACTCTCTTCAAAGCTGTCAGACAGGGACATTTAAGTCTGCAGAAGTTTCTGCTGCCTTTTGTTAGGCTATGCCCTGCCCCCAGAGGTGGAGCCTACAGAGGCAGGCAGGCCTCGTTGAGCTGCAGTGGGCTCCACCCAGTTTCAGCTTCCTGGCCGCTTTGTTTTCCTACTCAAGCCTCAGCAATGGTGGGCGCCCCTCCCCCAGCCTTGCTGCCACCTTGCAGTTCGATCTCAGACTGCTGTGCTAGCAATGAGTGAGGGTCCGTGGGTGTGGGACCCTCCGAGCCAGGCACGGGATGTAATATCCTGGTGTGCCGTTTGCCAAGACTATTGGAAAAGCACAGTCTTAGGGTGGGAGTGACCTGGTTTTCCAGGTGCTGTCTGTCATGGCTTCCCTTGGCTAGGAAAGGGAGTTCTCTGACCCCTTGCACTTCCCAGGTGAGGTGATGCCTTGTCCTGCTTTGGCTCATGCTCTGTGGGCTGCACCCACTGTCCTGCACCCAGTGTTTGACAAGCCCCAGTGAGATGAACCCAGTACCTCAGTTGGAAATGCAGACATCACCTGTCTTCTGCATCAGTCACACTGGGAGCTGTAGACTGGAGCTGTTCCTGTTCAGCCATCTTGAGGAATTCTCTCGGCTTCTTAAACTTTCAATAATTAGAAAAGGGAAGACCCTCCCAAACTCACTTTATGAGGCTAGCATCATCATGATCCAGTTCCAAAGACACTTCAAGAAAAGAAAACAGCCAATATCTCTGATTAACATAGATATGGAAGTCCTCAATAAAACAGTAACAAAATAATTCAATGGCACATTACAAGGATCATACACCACAACCAAGTGATATTTATCCCTGGGATGCAAGGATGGTTCAGCATACAAAAATAAATCAATGTGAGATACATTAACAGAAAGAAAGACAAAAACCACATGATAATCTCAATATATGCAGAAAAGGTACTTGACAAAATTCAACAACATTTTATGATAAAAACTTTAAACAAAATAGATATACAGGAAACTTATTTCAACACAATAAAAGCCATATATGAAAAACCCACTGCTAACATTATAATCTTTTGGATAAAGCTTAAAACTTTTCCTCTAAGATTATGAACAAGGAAAAGATGCTCACTCCCTCTGCTGCTATTCAGTATTCTACTGGAAGTCCCAGTGTGTTAGTTTGTTTTTGCATTGTTATAAAGAAATACCTGAGATTGGGTAATTTATAAAGAGAAGTTTAATTTGCCCATGTTTCTGCAGGCTGTACAAGCATGGCTTCAGCATCTTCTAGTGAGGGCCTCAGGGAGCTCATAATCATGGCAGAAGGCAAAGGGAGAGCTGGCAGTGCCACATGGCAAGAAAGGGAGCAAGAGAGAGAGAGAAGGGAGAGGCCCCAGACTCTTTTAAACAGCCAGATCTCATGTGAACTACTTGAGAAAGAACTCACTTATCACAAGGGGATGGTGCTAAATCATTCATGAAGGATATGCCCCCATGACCCAATTACTTCTCACCAAGCCACACCTCCAACATTGGGAATCACATTTCAACATGAGATTTGGAGGGGACAAACATGAAAACATAATATAGTTTGGATGTGTGTCCTCCCACAAATCTCATATTGAAATGTAACCCCCAATGTTGGAAGTGGGGCCTGGTGGGAGGTGATTTGATCATGGAGGCTGATTTATCATAAATGGTTTGGCACCATCCCTCATGGCACTATCCCTGTGATAGTGAGTTCTCATGAGATCCAGTCATTTAAAAATGTGTAGCACCTCCCCCTTCACTCTCTTAACCCAGGCTTTTGACATGTGACATGCTTGCTCCCCCTTTGCCTTCTGGCATGATTGGAAGCTTCCTGAGGCCTCCCCAGAAGCAGATGCCACTATCCTTCCCTTACAGCCTGCAAAACAGTGAGCCAATTAAACCTCCCTTTTTTTTTTTTTTTTTGAGACAGTCTAACTCTTGTTACCCAGGCAAGAGTGCAGTGGCGTGATCTCGGCTCACTGCAACTTCTGCCTCCTGGGTTCAAGTGATTCTCCTGCCTCAGTCTCCCAAGTAGCTGGGACTACAGGTGCCCGCCACCACACCCAGATAAATTTTTTGTACTTTTAGTAGAGACAGGGCTTCACCATGTTGGCCAGGCTGGTCTGGAACTCCTGACTTCAAGTGATCTGCCTGCCTTGACCTCCCCAAAGTGCTGGGATTACAGATGTGAGCCACTGTGCCTGGCCAAACCCTCATTTTTTAAAATAAATTACACAGTGTCAGGTATTACTTTATATCAATATAAGACGTGACTAATACAAAACTATATTACCTAGCCAGAATAATCAGTCAAAATTTTAAAAAGGCATCTAAATTGGAAGGATGATATAAAATTATCTCTGTTTGCATTTGGCATGATCATATATATAGAAAGCCTAAAGACTCTACAAAAAAGCTGATAGAATAAATTCAATAAAGTTGCAGAATAGAAAATTAGCACATAAAAAATCAGTATTACTTCTATACCCTAACAACTATCTGAAAGGGAAATATAAAAAGCAATCCCATTTACATTAGCAACAAAAAGAGTAAAATACTTAGGAATTAACCAAAGAGATGAAAGATTTTAATGCTGAGAATCATAAAACATTGATGAAAGAAATTCAGAAAGACACAAATAGACATCCTATGTTTATGGATTAAAAGAGTTAATATTTTTAAAATGTCTGTACTACCCAAAGCAATCTCCATATTCAATGCAGTTCTTATCAAAATCCCAATGGCATTTTTTTTTTTACAGAAAAAGAAAAAAAATTCCTAAAATTCATATGAAACTAAAAATGTCCCCAAATAGCCAAAGTAATCTTAAGCAAGAAAAAGGAAGCTGGAGGCATCACATGTCCTGACTTCAAATTTTATTACAAAGCTATAATAAACAAAACAGTGTAATCCTGGCATAAAAGCAGACACATGGATCAGTGGAACAGAATAGGGAGCCCTGAAATAAACTCATGCATATATGGTCAACTAATATTCAACAACGGTGTCAAGAATACAAAATGTGGAGAGGATAGTCTCCTCAAAAAAAGATGTTGGGGGGTGGCTGGCAAGATGGCTGAATAGGAACAGTTCTGGTCTGCAGCTCCCAGCAAGAACAATGTAGAAGGTGGGTGATTTCTGCATTTCCAACTGAGGTAGCTGGCTCATCCCACTGGGACTGGTTAGATAATGGGTGCAGCCTGCAGAGGGAAAGCTGAAGCTGGGTGGGGCGGGGCCTCACCCAGGAAGTGCAAGTGGTCAGGAACTCCCTGCCATAGTCAAGGGAAGCTGTGAGGGACTGTGCCATGAGGAACGGTGCATTTGGCCCAGATACTATTCTTTTACTATGATCTTCGCAACTCACATACCACAAGATTCCTTTGGGTGCCATGCCACCAGGGCCCTGGGTTTCACACACAAAACTGGGCAGCCATTTGGGCAGACACCGAGCTAGCTGCAGGAGTTTTTTTTTTTTTTTTTTTTCATACCCCAGTGGCACCTGGAATGTCAGTGAGACACAACCATTCACTCCCCTGGAAAGGGGGCTGAAGCCAGGGAGCCAAGTGGTCTAGCTTAACAGATCCCACCCCAACATAGCCCAGCAAGCTAAGATCCACTGGCTTGAAATTCTGGCAGCCAGCACAGCAGTCTGAAGTCAACCTGGGACACTTGAGCTTAGTGGTGGGAGGGGTGTCCGCCATTACTGAGGCTTGAGTAGGCAGTTTTCCCCTCACAGTGTAAACAAAGCTGCCGGGAAGTTTGAACTGGGAGGAGCCCACCGCAGCTAGGCAAACTGCTGTAACCAGAGTGCCTCTCCAGATTCCTCCTCTCTTGGCATGGCATCTCTGAAAGAAAGTCAGCAGCCCCAAACAGGAGCTTATAGATAAAATTCCCATCTCCCTGGGACAGAGCACCTGGGGGAAGGGGTGGCTGTGGGCGCAGCTTCAGCAGACTTAAACGTTCCTGCGTGCTGGCTCTGAAGAGAGCAGTAGATCTCTCAGCACAGCGCTCGAGCTCTGCTAAGGGTCAGACTACCTCCTCAAGTGGGTCCTGAGCCCCGTGTCTCCTGACTGGAGACACCTGCCAGCAGGGGTCGACAGACACCTCATACAGGAGAGCTCTGGCTGACATCTGGTGGATGCCCCTCTGAGACAAAGCTTCCAGAGGAAGGAACAGGGAGCAATCTTTGCTGTTCTGCAGCCTCTGCTGGTGATAACCAGGCAAACAGGGTCTGGAGTGGACATCTAGCAAACTCCAGCACAGACAGCAGAGGGGTCTGACTGTTAGAAAGAAAACTAACAAACAGAAAAGAATAGCATCACCATCAACAAAAAGGATGTCCACACAGAAACCCCATCCGAAGGTCACCAGCATCAAAGACCAAAGGTAGATACATCCACAAAGATGAGGAAAATACAGGTCAAATAGGCTGAAATTTCCAAAAACCAGAATGCCTCTTATCTTCCAAATGATCACAACTCCTCCCCAGCAAGGGAACAAAACTGGATGGAGAATGAGTTTGATGAATTAACAGAAGTAGGCTTCAGAAGGTGCATAATAACAAACTCCTTCGAACTAAAGGAGCATGTTCTAACCCAATGCAGGGAAGCTAAGAATCTTGAAAAAAGTTCAGAGAAACTGCTAACTAGAATAACCAGTTTAAAGAAGAACATAAATGACCTGATGGAGTTGAAAAACACAGCATGAGAACTTCCTGAATCATACACAAGTATCAATAGCCAAATTGATCAAGTGGAAGAAAGGATATCAGGGATTGAAGATCAACTTAATGAAATAGTGTGAAGATAAGATTAGAGAAAAAAGAATGAAAAGGAATGAACAAAGCCACCAAGAAATATGGGATTACATGAAAAGACCAAACCTACATTTGATTGGTGTACCTGAAAGTGACAGGGAGAATGGAACCAAGTTGAAAAACACTCTTCAGGATATTATCCAGGAGAACTTCCCCAACCTAGCAAGACAGGCCAACATTCAAATTCAGGAAATATAGAGAACACCACAAGGATACTCCTTGAGAAGAGCAACCCCAAGACACATAATTGTCAGATTCACCGTGGTTGAAATCAATGAAAAAATGTTAAGGGCAGCCAGAGAGAAAGGTCGGGTTACCCACAAAGGGAAGCCCATCAGAATAACAGTAGAATTCTCTGCAGAAACCCTAAATGCCAGAAGAGAGTGGGGACCAATATTCAGCATTCTTAAAGAAAAGAATTTTCTTTCTTTCTTTCTTTCTTTCTTTTTTTTTTTTTTTTTTTTTTGAGACGGAGTCTTGCTCTGTCACCCAGGCTAGATTGCAGTGGCGTGATCTCGACTTACTGCAAACTCCGACTCCCTGGTTCAAGCCATTCTCCTGCCTCAGCCTCCTGAGTAGCTGGGATTACAAGCACCTGCCACCATGCCCAGCTAATTTTTGTATTTTTAGTAGAGATGAGGATTCACCATGTTGGCCAGGATGGTCTCAATCTCTTGACCTCATGATCTGCCTGCCTTGGACTCCCAAAGTGCTGGGATTACAGGTGTGAGCCACTGCGCCCAGCCAAGAAAAGAATTTTCAATTCAGAATATCTTTTTTAAAAATTTTTTTTATTTTTTATTTTATTATTATTATACTGTAATTTTGGGGGTACATGTGCACAATGTGCAGGTTAGTTACATATGTATACATGTGCCATGCTGGTGTGCTACACCCATCAACTCGTCATTTAGCATTAGATATATCTCCTAAAGCTATCCCTCCCCCCTCCCCCCACCCCACAACAGTCCCTAGAGTGTGATGTTCCCCTTCCTGTGTCCATGTGTTCTCATTGTTCAATTCCCACCTATGAGTAAGAATATGCGGTGTTTGGTTTTTTGTTCTTGCGATAGTTTACTGAGAATGATGATTTCCAATTTCACCCACGTCCCTACAAAGGACATGAACTCATCATTTTTTATGGCTGCATAGGATTCCATGGTGTATATGTGCCACATTTTCTTAATCCAGTCTATCATTGTTGGATATTTGGATTGGTTCAAAGTCTTTGCTATTGTGAATAGTGCCACAATAAATGTATGTGTGCATGTGTCTTTATAGCAGCATGATTTATAGTCCTTTGGGTATATACCGAGTAATGGGATGGCTGGGTCAAATGGTATTTCTAGTTCTAGATCCTTGAGGAATCGCCACACTGACTTCCACAATGGTTGAACTAGTTTGCAGTCCCACCAACAGTGTAAAAGTGTTCCTATTTCTCCACATCCTCTCCAGCACCTGTTGTTTCCTGACTTTAATGATCACCATTCTGACTGGTGTGAGATGGTATCTCACTGTGGTTTTGATTTGCATTTCTCTGATGGCCAGTGATGGTGAGCATTTTTTCATGTGTTTTGTGGCTGCATAAATGTCTTCTTTTGAGAAGTGTCTGTTCATGTCCTTTGCCCATTTTTGATGGGGTTGTTTGTTTTTTTCTTGTAAGTTTGTTTGAGTTCATTGTAGATTCTGGATATTAGCCCCTTTCTCAGATGAGTAGGTTGTGAAAATTTTCTCCCATTTTGTAGGTTGCCTGTTTACTCTGATGGTAGTTTCTTTTGCTGTGCAGAAGCTCTTTAGTTTAATTAGATCCCATTTGTCAATTTTGGCTTTTGTTGCCATTGCTTTTGGTGTTTTAGACATGAAATCCTTGCCCATGCCTATGTCCTGAATGGTAATGCCTAGGTTTTCTTCTAGGGTTTTTATGGTTTTAGGTCTAACGTTTAAGTCTTTAATCCATCTTGAATTAATTTTTGTAAAAGGTGTAAGGAAGAGATCCAGTTTCAGCTTTCTACATATGGCTAGCCAGTTTTCCCAGCACCATCTATTAAATAGGGAATCCTTTCCCCATTTCTTGTTTTTGTCAGGTTTGTCAAAGATCAGATAGTTGTAGATACGTGGCGTTATTTCTGAGGGCTCTGTTCTGTTCCATTGATATATATCTCTGTTTTGGTACCAGTACCATGCTGTTTTGGTTACTGTAACCTTGTAGTATAGTTTGAAGTCAGGTAGTGTGATGCCTCCAGCTTTGCTCTTTTGGCTTAGGATTGACTTGGTGATGCAGGCTCTTTTTTGGTTCCTTATGAACTTTAAGTAGTTTTTTCCAATTCTATGAAGAAAGTCATTGGTAGCTTGATGGGGATGGCATTGAATCTATAAATTACCTTGGGCAGTATGGCCATTTTCACGATATTGATTCTTCCTACCCATGAGCATGGAATGTTCTTCCATTTGTTTGTATCCTCTTTTATTTCATTGAGCAGTGGTTTGTAGTTCTCCTTGAAGAGGTCCTTCACGTCCCTTGTAAGTTGGATTCCTAGGTATTTTATTCTCTTTGAAGCAATTGTGAATGGGAGTTCACTCATGATTTGGCTCTCTGTTTGTCTGTTATTGGTGTATAAGAATACTTGTGATTCTTGTACATTGATTTTGTATCCTGAGACTTTGCTGAAATTGCTTATCAGCTTAAGGAGATTTTGGGCTGAGACGATGGCGTTTTCTAGATATATAATCATGTCATCTGCAAACAGGGACAATTTGACTTCCTCTTTTCCTAATTGAATACCCTTTATTTCCTTCTCCTGCCTAATTGCCCTGGCCAGAACTTCCAACACTATGTTGAATAGGAGTGGTGAGAGAGGGCATCCCTGTCTTGTGCCAGTTTTCAAAGGGAATGCTTCCAGTTTTTGCCCATTCAGTATGATATTGGCTGTGGGTTTGTCATAGATAGCTCTTATTATTTTGAGATACATCCCATCAATACTTAATTTATTGAGATTTTTTAGCATGAAAGGTTGTTGAATTTTGTCAAAGGCCTTTTCTGCATCTATTGAGATAATCATGTGGTGTTTGTCTTTGGTTCTGTTTATATGCTGGATTATGTTTATTGATTTGTGTATATTGAACCAGCCTTGCATCCCAGGGATGAAGCCCACTTGATCATGGTGGATAAGCTTTTTGATATGCTGCTGGATTCGGTTTGCCAGTATTTTATTGAGGATTTTTGCATCAATGTTCATCAAGGATATTGGTCTAAAATTCTCTTTTTTGGTTGTGTCTCTGCTCGGCTTTGGTATCAGGATGATGCTGGCCTCATAAAATGAGTTAGGGAGGATTCCCTCTTTTTCTATTGATTGGAATAGTTTCAGAAGGAATGGTACCAGTTCCTCCTTGTACCTCTGGCAGAATTCGGCTGTGAATCCATCTGGTCCTGGACTCTCTTTGGTTGGTAAGCTATTGATTATTGCCACAATTTTGGAGTCTGTTACTGGTCTATTCAGAGAGTCAATTTCTTCCTGGTTTAATCTTGGGAGGGTGTATGTGTCGAGGAATTTATCCATTTATTCTAGATTTTCTAGTTTATTTGTGTAGAGGTGTTTGTAGTATTCTCTGATGGTAGTTTGTATTTCTGTGTGATCGGTGGTGATATCCCCTTTATCATTTTTTATTGCATCTATTTGATTCTTCTCTCTTTTCTTCTTTATTAGTCTTGCTAGCAGTCTATCTATTTTGTTGATTCTCTCAAAAAAACAGCTCCTGTATTCACTAATTTTTTGAAGGGTTTTTTGTGTCTCTATTTCCTTCAGTTCTGCTCTGATTTTAGTTATTTCTTGCCTTCTGCTAGCTTTTGAATGTGTTTGCTCTTGCTTTTCTAGTTCTTTTAATTGTGATGTTAGGGTGTCAATTTTGCATCTTTCCTGCTTTGTCTTGTGGGCATTTAGTGCTATAAATTTCCCGCTACACACTGCTTTGAATGTGTCCCAGAGATTCTGGTATGTTGTGTCTTTGTTCTCGTTGGTTTCAAAGAACATCTTTATTTCTGCCTTCATTTCGTTATGTACCCAGTAGTCATTCAGGAGCAGGTTGTTCAGTTTCCATGTAGTTGAGCGGTTTTCAGTGAGTTTCTTAATCCTGAGTTCTAGTTTGATTGCACTGTGGTCTGAGAGACAGTTTGTTATAATTTCTGTTCTTTTACATTTGCTGAGGAGTGCTTTACTTCCAACTATGTGGTCAGTTTTGGAATAGGTGTGGTGTGGTGCTGAAAAGAATGTATATTCTGTTGATTTGGGGTGGAGAGTTCTTTAGATGTCTATTAGGTCCACTTGGTGCAGAGCTGACTTCAATTCCTGGGTATCCTTGTTAACTTTCTGTCTCGTTGATCTGTCTAATGTTGACAGGGGAGTGTTAAAGTCTCCCATTATTATTGTGTGGGAGTCTAAGTCTCTTTGTAGGTCACTCAGGACTTGCTTTATGAATCTGCATGCTCCTGTATTGGGTGCATATATATTTAGGATAGTTAGCTCTTCTTGTTGAATTGATCCCTTTACCATTATGTAATGGGCTTCTTTGTCTCTTTTTATCTTTGTTGATTTAAAGTCTGTTTTATCAGAGACTAGGATTGCAACCCCTGCCTTTTTTTGTTTTCCATTTACTTGGTAGATCTTCCTCCATCCTTTTATTTTGAGCCTATGTGTTTCTCTGCACATGAGATGGGTTTGCTGAATACAGCACACTGATGGATCTTGACTCTTTGTCCTGTTTGCCAGTCTGTGTCTTTTAATTGGAGCATTTAGCCCATTTACATTTAAAGTTAATATCGTTATGTGTGAATTTGATCCTGTCATTTTGATGTTATCTGGTTATTTTGCTCGTTAGTTGATGCAGTTTCTTCCTAGCCTCGATGGTCTTTACAATTTGGCATGTTTTTGCAGTGGCTGATACCGGTTGTTCCTTTCCATGTTTAATGCTTCCTTCAGGAGCTCTTTTAGGGCAGGCCTGGTGGTGACAAAATCTCTCAGCATTTGCTTGTCTGTAAAGGATTTTATTTCTCCTTCACTTATGAAGCTTAGTTTGGCTGGATATGAAATTCTGGGTTGAAAATTCTTTTCTTTAAGAATGTTGAATATTGGCCCCCACTCTCTTCTGGCTTGTAGAGTTTCTGCCGAGAGATCCGCTGTTAGTTTGATGGGCTTCCCTTTGTGGGTAACCTGACCTTTCTCTCTGGCTGCCCTTAACATTTTTGCCTTTATTTAAACTTTGGTGAATCTGACAATTATGTGTCTTGGAGTTGCTCTTCTCGAGGAGTATCTTTGTGGCGTTTCTGTATTTCCTGAATCTGAATGTTGGCCTCCCTTGCTAGATTGGGGAAGTTCTCCTGGATAATATCCTGCAGAGTGTTTTCCAACTTGGTTCCATTCTCCCCGTCAGTTTCAGGTACGCCAATCAGATGTAGATTCGGTCTTTTCACATAGTCCCATATTTCTTGGAGGCTTTGTTCATTTCTTTTTGTTCTTTTTCCTCTAAACTTCCCTTCTCGCTTCATTTCATTCATTTCGTCTTCCATCACTGATACCCTTTCTTCCAGTTGATCACATCAGCTCCTGAGGCTTCTGCATTCTTCATGTAGTTCTCGAGCCTTGGCTTTCAGCTCCATCAGCTCCTTTAAGCAGTTCTCTGTATTGGGTATTCTAGTTATACATTCGTCTAAATTTTTTTCAAAGTTTTCAACCTCTTTGCCTTTGGTTTGAATTTCCTCCTGTAGCTCGGAGTAGTTTGATCGTCTGAAGCCTTCTTCTCTCAACTCATCAAAGTCATTCTCCATCCAGCTTTGTTGTGTTGCTGGTGAGGAGCTGTGTTCTTTGGAGGAGGAGAGGCGCTCTGCTTTTTAGAGTTTCCAGTTTTTCTGTTCTGTTTTTTTCCCCATCTTTGTGGTTTTATCTACTTTTGGTCTTTGATGATGGGGATGTACAGATGAGTTTTTGGTGTGGATGTCCTTTCTGTTTGTTAGTTTTCCTTCTAACAGACAGGACCCTCAGCTGCAGGTCTGTTGGAGTTTGCTAGAGGTCCACTCCAGACGCTGTTTGCCTGGGTATCAGCAGTGATGGGTGCATAACAGTGGGTTTTCTTGAACCGTGAATGCTGCTGTCTGATCATTCCTCTGGAAGTTTTGTGTCAGAGGAGTACCTGGCCATGTGAGGTGTCAGTCCGCCCCTACTGAGGGGTGCCTCCCAGTTAGGCTGCTCATTGGTCAGTGGTCAGGGACCCACTTGAGGAGGCAGTCTGCCCATTCTCAGATCTCCAGCTGTGTGCTGGGAGAACCACTGCTCTCTTCAAAGCTGTCAGAGAGGGACATTTAAGTCTGCAGAGGTTACTGCTGTCTTTTTGTTTGTCTGTGCCCTGCCCCCAGAGGTGGAGCCTACAGAGGCAGGCAGGCCTCCTTGAGCTGTGGTGGGCTCCACCCAGTTCGAGCTTCCCAGCTGCTTTGTTTACCTAAGCAAGCCTGCGCAATGGCGGGTGCCCCTCCCCCAGCCTGGCTGCCACCTTGCAGTTTGATCTCACACTGCTGTGCTAGCAATCAGTGAGACTCTGTGGGCGTAGGACCCTCCGAGCCAAGTGCGGGATATAATCTCCTGGTGCACCGTTTTTTAAGCCCGTCGGAAAAGCGCAGTATTGGGGTGGGAGTGACCCAATTTTCCAGGTGCCATCTGTCACCCCTTTCTTTGACTAGGAAAGGGAACTCCCTGACCCCTTGCGCTTCCCAAGTGAGGCAATGCCTCGCCCTGCTTTGGCTCACGCATGGTGCGCTGCACCCACTGTCCTGCACCCACTGTCTGGCACTCCCTAGTGAGATGAACCCGGTACCTCAGATGGAAATGCAGAAATCACCCATCTTCTGCATCGCTCACGCTGGAAACTGTAGACCGGAGCGGTTCCTATTTGGCCATCTTGGCTCCAGCCTCCCAATTCAGAATTTCATATACAGCGAAACTAAGCTTCAAAAGTGAAGGAGAAACCCCATCTCTACTAAAAAATACAAAAAAAAAAAAAAGCAAAAAACAAAGAAGGCCATTGCTAATGGTAAAGGGATCAATGCAACAAGAAGAGTTAACTATCTTAAATATATATGCACCCAATAAAGGAGCACCGAGATTCATAAAGGAAGTTCTTAGAGACCTACAAAGAGAATTAGACTTCCACACAATAATAGTGGAAGACTTGAACACCCCACTGTCAATATTAGATCAATGAGACACAAAGCTAACAAAGATATTCAGGACTTGAATTCAGCTCCGGACCAAGTGGACCTAATATACATCTACACAATTCTCCACCCAAATCAACATAATATACATTCTTCTCAGCACCACATCGTACTCATTCTAAAATTGACCACATAATTGGAAGTAAAACACTCCTCAGTTAATGCAAAATAATGGAAAAATAAGAAACATTCTCTCAGACCACAGTGCAATCAAATTAGAACTCAGTATTAAGAAACTCACTCAAAATGCACAACTATATGGAAACTGAAAAACCTACTCCTGAATGATTTCTGGGTAAATAAGGACGTAACGGCAGAAATAATAAGTTCTTTAAAACGAATAAGAACAAAGACACAACATACCAGAATCTCTGGGGCACAGCTAAAACAGTGTTTACAGGGAAATGTATAGCACTTAATGTCCACAGGTGAAAGTGGGAAAGATCTAAAGTTGACACCCTGACATCATAATTAAAAGAACTAGAGAACCAAGAGCAAACAAATTCAAAAGCTAGCAGAAGATAAGAAATAAGATCAGAGAAGAACTGAATGAGAAAGAGACATGAAAAACCCTTCAAAAAAATGAATGACTCCAGGAACTGGATTATTGAAAAGATCAGCTAAATAGACAGAAGGCTGGCCAGACTAATATAGAAGAAAAAAGAGAAGAATCAAACAGACACAATAAAAAATGATAAAGTGGATGTCACCACTGATCTCACAGAAATACAAATACCATCAGAGAATAATACTATAAACACCTCTATGCAAATAAACTAGAAAATGTAGAAGAAATGGATAAATTCCTGGACACAGACACCTTCCCAAGACTAAATCAGAAAGAAGTCGAATCCCTGAATAGACCAATAATAAGTTCTGAAATTGAGGCAGCAATTAATAGCCTACCAATAAAAAAAAAGCCCAGGACCAGACTGATTCACAGCTGAATTCTACCAGAGGTACAAAGAGGAGCTGGTACCATTACCTCTGAAACGATTCCAAACAATAGAAAAAGAGGGACTCCTCCATAACTCATTTTATGAGTCCAGCATCATCCTGATACCAAAACCTGGCAGAGGCACAACAAAAAAAGAAAATTTCAGGCCAATATCCTAAATAAACTGCTAAATCAAATCCAGCAGCACATCAAAAAGCTTATCTGCCATGATCAAGTTGCCTTCAATATATGCAAATCAATTATGTTAAACATAAAAACATACCATAAAAACATATGCGAATCAATCAATGTAATCCATCACAGAAACAGAAACAATGACAAAAACCACGTGATTATCTCAATAGATACAGAAAAGGCCTTTGATAAAATTCAGCACCCCTTCTTGCTAAAAACTCTCAATGAACTAGGTATTGATGGGACGTATCTCAAAATAATAAGAGCTATTAATGACAAACCCACAGCCAATATCATACTGAATGGGCAAAAGCTGGAATCATTCCCTTTCAAAACCAGCAAAAGGCAAGGATGCCCTCTCTTACCACTCCTATTCAACATAGTGTTGGAAGTTCTGGCCAGGGCAATCAGGCAAGAGAAAGAAATAAAGGGTATTCAAATAGGAAGAGAGGAAGTCAAATTGTCTCTCTTTGCAGATGACATGATTGTATATTTAGAAAACCCCATCATCTCAGCCCAAAATTTCCTTAAGCTGATAAGCAACTTCAGCACAGTGTCGGGATACAAAATCAATGTGCAAAAATTACAAGCATTCCTATGTACCAATAATAGACAAACAGAGAGCCAAATCATGAGTGAACTCCCATTCACAATTGCTACAAAGAGAATCAAATACCTAGGAATAAAACTTACAAGAAATGTGAAGGCCCTCTTTAAGGAGAACTACAAACCACTGCTCAGAGAAATAAGAGAGGACATAAACAAATGGAAAAACATTCCATGCTCATGGATAGGAAGAATCAATATAGTAAAAATGAGTATACTGCCCAAAGTAATTTATAGATTCGATGCTATCCCCATCAAGCTACCATTGACTTTCTTCACAGAATTAGAAAAAACTACTTTAAATTTCATATGGAACCATAAAGAGCCTGCATAGCCAAGACAGTCCTAAGCAAAAAGAATAAAGCTGGAGGGATCCTGCTACCTGACTTTAAATTATACTACAAGGCTACAGTAATGAAAACAGCATGGTACTGGTACCAAAACAGATATATAGACCAATGGAACAGAACAGAGGCCTCAGAAATAATGCCACATATCTACAACCATATGATCTTTGAAAACGTGACAAAAACAAGAAATGGGGAAATGATTTCCTATTTAATAAATGGTGTTGGAAAAACTGGCTAGCCATATGCAGAAAACTGAAACTGGACCCCTTCCTTATACCTTATACAAAAATTAACTCAAGATGGATTAAAGACTTAAAAGTAAGACCTAAAACCATAAAAACCCTAGAAGAAAACCTAGGCAATACCATTCAGGACATAAGTCTGGGCAAAGACTGCATGACTAAAACCCCAAAAGCAATGGCAACAAAAACCAAAATATACAACGGGATCTAATTAAACTAAAGAACTTCTGCACAATAAAAGAAACTATCATCAGAGTGAACAGGCAACCTACAGAATGGGAGAAAACTTTTGCAATCTATCCATCTGACATAGGGCTAATATCCAGAATCTATGGAACTTAAATAAAATTACAAGAAAAAAACAAAACCCCATCAAAAAGTGAGCGAAGGATATGAACAGACACTTCTCAAAAGAAGACATTTATGTGGCCAACAAACATATGAAAAAAAGCTCATGATCACACGGATGATTAGAGAAATGCAAATCAAAACCACAATGAGATACCATCTCATGCCAGTTAAAATGGCGATCATTAAAAAGTCAGGAAACAACAGATGCTGGAGAGGATGTAGAGAAATAGGAATGCTTTTACACTGTTGGGGGGAGTGTAAATTAGTTCAACCATTGTGGAAGACAGTGTGGCGATTCCTCAAGGATCTAGAACCAGCAATACCATTTGACCCAGCAATCCCATTACAGGGCACAGGCCCAAAGGATTATAAATCATTCTACTATAAAGACACATGCACACATATGTTTACTGAAGCACTGTTCACAATAGCAAACACTTGGAACCAACTCAAATGCCCATAAATGATAGAATGTATAAAGAAAATGTGGCACATATACACCATGGAATACTCTGCAGCCATAAAAAAAGGATGAGTTCATGTCCTTTACAGGGACATGGATGACACTGGAAACCATCGTTCTCAGCAAACTAACACAGGAACAGAAAACCAAACACCTCATGTTCTCACTCATATGTGGGAGTTGAACAATGAGAACACATGGACACAGCAAGGGGAACATCACACCACCGGGGCCTGTTGTGGGGTGGAGGATGGGGAGGGATAGCATTAGAAGAAATATCTAATGTAGATGACTGGTTGATGGGTCCAGTAAACCACCATGGTACGTGTATACCTATGTAACAAACCTGCACATTCTACACATGTATTCCAAACTTAAAGTATAATAAAAAAAATGATGTTTGGCAAACTGTATATCCAAGTGCCAAAACAAAAAATAAAATTGGACCATTATACCATACACAAAATCAACTCAAAATGGATTGACTTAAATGTAAAACTTGAAACCACAAAACCGTACAAGAAGGCATAAGGAAAATCTCCTTGAAATTGGTCTTGGCAATAATATTTTTGGATATGATAACAAAAGGACAGACAACAAAAGCAAAAATAAAGAGTTGAGGCTACACCCAACTCAAAAGCTTCTGTATAGCAAACAATCAACAAAATGTAAAGACAATATTCGGAATGAGGAAAAAAGATTTGCAAACCGTATATTCAATAAGGGGTTAAATCCTAAATATATAAGGGACTCATACACCTTAATACCGAAATTACAAATAGCAATTTAAAAATGGACAAAGGACCTCAAAAGAAGGAATTCAAAAGGCCAACAGGAATACGAAAAGTTGCTCAACATCTCTAATTATCAGGGGAAATGCAAATCAAAACCACAATGAGATATCACCTCCCACAGGTTAGAATGGCTACTATCAAAAAGACAAAAGATAACAAGTGTTTTTCCATAGCCGTTATGGAAATCAGTATGAAGGTGACTTAAAAAATTAAAAATAGAACTATCATATGATCCAACAATTTCACTTCTGGGTATATATTCAAAGGAATTGAAATAAGAATTGCAAAGAGGTATCTATATTACTATGTTCATTACAGTATTACAATAGCCAAGATATGGAATCAACCTAAGTGTCCACCAATGGATGAATGGAAAATAAAATGTAGTATATATATACACAAAGGAATACTATTCTGCCTTAATAAAAGAAGGAAATCCTGCCATTTGTGACTACATGGATGGAGTTTTATGGCATCTTGCTAAGCAAAATAAGCAAGACACAGAAAAATACTTCATGATCTCACTCATATGAGAATCTCAAATAGTCAAACTCATAGAAGTAGAAGTAGGATGGTGGTTGCCAGGGATTGAGGGGAGAAGGAAATGGGGTGATATTGATCAAAGGGTACAAAGTTTCAGCTATGAAAGATGAATAACTTCTGGACATCTAATGTACAACATGGTGATGATAGTTAATAAACTGTGTTGTATAATTAATATTTGCTAAGAAGACAGGTCTTAAATCTTCTCAACAGACACAAACACAAATGGTAACTATGTAGAGGTGATGGATATGTTAATTAGCTTGATTGACATCATTTTATAGTGTATACATATATCAAAACGTCAAGTTATGCCTTAATTACATAAATTTTTTTATGTCAATGATACCTCAATAAAGCTACTAAGGAGATTTTCAAGAAAGTGCATTTTGCTATATTTGTAGATGACCTTCATGAAAGTACTGGACATGAGAGTGAGATAAATCAGGATTTCTGAACTCAAGGAGCTTACCCTGACTATTGATGGTGGGACAGACAAGTCAACAATTACAGTACAATATCTATTGATTGACTCATGTTTAGCATATTGTGTGTAGGCTCTTCTAGGGAAGGGTCATTTCTTCATTTTTATATCCATGGCATCACAAACTGGACATATCTTTATTATAGCACTTAGCAAACTGAATTATCAGTGACTATCTTACCTGTTTTTACTGGTCAGTGATTTGGGGCCTTGTTTACCTCTGCATCCCATGGCCTAGTTGTTAAATCTGCATCCCTAGTGCAGATTGCTATTCTAGTTGTTTAACTGTGCATCCCATGGCCTAGTTGTTCAATCAAATTTTGTTGAATGACTGCATGAAAGAAAAAACACATCGAAGGGCCAGCAAAAGCAATACAAAGCCTATTTCTATTTGGATATAGGAGATGAGAAGTCTAACAGGGTTGTTGCTATCAGCAAGTCTACCTGTACTTGCAGCCAAGAGACATAAAAATGAAAAGGATGAGAGAAACATCTTGGTTGTACCCACAGTACTCAAGAAGAAAGAAATAGTTCCTCAGTTCAGAGTTAATGTTTCCATAATGAAATCTGATTTTCAAATGGATACTCTTAAATTTTTTTAAATAAGAAGTTTTCTAATATAATGGCCTGCCTTTTTGTTTATTACTTGGTTAATTAACTAATATACATGGAGCTCAGGTGACTAAGACCAGCTCCTAAACTGCTACTGCAAGGGGTGATAAGTATAATGTTAGAAAGTGGATCGAGGTAGCAATTGCCTGCAATGGTTTTGAGCACCTTATATTTCAATGGAGTTTAAACCTCTTTTATTAAATGCAAATTTCTTGGTTCCAAAGATGAGCCTTAAATATTTTCTGTCCCAATGCCTTATCTTTTGTCATTCACAAACAGTTCATTTTTGACTCAAAGATTGAATAATTCTCTATCTTCTAGCTTTCAAATGCAACCAACTTAATCTAGAAACTATGGTTAGCTGTCTTAATTAAGAGTTAATATGATAAGTAGGGTATTTATGTGAATATTCAAACAAAATCATCTCAGTGAAATGCAGCATTGTTTAAGTTATATCTTAAATCTTGGTATGTTGCATTCAAGCTGAGGAGCCTGATGGAGGATAACATATTCTCCTCTAATTTGTATAGTATATGAAAGTTTACAGGTTTTTTTGTGGAGTGGGAAGATGGTTTTTTTTTTTTCCTCTTCTTCTGACCTTAGTATATTTTTTAAAGGTCTTAAGCCAAGGGAATTAAACTAATATTTATTAAGGACTGCCATCTGTACTCGGTAATTTACATCTTTTTTTTATTTGATTTTCACAACATATCTGTGTAGTAGGGGGTAGGTATGTGTAATCTCAGTTTTACAGACTAGGAAACTGAGAAATTAAACTGCTGTGATTAGCCAGTGATAAACACAACCAGTAAATGAGAAAGCTTGGACTTGAAGGTAAACCCAACTCTGCCTCTCAACTAGATAAGTGGTTAAAAAACTCAGTTTGTTATAGTTCATATGTTTTTAAATGGTGGAGCTGGTATCTCTTCAGAAAGAACTTCAGTGGATAAAATAAGTGAACTTACCTTTACGCATTAAAACCTATAGCAAATTTCCAACATCTGAGCACTAAAAACAAAGAGATTATCTCATCAACTAAGGAAGAAATTGGCGGAAGTGTATGAAAGGCACATCAATGCAGAATTATTTTAACTGACCTGAGAGTTCATGGGCACCGGAGTTATGTATGGGATAGTTCTAGGTAAAGACTTAGGATGCACTTCCTCTGGAACCCCAGTCACCTCTTTAGCTGAGTAACCACAAGTTTAAGCATCACTACATTTCTGTTTCAGTAAAAATTTAAAGAAGTTTAGCTTTTTTTGGTATATCATAGAATTCAGAAGGAAGGTGAGGAAAAACTCTTAATGAAAGACAGTGTCTTTGAACAGCTGCCATAGAATTGAGAATAAGTGTATCTTGTTAGAGACTTTCATTGATCAATGAAAATAACTCTTCACTAATTTACTGATTTCTTTTTTTTTAAAGGTAAAATTAGTTATATAAGCAGACAAAAGGTTGGAGAAGGATTTATTTATATATATATTTTAAATTTTATATACCAAATGTATATTTGAAATACATATGATTTATTTATGTTTGTTATATAAGTGTATTTATACTTTGCATATTTATTATATTATATATGTATTTCTATTACCAAAAGACTGACAGCAACATTGTATCATAGAAAAAGCACTGCCTTTCAACCTTCTGAACCTCATCTTTGTCTACCTATGAAATAGGATAATAAATGTCCTCCATTCTTCAGATAAGTGTTATGATTAAATGGGAAAATATATATGGACATTCTTTGTCATATATTAGGCCTTATCATAATACCTTGCTTTTATGAATGATCTGGTAAACAGTATTTGTAGTTTGAAAAATATTCCATTTGGCATAATGGCAGTACTGTTGGTTCTACAGTTGAACAGACCCTGGATTTCATTCTCTAAATTTGTCACCTCTGTATTCTTCAACTTTTATGGAAACATGCTTTCTCACTGGTAGAATGGAAGATATTTTCATAGAGTTGTTGTAATTGTTTAAAGAGCTAATGTACATGGAGTACCTAGTACAATGCATGGTGTTCATTAAATGGTCATTGTGATGACTAAAATTCAAAGTCAGTAGAGATAGTACTTGGGAAGATGTTGAGGATTTGATCAGAGAAAAAAATGGGCTATTTGAATACGTATAGAAAAATATTAAGAATTATTTTAAGACATAGGACCAAATTACTGTGTTCAGATATTTTGATATGGCTCTTAAATTTACTAGTTATTTAATTTATGTAGGCTGTGTGAGATAATAAAAACAGCACTATATATGTGGGCTTAGAGTCTGTAATGTGGGAATACCTAGAGATCTCAAACCTTAATTTTACTGTCCATGGAATGGGAATAATACCCACCTAGGATGGTTACTATGAAGACTGCATGAGGTAAAAGATGCAAAGTGACTAGACTGTACCTGATAAATAGTAGATGCATAAAGATAATTTTGTACCTTTTTCCCTGTCATTAGTTTCATTGTTTTGTGCACAAATCCATCCAGGCATAGACAGCTGCCTTAGTGTCATTATTTCAGTTTTTAAAAACATTCTATTAACCTTTTATACCTTGTGCATATTGGTAAGGAAGTTCTATGTAGGTTTTACATGTGAAGCTAAACACGAGTTCAGTTAGAGAATATTATCCATTTATATGTTATACAGTTAAGGTAGTATTTTTAAAACAAAAATAAATTTAGTTTGAGAGTATGTTCTCTAAAACCAGTTTCAATCCTAGGAAGTTTTTTCTGGATTTTTTTTTTAATTTAGCACACTTACGTTTTATAAAATTAACCATATTTTTCCAATTTGGAGAATGTTAGAGGTAGAAGTTAATCACTCTAGTTCAGCAGAAGTGACCCTACAGGAGCTCAGCCAGATGAATGTTTCCATAGCTCTTAGGAATGTTCAATGTGATTTCACCTTTTTCAGAAGATTATAACATATGATTACATATGTACATACAGATAGATACACACACACAAACACACACACACACACACACACACACACATATTTTTATTTTTAAGTAGACCCATCTCAAGTGCTTAAAAGAATGCCTAGCACATGATAATGATATGGGATGGGGGCACAGAAGTGCTGGGTAGAGAAGGGTGGGGTCCCTGGCAAGGGCTCCACCCTTGGACCTGTGCCCACATACCTAGGTGAGGACAGGCACTCCTGTTTTTGCACCCAAATGTCGCATTTTCCAAGACCACCCTGGCCCCCCACGTACCCCATTCTGTGACTATAAAAACCCTGAGACCTGGCCGGGCGCGGTGGCTCATGCCTGTAATCCCAGCACTTTGGAAGGCCGAGACAGGTGGATCACGAGGTCAGGAGATCGAGACCATCCTGGCTAACACGGTGAAACCCCGTCTCTACTAAAAATACAAAAAATTAGCCAAGCGTGGTGGCGGGCACCTGTGGTCCCAGCTACTCGGGAGGCTGAGGCAGGAGAATGGCATGAACCCGGGAGGCGGAACTTGCAGTGAGCCGAGATCGTGTCACTGCCTGGGCCACAGAGCGAGACTCCATCTCAAAAAAAAAAAAAAAAAAAAAAAAACCCAGACCCTAGTGGTCACAGACTCGAGCGCTGGACGTCGAGAGGAACACACTGCAGAAGAACACACACAGGCGGCTGGATATCAAGAGGAGCAGAGTAGCGGAAGTGCACACTGATGAGGAGGAACAGACGCCTGTAGACCAGGTAGGACAACGCAGAATTTGGCCAGCAGTGGTTGGAGGAGAGTCCAGCTGCTGGGCGGCCAACTTCAGAGGAAGACCACCTTCCCACTCCATCCCCCTTCTAGCTCCCCATCCATCTGCTGAGATCTACCTCCATCCTTCAGTAAAACTTTGCACTCATTCTCCAAGCCCACGTGTGATTCGATTTTTCCAGTACACTCAGATGAGAGCCTGGAATACAGAAAGCCCTCTGTCCTTGCAATAAGGCAGAGAGTCTAATCGAGCTGATTAATGCAAGCCACCTGCAGATGGCAAAACTGAAAGAGTGCACTGTAACACATGCCCACTGGGGCTTCAGGAGCTGTAAACACTAAACCCTAGATGCAGCCGTGGGGTCGGTGCCCGCCTCACGACCTGCCCGTCTGCATGCACACCCTAGGGATATGAGCAGGGGCACCGAAGAAGTGAGCCACACTCCCATCGCAGGCCCTGAGATGGGGATAAGGGAACTTTTCTCATTTCAGTAAGGGCTCTATAAATAATATTTATTATTATTATTATTATATAGCTCACTATTTGACTCATCTAAAATATTTATTTCGGAAATAATTACTTAGCATAGCTCCTAATATTCTGTGGTTAAAGAAAATATTATATTGAAAAGGAATCTATCACTTAACAAGGACATGTTGAAAATATTTTGAATATTCCTAACGGATAGAAAAAAATATGCTATCCTAATTCCCCTTTGTGGTCCAGCAGTGGCTCACATATAATACATTCCTACAACTGTGCTGCATAAAGAATGTGTTTTGGCATAGAAGCAGCATAATTTGGAGAGGTTTTTGTTGATAATCTTAAACAAAAACAGTCAAAATAATTTCACTTCCACTGGAAACCTGGAGGGGAATTGTTTTTGCCAAATGAAAGAAAAGATGCCAGCTTTTGAATTACGAAGTATTTTCAAGTGTTTATGTTGGGAAAATGGAAAACAAAGAACATTTGACTTTAGTGAATTTTTGTCTACCAAATATTTAAAACCTTGGAAAAACTATTTCTAATAAGCTTTTTTTCATAAATAATAGCTTGCATTTTATATCATCCATTATCCTTTTCAAGCATTTAACTTATTTCATTGTATCCTTCCATGACACGTTTGTGAATTAGGTAGAACAGGGATTATAATTTACATTTTTTACAAACAAGAAAACTCAAGTTTGGGTTAAGTGTCTCCTGTGGGTCACACGGTGGGAGTGTTAGTGTCTGAACTAGGACTTACATTCAAATGTTAGTATTTTCTCATAAATAGTCTATAGAACTTTTCCCTACTATTGTTTGATTTTCCTTAGGTATTGAGTTTAATGTTGGATTTTAAGAGGTGGTATTTGATTTTCAGTGATTGATCCATTGCTATATTGGAGGAAGCTAGTTTTCCATTATTTAAACATTTTTAATATGTTTGTGAATAGCTCCAAACATTTGCTTTCTCTGCTCTTACTCTGTCCCTGTTGGTTAGTTCACCTACTTATTAACCCACCTTTGCTACATTGAATAGGAAAGGAAATTAGTCAACTTGTAATTTGTTAGCAGCTCTACTAGAAATGTTTAGTAATGAAGAGTGCATGGGATTTTTAAAATGCAGTAATCTACTCACCATGCATAATTGGAAATTGTCATAATTTGTGAAGAACTTTTCCTAGGTGTAGGATTCAGAACTAGAATATCTGAGACATATCTAATATTAATCTATTTAGGGGGATAAGCATGACTATATAACATCCAGGTCTAAAGCTGATGAGGCTTTTGATTATTTATGTTCAAGGTCAGTGGTTCCAAATCCTAACTGATCAGAATCACTCAGGAAGCCTGTTAAAAATCCCAGCCTCTGGAGATCCTGAAGCAGTAAATTTAACATCTGTAAGTTTTTAGTCTCTCTAGGTGATTATAATGCTTACCCAGGTTTGAGAACCATGGATCTAGCACCTATTCACAGCTTTCTCTGTGGGAAGGAGCATATGGGACTTTTTTTCTGATTTTAATTTTTCCTTCTTTTAAAATATTTTCGTTGTGTTAGCCTCTTCACCATCTGGATTGATTTTATTTTTATTTTTTATAAAAACAGGCAAAAATACCTTGAGCTCCAAGAAACATAATGCTTGGCTCTAGATTCCATGTGAACTATATACCTTTTGGTTTATCCATGACTAACCTTTAAATCCCAGGGGTTTTTTTTTTCTCCTTTAATATAAGCAGTTATCAAAATCGTTCATTTATGCATTCATTAAGCAAATATTGATATTTGCTTATAATGAAGCTGATAATACAGATATTATCAGTAGCACTAGGAAAATATAAAATAAATAAATATAAAATAAAATAAATAAGATGTATCCGGATCTCTCACAAATGCATTACAGTGTGTTATAAAATGTTGTGTATTATGGATATGTACAATATAAGTAAATATATGAAGGAAATGTTTAGGTGGGTACTTATGGAGCATGAAAGAGGAAGCAACCACTTCCTTAACAAATGAAGAAAGATATGATGAAGGATTCAGCCTTTCATCTTGATCTTAAAGGATGATTTTGTCAGAAGAGGAGAAGTAGGCCATTAGAGCTTGCATGGAGGCATGAAGAGGCACAGCATATTCAGGGAACTTTTAGTTCAACCATTGTAGAAGACAGTGTGGTGATTTCTCAAGGATCTAGAACTAGAAATACCATTTGACCCAACAATCCCATTACTGGGTATATACCCAAAGGATTATAAATTATTCTACTATAAAGACTCATGCACACATATGTTTACTGCAGCACTGTTCACAGGAGCAAAGTCTTGGAACCAACCCAAATGCCCATCAACGATAGACTGGATACAGAAATGTGGTACGTATATACCATGGAATACTATGCAACCATAGAAAAGGATGAGTTCCTGTCCTTTGCAGGGACATGGATGAAACTGGAAACCATCATCCTCAGCAAACTAACACAGGAACAGAAAACCAAACACTGTATGTTCTCACTCATAAGTGGGAGTTGAACAATGAGAAAACATGGACACAGGGAGGGGGACATCACACACTGGGGCCTGTCGGGAGGTGGGGGCTAGGGGAGGGATAGCATTAGGAGAAATACCTAATGTAGATGACGAGTTGATGAGTGCAGCAACCCACCATGGTACGTGTGTACCTATGTAACAAACCTGCATGTTCTGCACATGCATCCCAGAACTTAAAGTATAACAACAAAAAAAGATTTTTAATATGGTTAGAGTATAAGGGTATATGGTGAAATTGGGATCAAGATAAGGTGGAAATGTGTGTTGAAATCACATGAAGATCCTTTGTATGCCTTATAATAGAATTTAAATTTTGTCTTCTTCCCCCAAAAATATTTGGGTACTCAAATAATGGGTTTCCATTTTCATAATATGATTGAGCAGATATATCTGACATCCCAAAGGTTACATTAAAGCCAAGGGTAAGAGTTTTGTAGTCAGTGTTTCTCCAGCCATTTCTCATCTTTCAGCATATTTATTGAGCACTTGTGAACTACACACTGGATGACATAAAGAAAAAATACTAGCCTGGGCAACATAGCAAGACTTAGCTTCTACAAAAAAATACAAAAATTAATTGGGCATGGTGGTATGTGCCTGTAGCCTTAGCTACTTGGGAGGCTGAGGTAGGAGGGATCACCTGAGCCCAGGAGTGCAAGGATGGAGTGAGCCATGATTCCACCACTGCACTCCAGCCTGGGCAACAGAGTGAGACCCTGTCTCAAAACAACAACAACAACAACAAAAACTGGCTTCTTAAATGTTCTCACAGAACTTTCAACGTAGTTTAGCAGATGAAATAAATACTTGAAAAGATCATAGTAAGAGATATCACAAAGGAATTCATATTTGCTGAGGAGTCAATGAGTAGTATGAGTTCAAAGGATGGAGAGAACTAAAGTTATTTATCTGAAAAGGCTTTATGAGTAGAGTAGGGACATGACTTCAGTCTGAAGGACAGGTCGAATTGCAATAGGTAGGAAAGGAGAAAATTACTGTTAACTGGGAAAAATTAAGCAGTGGCATAAAGGTATGGAAACAAGGGTTAATGAAGTGTGTTTGGGAGCAGCAAATTGATCACTTTTCTTGAGCTAGAGTGTCATGTAGGGGCGCACATCGGTGGGTATTGACAATAAATAAATATGGCTTCTAAATGAAATGAAACCTTCAAAAAACCTTGTAAGGAAAGCTATTTCTGAATATACTTTTGATCCATCTTAAAGATCTCATAAAAAACTCCAATTTCAGCTGAACTTTTAAAAATAAATATTTTGCAATATAAAAATATTTCCTGGCATTAAGATATGCTCAAATACCAAACTCACTGCCAAGAGATTTTCCAGCTTAAACCCATGCTTTTTAGATGTGTTGTAAAGAGCTTTAGATATCATTTTATGTTTGCTTTAAACTTTTTTTCAAGGAAAAAATAGAAAAGTATATCCATTGGCCCTGTGTGCTTCTTATACGTTATTGTCAGATCTTCATCTGCTAGGTGCCTGGATTTTTAGTGTAGAGATTACCTGTCATTCTTTGTTTGCCTATAGCCAGTGAACTTCAGGAATAATTTTTTCTTGTCTTGAAACAAGAATGAAGCTATATAGATAATGGTCACCATTATTTAGACATCAAAGATTAATATGAAAATATTTTCTGATAAACTTAGAACCATTTTTGTTTTATATCAGGTTTTCTAGATAAATATTTCAACTTTAATTAGACTTTTCAAATGTCCATTATTTTGTGATTTTAAAAAGCAGTGTTACGTAAAAACTATTAATGGAAGAGTCAGAGAAGTCGTTATATGAAAGTAAAAACTTTGAGGTAACTTGCTAATATTTTTGTATATTTTATTGCAATATTCTTGCATTTTTAAAGTTGGGGTTCTTTTACAAATTTTGTATCCTACTATTTTAGCATTAATACATGTACATTTCTTCATTTTTCTAAAATGATGCATAAGTGTATTTCTTAACGGCTAATATCCCATTGATAGAAAGTAATTTAACCATTCCTCTATTGGACATTTAGATTGTTCCCTAATTATGTGTGTCTATTATATATTTAAACTGGAGAGACATGTATTTGCACCAAAGGTAGGTTATATGATCTACTTACGCAATGTGCAAGTGGAAAATGGATGGCAGAAGGATTGTTCTTCCTTCCTTGTTTGTTTGTACCAGAACTCTTCATTGTTTACATACATTTTAGCCTTGGTGCCATTTTCAGAAGCTTTATTTGTCTCACTTACTTTTTTGGTTTGGATAAGACTTAAATATAAAATCCATCTGTGAAGCATATTGTATATTCACATTGAAGGCTAAAAACCCTTTTTTAATTAAAACTTTATTCAGCACTCATGGTTCACTTTGTCCTGTTTTTATTATGAAACACTTCAGTCTTCTTCCTAAAAACACATATGTCTTGAACATTTCAAGATGTTTCTTGTTGCTCATGCAGAACTAGTTTCTTTATGCTCTCAGCTCACTGCCATATGTTCTAGCTGTTCATTTGCTTCCCTTTCTGGCATCTATGTAGGCAACATCTTGTATGTAATGTAAGTTAGTTTTATTCCCTTCTCCTTTATAAAACTTGTCAGAAGGTAAAATAACACACTGGAAACAGTGAATAGTACTCTGGTAAGTTAGAGTTTTCATGATTCTAAAGGATGTGGCCTTTCTTGTAATCTTAATGTTTGTAAGGTATGAAGAGAAAATGTGTCTAATGACACCTGAAGTCTTGCCAGGTGTGAATAATTACAGTTAAGGTGCTATGGATATTATTTGGTAACAACATATATTATAGAAATTGCAATTCTTTGTATTGAGTATTATACCAAATGTGAAGATTGGGGAAATGTGGAGAGGAAAAATAATAATCAGATCATCCCTTTTATTTTCAGGAATGCACCATATGTCCTCATCTGAAAGTCTCTGCAGGATGGTCTGACTCACGCGAGTGGTTTTGAGATAAGTTGTGTTATACCTCAAGTTAGGTAAAGTCGAGAGATGAACTAACTTAAAAAGTAGTGATGTTTACATAGAATCTAAATTGGAAAAGACAATAATATCAGCATTAGAAAGTTTGCCTTTAAGTAAAAAAAATTATTAGCCATAATAGGTTTTACATTCTTCGTAATAGAATATCCTAAAGCAATAAAACCTCCACTATGTGAACTCTAAGTTCTGAACATCCGAATTTTTCAAATAGTTCTGAGTTATATTTAATTTGTTCTTTACTGACTAGAACACTTCCTAATTTATCACATCATTTTTAACCTCCTCAAACATACTGAATATATTTTTTCCAGGTTTATTGAGGTATAATTGACAAACAAAAATTGTGTATGTAAGGTGTACAATGTGATGTTTTGATATGTGAATACATTTGATGATTCTGGCTTCCCAATATGAAGATCACTTATTGTGTCAGCCAGCATAAAACGTAGGACTGTTGAGATAGAGTAGAATCATTTATGTCTGCAATGACTGCCTCCATGCTAATATGTCTCAATTTTGTTTTGTTTTTAGAATTTATATTTTCACATTTGCTGCATATGATGCAGAGTAGGCTTGGGGACCAGGTTACCAATTTGATATGATTGCATAAAACAAGAATGAAAATGTTCTGTGTCAGGGCCTTTTAAGTATTGGTGTTATGTCATCAGCTTTGACTATTATAAGAATTTTGTGCTTGCTTCCTGCTCCATTTAGATGCATGAACTTGGTGCATTTAAAGAGTATGTCAGTGTAGATGTCAACAGTCTATCTCCCCAAATCCAATTTAATATGTAAGGATAAAATTACATTGATTAAATGTTCTAATTTTATATACATTTTAATATAACAGAAACATAAAAGCATGTAGACTACATTTAGATTTCTTTATATGATGATTTACTATATCATATACCATCCACTCCCAGACAGATTAGAATGCACATCTTTAACTATAGTATTGTACAATTTATGATGCAAAATTTATCATTGTACCAATACAGACCTTATGGTACATTTTATTTAAGTTCATGGTGTTTTCTTTCTGAAAGGAAACTTTTCTTCAATCACAACACAAATGAAAGAGCTAAAATAGAAAGCTTTGCACATTCAGTATAGCCATTTTTAAATGGCTTAATAAATTATTCTTTCAGTAACACTTGACTTAACTTCAATAAATACACACTGAATTACATCCTATAGGTTAGTACAGTTGATAAGCATTTTTTTCTCTCCCTGAACTAAGACATAAAAATCCACACCCAGGAGACAAGCTTAGTAGGTCACAGAAATACCCCCATGTGTCTTGCATGAGGATGTTTGTTCATGCAAAGAACATTTATTGAGCACTTATGTACTAGGGACAGTGGTAGCTGCCAAGGATAGGGGATACAGATTCATCTATCCCTGCTCTTGAGGAACTTAGAGTCCTAAAAAGAAAGACACAGATAGGTGAGTTACATTTCAATATGGAAAATACTATAATAGGTATAAACAAATTTAATCATCACCTTTAGAGGCTGAGAAATTTTTTTAAAAAAGGAATAAAGTGAGGAGTGGTGGGTAGTGGGGAAAGAAAAATGCTCCATCCTGTTTCAAAGAATAAGAGAAATATATCTCCTCGACTCAATGTTATGAATACTGGAGTTGTAGTCATGAAACATTTTTGAATGCTGTTACTATCCCATCTTGAAAAAACACAAAACATCCAGGCACAGAATATTGTTAAGTCAAAGGGAGGATATGATTAATTCTGCTAGAGAAAGGAATGGTCCAGGGAAAATTTTACAGGTACTTGAGGTGAGCCTTAAAGGATCCATGTGATTTCAGTAGGCAGAGATGTGCAAAGAAATGGTGTAGGCCAAGGGAACAGCCAGAATAAAGATCAAAGAAGGCGTGGTAATGAGGATGACACTCTCCTGCCACAATTAATTGTTACGCCTTACAGCACAGTAGCTGGTACTGTGTAATGTAGTAAGAACCACGGACTTGGCCAAATGAGCTTGGTTTGAGACCTGTCAGTATTATGCACCAACTGTGTAGGTTGGTGGCAAGGTGCCGAATCATTCTGTGCCTCCATTTCTTTATCTGAGAAAGGGAAAATGATGCCTAACCTGAGGGCTACCATGTTGTGCAACTGTAGGAGGCATCATTCACATTGTACAGAGGCCCTAGCTATCTCAGGTGGGCTGGGAGGATTAAATGAGACAATACATATAAAGTATTTAACACTGTGGCTGGCACATAGTAAGTGCTCAATAAACATTCACTACTGTTAATCAGGCAACTGTCATTTTAAAAAATGGATTCACTTGAAATCCCTTTTATTTGTAAAGCCTTATGTATCTCTACCCTTGGAAAACAATCTATGTGTTCCTGAGATTAATTTGAGTAGAATGCAAGATATATTTTGCTTCATTTACTGGGCTTCAAAATTTGTTGTCCAGGAAATATAGAAAGACAAAAACATACCAAAGAGAAACAAAACAACAAATAAATTAAATCCCCCTAAATCATTTTGAATGAACATTTTTCTCCAATGATGGTTCATTTTATTCATGCCATTGCATAGAAGTCCCAAATATATTTATTTTTATTTGTAAAACACCCCTTCTGTTACCATCTGATGTTTCCATAAGGAACATTTTCCATCACAGTTTTATGTCCCTGAAACTTAAAGATGTTTATTTGTTCTTCCCCCTTTATATCCAGAAGCAAGGCTATTTGGAATGGATTAGTTGATTAGGACATCTGACTCAGAAAATGAGACAGCCATGAATTTGGCTGAGAATTCAGAAACATGGATGGGGACATTGATTATTACCAGTCTTCAAACGTCAGCAAAGACTTCAGGGTTGCAGGAGGGAGAAAATAAAACACATAAAGTTTAATGGCTTTGGCTATGGGGGTCTTTGGGGCAGGTTGGATGGAGTTATTTGCTGAACACATGATAGTCTTTTTGTTACTTGTCCAGCTGGATTGATTGAAGCCTGTTTTCACTCTATCTTGTAAAACAGAAAATAGCCATTAGCTACTCACCAGTATATATGGAAAATGCAGAGGGTTGTGCTTCAGTTAGGGTCTGTCTGCAGCAATCTAGTCCTCATAGCATGGGATTATAGCAAGTACTACAAATAGGCAAAGTCAAAGGAGCTTGCTTAGCCATTTAACACCTATCATGGACTCTTAAACTGGAGTTTGGATTGCAGGATGCTTTTTATGTAGTGACCTTGGATCTATACCAGTGGGAGGGAAGGATTGGGCAGAGGGGATAATTTTAGCTGCAATGCAGGCCTGATAGCAACCTTGCTCAAACTCACAGGGAGCGCTGGAGCTAAAATGGTCCATTGGAATAAACTCATGTTAGGCTGAAATGGCCATGTTTTTATACTTATTATTCACTGGATGTGGACTGCTCTTGGAAGGGTGGGACCTCTGGCAAGGTGGATCTGTGGGTAAAGAAATGCTGACAATTGAGGGCTGCCTCCCCACAGAACTGCCAGCAGCTGGGGCAACAGACCTTTTCTTGAAGAGGAATCTGGTGACACATCACCCTGCCTTTGCCTCCCCAAGTTCTATTATAACATATATGATCCAAACCAGTTTGCAGAAACATGGCTGGACAAAGAGGCTCCACCCTCTCACTCTCCCAGTTTCTTCCACAAAATAAAGTCTCAAGTAGCTCACTGTTCCAAAAGTGACTTAAACCACTGGACATCACCACCATTCCCAACACAAAACCATAGATCTAATACTAGGCCTATGAAGAGTTAGTGTTTTTCCCAAGCAGTAATTATAAGGAAGGTGTACAGCCCTAACCTGTTTATCAAGCTCCAGATTCACAGATACAAAAACTATCTGGCTATGCCAGTGGGATATCCCATGGGTACCTCCAAGTCGGTGTGCTCAAATCTGAACTCATAATTTCTTCTTTCAAGACCAAACCTGCTTTCCACATCTTAATACATTAGAGTACCTACTCTTTAGATCTAAAGCCTGGGAATTATTCTTAATTCTCTCCATCCCCCCAGAGTCAGTAAGTCCTGCAGATTTAACTTCACGAATGCCTTTTAGCAGCCTTCTCCCCTCCTCCAGTCCTCTCCCCTCCTTCACGGCTACTGTCCTAATTCAGGCCCTCATTCAAAGGAGGTTATCTTTTTGTAATTGTACTAACTTTTAAAAGTTAAAATAGTATGTTGTTGCAAATAGTGTAGTACAGCTTATGATATTCTCTTTTCTTACCCCATACCTGCAGGTACCCAGGGATGACCTTCTGTGAATGGTCTGCCTAGGTATTCTGGTGGATTCCTCCACAACTCCTTTTGATATTATGTAGATATAATACCTTTTATCTTGACTTCAACAAGCCAAGAACAATCTCTACTATGAAAGATGAAAATTTAATGTTGACTACCTTTCCTCCCTTCTTTTCCCAGTGTTTGATATTCATGTTATTATTAGTTATTTTATTGATTACATATGTAATTTTCAGTAACAGACTTAAACCTCTATTTCTTGCTCCACCTACTTTCAACAATCTGTTGACTACCTACTTTGTAAGAAGACAGATATTAACACTTCTGTCTTTGCCCTCTCAATTCTATCTTTTGTCAACTACATGTTTATGTTGTCAAAGTTGTAACATTTACATTCTTTTCTTTAGCCAAATTAATCTTCCATGCTCTTCCTTCCATAATTTTTTATTCTACAATTAACATTTTGATGTGTTTGCTTTAGTACAGTATTAATTTATCAATCCTTTTTTAAACAGTGGTAAAATGTACATAACATAATATTTATAATTTTAACCATTGTAAAATATACAAATTTTAACCATTTATAATTTTAACCAAATGTACACATTTGGTTACAGCATTCATAATGTACATAATGTACAGCATTCATAATGCTGTATACCTATCACCACTATCTATACCCCAAATTTTTCATCATCCTCAACATAAACTCTGTACCCACTAAACAATTTCTCCCCCTTGCCTACTCTTCCCCTGCCCTCTATTCAGCTTTTTCTCTCTCTGAATTTGCCTATTCTGGGGACCTCATGTAAGTAGAATCATTCAATATTTGCCTTTCTCTGTCTGGTTTATTTCAGTAAATGTAATGTTTTCAAGGTCCATTCACGTTATAGTATATATCAAAAATTCATTCCTTTTTAAAAAAACTTTTATTTGAGGTTCAGGGATACATGTGCAGCTTTGTTACACAGGTAAACTGGTGTCACGAATGTTTATTATACAGATTGTTTTATCATGCAGGTACTAAGTTTAGTACCCAATTGTTATTTTTTCTGATCCTCTCCCTCCTCCCACTTTCCACTCTCAAGTAGGCCCCAGTGTGTGTTGTTCCCCTCTTTGTGTCCACGAGATATCATTTAGCTGTCCTTTTTACATGGCTGAATAGTATTCTATGTGTATGTATAAGATTTTGTTTATCCCTTTATCTACTGATGGATTTTTCCTTTCTTTTTTTCAGTGATACTGCAACAACCTCAAAAATTGCCATCCCTTAGCAGCCTCTGGCTCTATCATTTATTCTCTTACTGTTGCTGGAATGATCTTTCTAAAGATAAGATGCTCTTTGTATATATTAGTTGCCCTTACCCTTCCTGACTCTGTCCCATTCTTGGCTATACCGTGGCACCCAGTGTCCCTAGGCTCACCTCTACCTCTTCTCCAATGTCATCTGTGTTACACTCTCACAGACCCTGTGCTTCAGCCACAAAAGGTACCTCACTCTACCTTAGAGATGCCATGGCCTTTTACATACTTGTCTTGCTTTGTGCAGTTTCTTCTGTCTCTCATATAATCATTTTGTCTGTCTACACAGAAATCTCTACACTCCAAGTAGAGTTAAATGTCTAAATCTAAGTTAAACATTATTTCCCATGAAGCCTTCCCCATTTCCACGAGGTAATTTGTTGCTCCTTTCTCTGTTTTTCTGAAGTATTTTGTTCCCACCTAGAATTTCAGTGCTTAATTGTTCTGCAATAATTTGCTGACTTGCCTGCCTTTTTTATTCAACTGACCTCCGCGTAGATTGCAGCTGTTTTCCATATTTATGTCATGAACCTGGAAACTGTAACATTCATGAAGAATGCTGCATGAGTGAGTAGTAGTACAATGAGGGTAGGGTTGAATGTGGAGTCAGAAATCTGGGCTTAAAGACCAGTTCAGCCACATTACCTCACCTCTCTGAGTTTGTTTCTTCATTCATCAGTCCTAGACTGGTGTTGAGAACTAAATGAGATGGTTAATGTGGGAGCACTCTTTATAAAATAATTGCGAGGATTTTAAAAATTATCAGTCTTACTAGTCTTCATGTACTTCTCATCCCAGATAAATTTACTATTCTATAGGAAGTTCCCAGTTTGTGAATCATTCCTTTAAGAAGAAATCATAAATAGTGGAAATATAATTTTGGAATACCTGATGTTTGCTTTGTTTGCTTAAGTGGTTAGAAATTTCAGGGATGCAGAATTTAGCTAGCAAAAGGAAGAACTTTCTAATTGGCAGTGTGGTCCAGTAATGAATGCTCTCAGGAGGTCATCATTGCTCCATCTCTGGACCACCCTGCCAATTAGCAAGTTCTAATAGAGGGCTGGCTAAGTTTACCTGTCAGGGAGACTGTTCAGATAAATTCTGACCCAGAATGAAGAGGGAGGAGAGCTGCACTAGCTGACTCTGAGGTTCCTTCTCATTCTGAATGTTTATAATCCTAAAATTTACATACAAGGCATACTGAGAGAGAGACCAATGCTGCTTTTGTAGTCTATTCAGGAGATAAGGTATAAAGGTTGGGTTTTATTTTTTCCTCTTTAAGAGAAAGTTGTAGATTTTGTATAAGACCACAGTAAAAAGTCTGACATTTCTACTTTGTGAGTCTGGGCTGAAGCTGAAATTTGATTTTGAAATATGAAAGTAAACTGTAACTACCTTAATTTAAGCCTGTAGGATTTACATTTATATATAACCTTTAAATTTCTCCCAAATTTTCACCCTGGAGAAAAAAAGAAATTACAGTAATCTTACTTAAGGCTAGAAATCTAGACAGACACTCATTCTAGGTTAATGGATAACTGACACTGCTTTGCCTGGGCTTCTAGCAGTTTCCATCCCCTCTGACTGATGTGAACTCTCACACCCAAGGACATGGTTACGAGTCTCTCATGTTAAATTGAGTGCTTTTGTAGTCCAAACTCAATAACAAAAACACTTTAGAAAACATTTTCTTCATGATATTTTTAAGAGTGCTATTTTTTTTTAAAACACCATCCTTTCACAGTTCAAAGCTGCTTCTTAATGTTATTATTGCTCATGGTAAACCCATTTCAATTCTCTGAAAGCTACTCTGCAATGTTTTTCTATTTGTGCTGTTGCCTCTCAAGCTGACATATGACTTTCCCTGTATACCCTCCACTACCACCAACCAATCCATCCACTTCCTGCCCCAAGGAGACAAACTGTGGAAACAAATTAGAAGCACACAATGTCAACATGAGAAGCGTCCATAGATTTCATCTAATCTAATTCAAGCCTTTGCGCCTCTCCTCTTTTAAGGAAGAAGCAACTGAGGGATGGCTAGGGAGGGTCATAAAGCAAGTAATGACAAAATTAAGCTAGGATACAAATCTTTTACCTGCTTATCTAGTACTTTTAACCACTGCCCCATGCACCGACTGGAGGTGAGTTGGGGTAGGGGCTCTGAAAGGTTTCAGAGAGGTGGTTACAGCTCTCACTGTGGTGACTGACAACTGACCCAATGGACAGGCAGTTTCCTTTTAAGTGACTTGGTAGAAGGCCTGACATCATCTTGCAATTGAATGAGGGGCTAAGAACCCTGCTGAAATATATACATATAGAGAGAGCCGGGTGACATCTCATATGTACATATTGGCAGGTAGTGATGGAGAGATCAACCTGAGAACAAGGTCCTGCTGGAATGAGAAAGCATGGCAAAGATGAGAGGTTTGGAAAGGGGCCACAGGAGCATTACAGTCAATGAGACTGAAGGTCCACATTAGAGACTGGAACAACTGAGGCACAAATGGTGAATGCTACCATCTGAGATTCCTCAGATACATTGAGGACATTCTGAATGTGAAGGGGGTTGTTGGAACTTGGAGGCAAAAGAGGCTGCTTTGCTTTTTAATTTTTACAGGCTGTCCTGAAGCTCACATTTGGGTGTTGACTGGCCTTTCTGAAACGGAGATGAAACTTGTCTACCTACCTCTAAGAGTTGTAGGATTTAATGAGACCTCACCCGTGGCGGGACTTTGTAACTCCAAAGTCTGTACAGATTGTACAGATATTGTCTATTATTCTTTCTCTTGATTGTGGCTAAGAACTAAGGAATCCAGAGCCAAAATATGATGGAGTAAATTGAACATGCATTCATTCACTCATTCATTGAACATTTATGAAGAGCTTACTAAATGTCCTAAAACAATGCAACCCCTAGATGAATACCACACCTACTTTCAAAGAGCACCAGTCTGTGGCAAAGAAGAGATGAAAATAATTATAACACTTGCATGAAACTTGCTATAGTAGAAACACAGGGGCCTGTGGAGGCTCAGAGGAAGGACACAAAACCAACTTGGGTGAGTGGAGGAAGTAGCATGAAAAGTTAGTAGGAAATGATTCCTGAGGTGAGTAGGAGATAGGCAATGGTGGTAGAAGGTCAAGGGTAAGTGTTCCAGGCAAAGGGAGCGACATGAACAATGGCATGGGATAGGGGAAGTAGGGCTGAATGAGAGGACCTTGGAGACCCCTTCAAATGGTAAGTGTGACAGACACATTAACGAAAATGTAAATGTGTGTGTGATGTGTGTGCCTTCAGTAGACCTGCCCAGGGCTTGGTGGTAATATAGGCCTCAACATGCCTTTTTCTCCAGCCCCTCCTATGTCATTCTTGGCTTGCCCACTACCCCTGAAACACTTTTCATCTTGAAGGGCCTGGATAATTGTTGCTGAACCCTTGCATGGCCTTAAGCAAGTCCCATCCCTTCTAGAAGTCTCCAGTGTCTCTTTCTGTGAAATATGGGGGTCTGATTAGCTGGTCACTGAGGTCCCTTCTAGGACTGACCCTGACTTGTGAGCTTCCTACACTGCAGTGATTCACTGTTTGCCTCTGACTCTCCCCCACACTCTGGGAATGGAGCTTAGGTCTCCTGACTTTCAGCTTAGGGTTCTTTTCTTTCCACCACATTGGCTGTTTTACTGTATCATAAGAGTTAAAGGAGAAACATCCTGTTCCTCAGAGAACTGAGTCTAGCTGAGAGCTAAGAAGGCACCAAAGCTTGAACACCATGGTACCCCTAGTGCCTGGAACAGGGTGCGGCCCATGACATTATTTGTAGTGTTTAGTGCCAAAATGAAAGAAATCTTGATTGTAAAACCTCAAAACTGGAGATAACCTAATAGATCTCTTTGTATGGGCTGTTCCCTCTGCCTGAAAACCTTCCCTTCAGCACCCACTTCCTGTGGCCAGCAGCAGGGCTAAGACTTGATACTAGACAGGAGAGCTTCTCTCCCTGTGGGTAAGACTTTATGGTCAAAATCCTCCAGACTTTGCCCTTTTCCCTCTCCACAAAGCCCAACTTCAAAGCCTGATTTCCTGTTAAAAAACTGTCTTTGGTTTCTCGGAAGCAGCACATGAAACCAGGTGCCAGCGGTTTATTTCAGAGGAGATCCCAGGAAACACCTCCAAGGAAATGGGGAAATGAGACAGGGAAGGGAAGGGAGCTATGCAGGGTGTGTTAATGGACATATTAACACGGTGGGTAGCTGCGCCTCATTGTCCCTCTGAAAGATATTTTAGAGCAAGGCTCCAAGTTGTCCCACTTCAGGGCAAGGGGCTGACAGTGCTTATCCTCAAACTCTTTTTTGTCGCTGGTTCAGGGCTGCTCCCAGGTGTGTTAACTCCAAGCACTTCTAGCTTGTTGTATGCAGGGGACCGAACATTTTTCTACAGTCAGAGAAAGCCCTCAGCAGAGAGGTGAAGGGGCTTTCAGCAGGAAGTCACAGTAAACAGCACTGCTGAGACCTAGGGGATGTGGGCAAGGAGACTGACAGCCTCTGCCCCAGTGGTGCAATGCCCATTATCTTCAGTCCCTGGTCAGTAATCTTCACAGCTCTGCCTTAGAGGCAAGAGGCTAAATACAGACAGGATTTATAAGGGGAAATTAAATATGCAGGGTTGACATTTGCAAATGAATAAATAGTATCCCTATTTTATGGGAATTCATTGTGCACTTTTGTACCTTAACCCTTTAGCACATGCTGCCTCACTACCTTGTATGACTTTTTCTAGAAAACTCCAATTCATTCTTCCTTCAAACTCTAGCTCCATTATGCACTTTTATGTTATGCCCTTTCCTGATTGCCCTGATAGAACTAATTCCTCCCTGCTCTTTTCTCTGACAGCATTTTCTGCTAGATCTAAAATAACATTGCTATGTAGTGTCATGCCTCCTTATGTGTTCATCTTGCCTGCTACTAATAGCAGTAATAATGTTGTGGGACGTTTTCCTTAGTTTAGCTAAGAGCCAGGTCCTTATCGCATGGCCATGAAAAATTAGGCTTGCAGATGATTTGAAGGGTGAGAATAATGGGATTTATTGGGCAAAAAGGAAAAAACGGGGAACAGGAACTCACTTCAAGGCCAGAGTTCCTGCTAGTGTAGGATTCCCACCTCACAGATTGAATTCCAGGTTCCACCCAAGGAGAGGAGAGGCCAGGCTCCTCCCTGCTGCAAATGGCACGAACGTCTGTGGCTCCATCCCAGTGTGCACTCCTCTCAGTGCATAGGCCAGTTGGAGTTTTGCCAGGGAGCCCTTCCCACCTGGCTGTCTCAGTAATAGCTAACATTTATTAAGTACTTTAGTTATGTGTGAGGCACTATTTTAAATACTTTATTTGAATTAACTAATTTAATCTTCTCATCAACCCAATGAAGTAGCTGCTATTACTGTCTCCATTTTGTGGATGAGAAAAGATAGATAGAGAAATTAAACAACTTTTCCAATATCTTGTCATTAGAAAATGACAGCATGAGGAATTGGTTCCAGAAGATCAGTCTTTCAAGCCCCTGCAGTCTTCTTAACCACTGCACATAACAGCCTGTCTTTGGCTGTAGTACAGAAGGGGGCACAAGGACAAAACCCTGGGATATATTTCTAGCAATTTTCATAGGATCTCATGCCAAGCTGGAAAACACCATCTATGGAGAGTCTTAAATAGAACAATACTTGCATTTTAGAAAAATCATTCTTGCTATAGTGCATAGGATGAATTGCAAGAAGAGAGACTGGGAAGAGAGATAAGAGTCAAAGGGCTGTTGAAATGATCCAGGTAAGAGATGAAGTCCCAAGTTTAGCATGGACCTTCCTTCCTGAGCTATCACCTGCTTACCTCCCAGTCACTGCACCACCCATTCCCCAACATGCAGGCCTAACACTCATGGATGTGCAGGTGGTGCCCTGCACAAATACACCTGGACAATAGGGGCATGTGGGAGCTGAAGTGAGCGTGGGCTCTGGCTGCCACCTGTCACCCTATAGTGAGGATCTGTATCTGCCAAGAAGAAAGGCATCTTTTGCTCACTTTCACAATGAAGCATAAGGACTAGCAGTGGTCCTGTCCACGTGTATCTTCCACTCCCGACATTTAAAACTATTTTTGTTCCTAGTTATGTCATAATTTTTCCCACCTCTGTGTTTTTTAATCTTTGGTTTCCTCTGCTAGGGGTGCCCTTTCACTCACTCATTTCATTCATTTATTCTTTCACTTATTCATATAACACAGAATTTTGTACCCACCATGTGCCAGGTACCTATCTAGGTGAAGGGGATTCAGCAGGGAGCTCACAATCTAGGGGAAGAGATGCCTATTAATGAAATAATCACACAAATTAGTAGTATACACTGACATATGCTTTGAAGGCAAAGTTGGGGGATCATGAGACTGTATCTTGGGTGTTAGGGGCTCATCTTTGGGATGTAGGTGTTTGTGCTAAGTTCATGACCGGGACTATATGGCTTTACTTAGGATGTGACTTTTGAGCTGAGATGTGAAGAATAAGTAGGAATTAATCAGGCAAAATGGTAGGGAAGGGGAGTGGCCACCCTTCTGCAGTCCTACTGTATTCAACAGCATGTCTTGTCTTTGGGTCAGATGAGATACGTCCGGAGTTTAGTAGAGGCTCAGTACAATAACAGGACAATAAAGGAGGAGGAGGGCCAAGATTGGAGGAATGGAGAGACATCTCTCAAATCTACAGAGGGGGAGGTGCCAAGAGCCAGGCAGAAGGCAGGAAGTTGGAGATTGAGGAAGAGACCTCTGAGAAATTCTGGGAGCTGAGGAACATTTAAAAATAAGATATTCAGTATCCAATTTTAGATTGTGCTTCTGTGGTTTAAAATTCTTCTCCCCAAACCTTCAATATAATATGTCACACACAAATACTAGTGTGAAAGGTTTTGGGAGAAATCAGGGGAAAACTGAGTTCTCAGTAAGGATCAACGGGGAACAATGGAGAGGGCAGAGCCAACTAAGGTGAGAAGCAAGTGAGGTCAAAAGGTCAATGAAAACAAAAATGTGGAGGCTGCAGTGACATGAGGTATTCATCGAGTCTGCTGTGTCTACACCTCAAAAACATAGAATTTTATTTGTATCCAGTTGTAATTACTGGTCAGTGTAAATGGATGAGAGTAGAGGCAGCCTTGACTGGGAGATAGAAGAAAGGCACGCCCTCACCTGGTGTCTGTCAGTAGGCTGGGGCTGTGATCCCACTCTAGGTGTCTGAGACTCAGTTACTTAAACTCCAAGTGAAGGAGACTCACCCCTAACAGCTAACACTCCAAGTCACTACCCAGCCAGCTGCAGCACAAAGTCTACCAGGACCATGGAGAACTAATTAACTCAATACACATTTATTGAACAGCTGTTATTTTCTGGGTACAAAGTCACTTGGGATATGGCCCTTGGTCCTTGCCCCCTGGAGTCTTCCATCTCAGTGTGATCAGTGCTGTGACAGAAGCAGGTCAAGGCTATGGGAGCAGGAGTGGGAACTTGACCCAGGTCTGGACGTTGCGGCAGCTTCCTGGCGAAGGGACACTTAACTGGGGTCACAGTGTATTCCAAGGTATGCGGATTCATGGCAAGCAAAGGGAGAAGGACAGAGAAGCACAGGCACAGTGGCTCCCAGGCTGTTTGTGCTGCCCGCTGTGGGGCTTACCCTTAAATACAGAGTAACATGTCTTGATTCCTTGAGGTTTTAACAAGTCATGTCTCTCCAACTGCTTCTCAAGGCCATAGAGAGTTTGTGCATATTTGGGTTAGAGAGTAGGAAGAGGCAGAATTTAAATAGTGCTTTGGATAGTCCATTGTCTAAGAGCTTTCTGCCCAAAATACCATCTGTCACCATGCTTAAAGTCCACCCTTGGCTCCCCACCCCTTCGGGTCTGACAGCCACCACTGTGGAGCCACCAATGGAAATATAGGACTCTCCTGGGTAAATTCATGCAACAAAGAGATTATTGGTGAGAATAGAAAGATAGAGAGGTAGGGGAACTAGAAAGGGGAAGAGGAAGGAGGATAAGGGGGAGCAAAGGTGCTCTTGGATTTTTGCAAATTTCTTCCTGCTCCTTTTCTTGTATCCTCCATTTTTCTACTCTCAAGACACACATTCAGTAAAGGCTACTGAATACATTCAAGAAGAGGGTGGAAACAGTGTGTTTGAGGTAGGTCTGTAAGGCAATATATCAGAAAGAGTGGGGAAACCCCGTGTGACACCTTCTGGGTGGTCCTGAACAAACCCAGTGCTCTCTCTGGGCTTCTGTTTCTCCACTTGTCAAGTGTGCAGGTTGAGTTGGATTCTCTTCAGGGGAGCTTGCAGTCTTGACTTCTGTGATCTCCAGTTTAGACAGCAAAGTAAGAGGAGAGCCTGTTTCTGTGGCTGACAGGCTTGGGCTTTGTTTAATCTGTCTACACTGAAGCCAGGTCTGTGGAATCACGCAAAATAGCCCCAGAGGAAGATGTTGATGGCCAGCAAAAGGACAGCATTGATGTTGCAGACATGTCTCCAGAGTGGCTCCTCCTCAATGCTTGTCAGCTTCTGTTCTAGCGCAGCCTTCTCTGCTGGGCTCAGGGCCTGCTCCGGTGTTCCAGAGAGCCCACAGAACCAGCTCCAGAGCAACTTTCCCCAGGACCTGCTTGGGGCTGGAGGGACAAAGCCAGAAGACAAAGGAGAGCAGGAGGGGAGAGGCAAAGAAGATTGGAGAAAGGAAAGTGATAGGAGAGTAGGGGAGGGAGAGAGATGGTGAGATACTGATGGAAAGTATGGGGGGTGCACAGAAACTGGGGAGGGGTGAAGCCATAGACTTGTACTTTCTGCAAACCACAGACTGGGTGCTGAGCTGGTACTCTAGACTACGTTCTGATCTTGGCCACAGCACCCAAACAGTCATGTAGTGGAAGCACCACTTTCTTCAAGAGGGGATGGTGTATTAAGGTGGCAGGATAATGCAATTCATCCCAATTCATAGCACAAGTCCTGAATAAGGGAAGAAGGAAGGAGCATTATCTCACCCAGGAAGAAGGAAGTGTTTGAACCAGACAGACTGCTACAACCACAATTGGAAAGGGCACTGGGCTGCAAGCCAGAAACCTGGTTCCAGGGCCAGCTCTGCCATTAGCTGACTGTGAGGCCATATGCAAATCACTCAGCTTCTCTGAGCTGGAGGTTCTTTCTGTCTCAAATGTATCAATGACATATGCCCCATTCTTCTCCAGGTTGTTCTGACTACCAAATGAGGATGGAAATTGGACAGCACTTTAAAAGTTACCAGTACTGGAGCAGTGGGAGAGGTTCTGGTGTATATGATATGCTAAATGTGCACGAGACCGAACCCATGCAGACACGGGCTTCCTTGGGGTGAGAAAGGGGCCTGCTCTGAGGTTAAAAGGTAGCACAATTCACTAAAAACTAAATTCAAAAGAAGTAATAAGGTAAATATTTTTAAGTTTTTTAAAAATCAGCAGACATTATATTACAAATAAAATTAATATAAAAATCCTTTCACTGAGATTGAAAAGAATGTACTGGGAATGATTGCTTTATTATTTTAATGGGTTTAGAATGTGGTAGCTGGTAAGTTCAATACACAGGGTGTCAGAGATGCAAGAACCTTGGATGCCATCTGGTCTGGCTCCCTGATTGCACAGAGGAGAAAAAAGTCTCAGGAAAGGGAAGAGACTTATTTAAGGTCACATAGCAACAGAACTGCACTAACGATAATAGGAATTCAGCATTTCGTTTGTACTAGGCTTTATCATTTTCCAAGCTGTTCCAAACATTCTCTCTTTTGATTCCCTTGGCAACCTTCTGAGACAGAGGATGCACAGAGCTTCATATTTAAATTCATATGCCCGGAGAGCCTATGTCACTAAAGGAGTTATTAAGTGGTGTGCCATAACTCAATAAATTCGTATCTAAAAACTGGGATGTACATATTTCTTTCAGATCTACTCTGCTGTCCTTTAAATATTTTTCATATTTAAAAATATATATTTTATATATTATATATATATTTTGAGACAGGGTCTCACTCTGTTGCCCAGGCTGGAGTACAGTGGCACATTCATGGCTCACTGTAGCCTCAACCTCCTGGGCTCAAGCAGTCCTCCCATCTCAGCCTCCTGAGCAGCTATGACCACAGGTGTGCACCACCACGCCCTGCTAATTTTTGTATTTTTTGTAGATATGGGGTTTTGCCATGTTGCCCAGGCTGGTCTTGACTCCTGAGTTCAAGCAATCCCCCTGTCTTGGCCTCCCAAAGTGCTGGGATGACAGGTGTGAGCCACTGTGCCAGCCTCCTTTAAATATTTTTAACTTTTCTTTTCAGGACTCAACATTATACTATGCCTACCTGCAGGCCTTTGGAGAGGGGGTGCCTCTTCCATATTCCTGATGTTTGTTTCTCTGGGCAGGGAAGGAGCTTTAGAGTATAATGGCACCAGCCTTTCCCTACCCTTCTACTTCCTCATGGTGGTGGTCTGTGAAGGGGGGTAGGTTTCTCTCATTAGACTTCTTGGCTGACTTGGTGCCTCCTTTTTCTTGCTTGGAAGCAAGTTGTCCACAGGGAGCAGGCATTTCTCTTGGCTTCTCCAGGGACTACTCTGTCCCTTGGCATGGGGACCAGCTGGGGAGTAGGTCCATTTGTGTAACTCTGTGTAAGTCTGTCTAGTTCTGGGTTTCAGCCGTGGGAAAGTACAAGCTGTCTCCTTCCTCTTTCTCTTTGGGAACTTCCTTTGCAGCTTTGCCCCTTCTTCCTTCCTCCTTCTCTTGGCAGTTGCCTCATCTACAAAAGCTCATGCTCTCAGATTGCTTTCTTCAATACCGTAAGTTTTACAAGGCTCAGGACCCAGTCTTTGCAATGATGATGGGGGAGCAGTTTTATATATATATATATATATAAAAGTCTCAGGAAAAGGAAGAGACTTATTTAAGGTCACATAGCAACAGAACTGCACTAACGATAATATGAATTCAGCATTTCATTTGTACTAGGCTTTATCATTTTCTAAGCTGTTCCAAATATTCTGTCTTTTGATTCCCTTGGCAACCTTCTGAGACAGAGGTTTTATATATATATATATATATATATATATATATACACATACACATACATACACACACACAGGTTTTATATATATAATTTATATATATAATATAAATATAATTTATATATAATATAAATATAATTTATATATAATATAAATATAATTTATATATAATATAAATATAATTTATATATATTATATATTTTATATATATATATATTTGCAAAGCAAAATATACCATGAAGTAATTGGGGCAACTGATAAGACCAGGCAGGGTGATGTTGATCTTCGGTAGTGTCTTCTGAAGTGAGCCTATGTGGGTTTTAACCATGAAAGTTTGGAAAAAATTATATCCATCATTATGAATAGCTTTTTATACTGGATTATTGGCTTTTAACTGCTGAATCGTGGGAAGAAGCTTTGAGCCTTAGACCTTGGTGGGATTCTGGGGCTTATGATGTCATTAGCTCTAGGCAAGTGGCTGTTTCTCTAGAATCAAGGCCTTAAGCAAAGGTGAAGGGCCTCAAGAAAGGTGGGAGCCTTCTCAGGTCTGGAGGAAAGTATAGGGCCCCTAAAACCTGGCAAAGTCACGAGAACTGAGTGGCATGGCATTGCCAGCCATGCTGGTGCAGCAAGTGATGCTTTGCTAATCCTGTCTGTGCTCTTAGCTCTCTAGAATTATTTAAAGTTTGGCACACAAGAGGCTGGTATAAAACTAGAGCTATGGCCAATCCAATGAGAGAAAGCAGCTGCAGCTGCTGAGGGAACCCTAACTCCGTCCAGGCACTGAGACCTCTTTTTAAAAAAAATCTTAATGATTTTACTGTTTTTTCACATGAAGATGCATTTTATTTCTCTGCCTGGACGTTATAAACAATGACATACCATTGTGTTTAAAAGCCGAATATTACTACGTTATTGACATTTTTATCCATTTTGGTGTAAACCCTACATCTTTGCACTACCTGTTTGCCTCCAAGAGATTCTCACCTCCTTGGGGACAGAGACAATGTCTTATTCATCTACTTGTATTAAGACTTTCTTTCACTGAGGCAGAAAATAAATTTAAGAATTAAGTGTCTGAATTTTTAATTCACAAGGGCAAGAGAGATTAATTTTGGACTTTAATTTGCAAACTTATTTAACTTTTTGGAATTTATTTATTTATTTATTTATTTTCCTGGGACGCCTTTTTTTTTCTTTTACTTTTATTTTAGTTTCAGGGATACGTGTGCAGGTTTGTTATATAGGTAAATTGCATGTCACTGGGATTTGGCATACAGATTATTTTGTCACCCAGGTAGAGCTTTATAGAGTTTAACATTTTCCTTGGGAATTCTATAATTGAAAAAATCTTTATAATATTTTCACTCTATAATCAGAATGTTTTGATGTTGGTATTTCATTTCACTCCAGGAAGGTTATAGCTGCATTGTGACTAACACAGGTACCTCAAATCATGTCTTAAAATAATTTTCAACTTTAGATACTGTGTGGCCTTGGAGTAGATTTAACTGACATAATCTTCTAACACATGTAGGAACCTCCAGGGGTGCACTCCATATGTCATATGGCCCATCAGCCGCTCGAGGAGACACCCAGAGGTATGGGAGGGTGTTTTGTAGGAACCTCATGAAAACAGAAACAACTGTATGGAGGCATGGCTGCTCTCATCCCATGAGGGACAACCACGCTTCTGTATTACTATAGGCAGACTTGTTGAGCCCAGGGGGAGATAAATAAATAATAAAGAAAAGTGGTGGGGGGGACATGGGTAAGGGGTTTCTTTGTCATGCCTCATGTTTCCTTCATTGTGGAGGAAACACCGTGGGTGTAACATTCTTTGATTTTCTGCCCTTGTACTCATTCAACCTAGGGGAGGTGAAGGGACTTCCGTGCTGGTAGATTTGGGAAGGATAAAGAGGACATGCTTAGCTCAGCCATGCCCTTCTTTACAGGAAGGACAGGACTGAGCCAAGCATGCCCTCTTTATTCTGTGCCCCGATCAGATCTGCTGGTGACTGGATGGGTACCTCTGTGGAATACAGGGGTTCAGTATTAGGAAGTGCATCTCCCTATAGATATAAACCAACTCTTTCCACTTATACTTGATCAGTAATGAGGGCACTATTTTGGCTCCAATCTGCCTGACTCATTTGTCTTATTTTTCAAATAGTTCAGTAGCCACGTGGGAAAGGAGTTAGGGTGATATTTATTGGGCTCCCTCAGAGTCCCCATCCCAAAGACCGCCCATGACATAGGTCTGTCCCCCCTGTTCCTCTGTGATGAGTATCCCCCGGCCTGCCGCAGCCTACCTTCAGGCTGCTCCTGGCCCAGGCTCGAGTTCTCTGCCGCTCCACCTCCTGCAGGGCACTCCCCGGCTGGCCTCTCGGATATCTCCGGTGTGCTCTCGTGGGCCTCCTTCTCCAGCTCAGAGAGGGGGCAGTTCCGAGTCCACCATGTGAGGCGTGTGAGCTGGAGGGAAAGAAGACACTGGAGTCAGTTGCCTTGGAGAGAAGTCATGCTGTAGAAGAACAGAGGCCCATTTATGGAAGGCCATCTGAGCAAAAGCAAAGAGTACAAAGAACAAGGCCAGGGCTGGGAGTCAGGAGGCCCGGATCTCAGCCCTGACTTCCTCTTTCTTCAAATATGAGCAATTCCTGCTCTACACCAGGTGCTCTACCCCAGGCTTGTGCTAGGTGCTGGAATACAGACCTGAAACACACCTGGGCCCTGTCCTCATGGATTTTACAGACTGAGGCAAATGAGGCTGGACAGGGAGGCAGGCACTTGAGAACAAGTCTTCAAAGGTCAGGCTGAGGAGTCGTAGCTTAAAGAACAAAAACCCTGTAGGCAATGGAGAGTCACTGCAGACTTTAAGCAGCAGATAGACTGTAAGTGCCAGGATCTTCAAAGTTCTCTTGGAGTGAATTGAAAGGGGTCCAGCCTGGAGGATGTTGTAAAAGTGAAGCCAAAAATAATGGGCACCTGAGGAAATGGGTAAAGGAGGTGAAATCAGGACACCATGACTGACTGAAAGAGCCAGGTGAGGGACATGGGAGAGGCTAATATGGCTCCAGGGTTCCTGCCTTGGGTGACCAGACATGTAGTGGTGCCTTTCCCAGGAATAGAGAACACAGGACAAGGAGTGGGTATTAGTGCTGGTGAAAGAAGGGATAGAGATAGAGAGAAAGAGATAGAGAAAGAGAGAGAGAGAGAGAGAGAGAGAACATGTACACACACAAATATGATGATGTGCTTCAGGAGTCTGCAGGTCCTCCAAGTGGAGATGTTCAGGTGAGGAGAAATGAAACTTTTACTTCCTTGGATGGCCCTGGTGGCTTTCTCTCTTCTCCTTTTTGGTGGCTCAGTAAACTAAAACACAGCAGTTCTCTGCCTTATATCAGTGATGTTGGACTCACCACTGCCTGAGCTCTAAGGCAGCTTTCTGGTGCATGTTGAGCTGGGTATCCCTTATCCTGCTCCCAACTTCTTACTTTCCACTGTGCTGGGCCCAAGCATGCATCTCTCTGGGATCATGAGAGCCTGGGAAGCTTCCTTGCTTGTAAGTATCTCTCAATAAACCTTACCTAATACTTCTAATGGGTGTCACAAATAGCATATGGACTGTGTCTCTTTATGTCACCAGGGTACAGTTGGATTTTGGGGTTTGAATCTTGGGAGAGGGGTTTTGGCTGTAGATAGAGAATTGAGGGTCACCTTTATATAGAAAGTTGTTGAATTTATAGCCCAGGGGTGTTGTAGGGTGAGACAGGTTATAGGCCACAGATGGGTTCCTAAGGAACACTGATATTTCAGGAGCAGATAGAGAAGCCTGTGAAGAAGTCAAAAGAGTGATTGGAAGGGTAGGCAAAACAAACAACAAAAAAACAAAACCTAGGGGAGAAATATTTCATGGAAGTGAACAGAAGAGAGGTCTTCGGGGTGCAGGAAGTGGTCAGTAGTGTCCAGTTCTCTTGGGAATTCACTTAAAGACAGGAACATGACCTTTGATTTTAGCAATAAGATGTTATCAGTGACTTCAGTGAGAGCGATTTCAGCAGAATGTTGGGGACAACAGTCAGACAGCAGCGGGTTGAGAAGCAGACAAGAGGTGGGAAGTGGAGGCTGGGAAAGGAAACCATTCTTTGCAAAAGTCTGCTGTTGAAGGGAGGAGAGGGAGGCAGCAGGAACTAGAGGATAACAGGATTCAGGGAAGGATTTTCAACTGGGGAAGACTTCGGGAAGAAGAGTGAGGAAACAGGCAATGGAGAAGAGGTTGAGGATTCGGCAGGAAAAGGGGCCCATTTCTGGTGTGAGCCACTGGAGAAGTCAGGCTGGAAAGGCCCTGCTTTTTTGTAGGAATCAGTGAAACCAAGGGTATAAAGTCATCTTGCAAACTCTAAAGCACCATCCATCAAAAGAGTATTATCCATGATGTCCACTCAGTGTTTCAGGGACTGTCTTCCAGCATGGGCTCTGTTATGGGCTGAATTGTGTCCTCCCAAAATTTCTGTGTCGAAGTCCTAACCGCCAGTACCTCAGAATGTGACTATATTTGGAGATGGGGTCTTTACAGAAAATTAAGGTTAAATGAGGTCACCAATCCATTATGACTTAAAAGAAGAGGAGATTCAGTCACAGGCAGGCATAGGGGAAGACCGTGTAAAGACAAAGAGGAGAAGACAGTCTTTTACAAGCCACAGAGAAAAACCTTGGAAGAAACCAATGCTGCAGACACCTTGATCTCAGACTTCTCACTTCTGGAACTGTGAAATCATACATTCTGTTGCTTAAGTCACCCAATCGGTGGTCTTTTATTTCAGCAGCCCTAGCTCTAGGCTGTAAGTGTTCAAGGGCCGTTGCTTGTGACAGGGGAGGATTTCAATTTGAGTTCTTCACCTAGTAAGCTCTCTGTTTCTTTTCTCTTGTATTTGTTTCTTGCCCACTCAAAAATTCTCTATTCATTCTTCAGGGTCTAATTCAAAGTGTCCTCATCAGTGTGCCCTCCCTGGGCCCCCAGGAGGTGACTGCCTCTCCCTCTGTTCTTGGCCCCTCTGGTTGAGCTTGGTCCTTCTGCACTTTCTCTTTGTATAGTGATAGCTTGTGTCAGCGTCTGTTTCTCCCTGAGGATAGTCTCTGGCAGGGACCATTCATCTTTGTAAGCCCAGCACAGTGCCTAGCACATAGTAAGTACTCACTGAGTAATTTTCGAGTTGAATGAATTACTTTTCAATGGGGAATTCATAGCCCAAGGCACTTTCCCTCCCAAGGACATCTGTGTGGCCACAGGGGAGACCATAACCCAACAGAGTAAAAGTCAGCAGTGGAATTCTAGGCTATGGGGGAAGGGAGAGCATTTCTGGAGGGCCTCAGTATGAGCACAACACTTGCCTGTTCCTCAGGGATGGGAGTTGTACAGAGGCTGACAATGACAATGACGATGGCAGTGAGCCCGCAGAGGAGGATTGCAAAGTACAGGTAGTGGAAGTCCTTCAGCACTGCTGGCCTCCGGTCCACCTCCCCACAGGCTGGCGCTGGGTATGAGAACTCCAGGATCATACGCAGAAGCCCCACTCCCAGGCCAAACACGAGGCCCCAGAAAGCTCCCTGTGAGAGAGGGCAGACAAGAGCTGAGGTGAGATCCAGGTGGGAGACCCTAGGAAGGTAAAACTACTCTCTCCCCAAATCTCTCTCCCACTGGTTTATTGCCATGTTGGGCAAATCCATCTACTAATGGGAAAATGAGTTCTCCATTAATACTGAGACTTCGTCTTGACTTAAAGGCACAGTGGAATAGGGGCTCTAGAGTCAGGTAGACTAAGATTTGAATCCTGGCTCCATTGTGAACTGACTGAACCAATGACTCGGCCGTGCTGACTCAGAGTTTTCTTATTGGGGGCAGTAATTTAAAAATTCATAAAATTAAATCAGTACTAAGTTAATTAACAGATGGTTAATATTCAACTAAAATGGAATAAACTTTTGTAATAATCAGGGAATACCAGGATCCCCTTCCCAAACTTCTGTCATGATAAATCAGAAATCAGAATAGAGACTTTCCTTTAGTTGCTGTTGTTTTTAAGAAAAGCTCTGGTACTTCTCATGTCTTTCTTCTTTATAGCTCCATTTGGCCCTAACCTGTACCTGTTCCCAGCATGTAAGAGTATGGGAGATACTGATCCTGATTTCAAAAACTTTGGAATGAGCAGAAACACCCAGAGTTCAGCCAGGTACTGCTGTGCGGCATGGTTGTCAGTGAGATGAGACCTGTGCAGACAGTAGACACTTGCTTAGGTGCACCATCAAGGGAGGGGGTTCCATGACCTCATTTTCAATGACCTTGAGCTCTCACATTATTTTTGTGGAGTGGTGTCCATGATATCCCTCAGCTTCTCAAGGTACAGCCAGCCTGTCTCTTCTAGGCTATCCTGGGGAGTAACCAAGGCTCCAGCCCTGGGGTACCGCTAGCTTCCTCCCAGATTCTGTCAGGTTTCAGTGGCACTGCATGAATAATGCAAGTGCAGGAGCCCTTGTAAGGTCACACTTTGTCATCATCATTGTCATTGCTGTTATTTTGCTTACACATAGAACCTTATATTGTTAGACATGGAACAGACCCTAGAGATCTTACAGTCTCTCTTGCACGTTCACACACACTGTTCCTTGTGTCTGGAACATTCTTCCCCCTCTCATTAATCCTTCAGGCCTCAGCTCAGATGTCACTTCATCCAGGAAGTCTTACCTGACTCCTCCCAGGAGCCCCATAGGTTAGGTGCTTGTGCCCTTTACTCTCCCACCAGCCAGCATACTTTGTAACTATTGTTTATTCAGTTATCTCTCTGCCAGCCAAGTGATGGCCCATCTATGTGAATCTCGTAAACTACTGCATCCCTGGAGCTGCCATTATAAGGCTGATAAATGTTTGTTGAGTGAATGAATGAATCTAGGCTGGATGCTGTGGTCAGGAAAATGGAAGCCTAGAGGGGAAGTGGATTTTCTCAAGGTCACAGAGACCAGGTGATTGACAGACCAGGTCTCCAGCCCCTCTGCTGTATGTGAGAGACAGGTACACTGCACTCACGGGCTCTGTGACCCTCTTGCAGAAGATGGCCAGCAGGAAGAGAGCGGTGATGGGTGGGGCCAGGTAACTGGTGACAGCCTGGATGTAGTCGAAGAGCTGCCCACTGTTGGAGCTTTGGATGATGGGGATCCAGAGGATGCTGATGACAACCAGGAACACCACAAACACTCTGCCAGAGAGAGCACAGGGCACTGAGGCACACTCGGGTGGGCATGGTGTGGTGTGGGGTGAAGGTGATGCACAGGAACCAGGAAGGGAGAAAGAAGGGGAATGTACAATCACTAGATCAGAGAAGGTTGGCAGCCAGAATCTCAAATACTAAGATTCAGAAACTTAGTCTTAAAATCCCAGAATATAGGAATTTTGGAACTGAAGAACCTTATAATTCTAATGCCTCCGTGGCACTTATATATTAGACGGCTTCAAGGTCATGTCACCCACCTGTTGCTGTTCAAGGAGGAATTCATACATTCCACCCCACCCCCCACCCCAGTCAAAGGCCTCTGGTCTCTGCTTAGAATGTCTTCTCTTTTCCATCCCTGCCCTGTGTAGGGCAGCTCTTTCCCAGGATGACTGCAGCTTCCAGGGACTGCTCCTTCCTCCACGCGCTGATCCTCTCTCCCTTACTGTGGCATTGATCTTGGGAAAGAATCCCACTTATTCACCTGACTCCTTCTCAACAAACTGTGGCTCAGACCTAAGTCCCCAAAGCATTCTGCATGTATGATTTTGCAGATGTGTGAAGTTGTTGATGAAAAACTTTTCTTGGATGTGTTGGGTGCAATAACACATATGACCAGTAGATAGAGCACAAACCTCACTGATTGAGGAAATGGTAGCAAAACCAGTTCATATGCACAGATAAGGAATGCTTCTTTTGACATGTCACTGCATACCTGTCTTCTCCTCTCCTTTTCCTCCCATTTTGCCTCTCTCAGACTCCACTAGAGCATCAGCCCCCCAAGTAGCTTCCCTGCTGCTCATCCCCCTCCTCTTTGCACAATCTGTCCTGCACTCAGATCCTGCAATGGCCAGTCCCCTTGCCTAGGGCTGGGGGTGCACAGATGAGCAAGCAGTAGGAATCCATTAGGCAGCCCTGGGCAGAAGGCATCCTAGTGGAAAGAACAGTGAGTGCAAAGGCAGGGAGATGTGAAAGAGCAAGCTTCCTAAATTCAAGTACCTATCCACAAAGTGGGAGAACTTTAGTCCAGAAATCCAAGTTAGGGAACCTTCGATTATGAAGCAAAGATCTAAAAAAGGGCCCCTTAACCTTATGTAAACTACAAATCTCCAGCCTATGGAAAACCAAAAATTTTAGCCACCAAGTTATGCTTTTAAAAGCATAAAACTGTTACCCACAAGATAAAGTTCGAATTCCTTAGCTTGGTGTCCAAGGCTCTGCATCATTTGGAGAGAGCCCTCCTATGAAAATCTCCATTGACGCAAATACCTTGCTGTGTTACCTGTGTTTCTACCTTCCTTAATAAACTGTGAGCACGCTGAGGGCAGGGCCATATGACCCATCCGTGGGTCCCCTGCATGTGGGATGTGATGCACAGTAGATGTTCAGAGTGAATCTGATGGATCAAATTAATAGCATTTTTTTTTAACCGGGCTTAACATCCGGAGTTGGTTGGGAATACCTTGGGTGAGCTGCTTGCTAACTTTCCATGCACTTACACAGTTTACCTTTCATTTCTTAAGTACTTTTTCATCTCTCGACAACCCTGTTGATCAATTTCAAGATAAAGTTACCAGGGAAGAGGTGTTTTTTCCTATTATTCTGAAAGGAGGAGTGGTCCAGGGTTGGCGAAGGACTTACTTGAAATCATGTGGAGAGCTGGAGCTTGAACCCGGTGCTCTGGCTGCCAGTCCAGGGTCCAACCCAGCCACCTCTGTTCAGGGTAACCCAGGGCAGGGCAGAGGGGAGAGGGCACTTCGGAAGGAGGGAAGGAGGGGCCGGCGCACCTGCCCACCACCATCAGCTCCTGCTCTGTTGACTTCCTGCGGAAGCGCTGCCACACATCAATGGTGAACAGGGTGCTGCTGCTGTTGAAGATGGAGGTGAGTGAGCTCATGAGAGCGGCCATGATCACGGCAATCATCAGCCCCCGCAGACCTGGGGAGAGACGAGGCTCATGTGAACGGCTGGCCCATTAAGGCCGGCTCTTCCAGGACTACAGAGGCTGCTGGAGCATTCTGTAGAGTCAGGAGCTGGGGGTGGGGATGAGAGAGGGAAGGGGTTGGATGAGGCTCCCATCCAGCACAGATAAGAAATCCTAGACCACAGAACTAGAGGCTGGGTTCTGCCCAGGCTCTGTCCCTGCCTTGCTATGTGGCCTTGGGTGACTCATTTGCCCCTCCACCCCCCACCCTAAGCCTCAGTTTCCTCATCTATCCTATTAAGTTATGTAAGACTAGGTAATCTCTAAGGTTCTCTGAAGCTTCGACATCTCAGTCTAGGTTTCACAGCTTGTAGACACTTGGTTAGTGGGTTGCTGCTGGGGAGAAGAGAAAGGTGATTATTAATAATTGGGTGGATCTGTTTAGTGTTTCCATACCTTCTTCATTGACATGGTGGTGTTGGGCTAAAGCCCTGGCTTGGGAGGTAGCAGCTTTGGGCTTATTTCCTGGCTCTGCAAGTAACCAGCTGTATGTATGATCCTTGGACTAGCTCCTTGCCATTTCTGGGCCTATTTTTCCACTTGAACAAGGGAGGATGGGACCCACTGGTATCTGAAGTTTCTCTGACAGTGACCAAGCTTCTAGAGATATGGCTGCTCACCCCTGGGGAGATGATCCCAGCCCTGGTGCCACCTCAGTCCTCTTTCCTTCCAAATCCATATATTTAACCACCTTCTGATGTCCCCCTCTCTCCCTTGAAGTGTCACAGGTGCCTCAGGCTCAAGTGCTCCAAACTCAGGTGCCCATCTCCCTCTGGGGCCTTCTGTTCCCCTCTTTAGTTATTGTCTTTCCAGCCTCACAGCAGACCTTAGGGCTACCTGAGACCCTTGCTCTGCTCCCCTCCCTGCTTACCTCCAACCTGCCCCTCAGGGCAGCTCTGTCCTAGCTGGGCCTCCCTCCATGGCCACTACTTCCCGGATTCACTCCTCCTTCTACCACAGGGAGGGAATAACTCTACTCTGCTGCCCTCCATAATCCCACCTCTCTTCATATGTCCCTAATCTCAATATTATTATAAGCCCACCACCTAAAGGCCAAGATCTGGGAGGCTTCTTGGATTTCTCTGTCTATATTATCCCTCAAATCAAGTCCTGTCAATTCAACCTCACAAACATCTTTAAATCCCTTCTCTCCATCTCTGATGCCACTGACTTGGTCCACCTACCTGGACCACTGCAAACTCCCCATGGACAATCTCCCTGCCTACCCACAAGCCTGCCTCGTACAGAGTTGTCCACACAGACTGGTCTTGCTAAAACACAAATCCAGTCATGCTCTCTCTGACCAAAACCCCGCAGTGTCCCAGCGCTCTGCTCTAGAACAAGGCTTGGCTGTGACATCCCCACCAGGAAGGTTGTCTTCCTTCCTCCTGGCTCTTGCGTCCACACTGGGCTGCTTTCAATTCAGACTTCCTGCCCTCTCTTCACCCTGGGCCTTTGCACGCACAGCTTCTCATCCCTAGAATGACATTTCCCATGCTCCTCCGGCTGTGTCTGCCTAAGATTTAACTCGGGATGTAGCTCCATTTCCTTCCCTCTGGGAGACATTCCAGACATCCTCCAGCTGGGTCAGGTGCCTTCTTAGGGCTCCCTTAGCCCATACTGGGTCACCACACTGGTCCCACTGGATTGTGCCTGTGGCAAGTCCAGGTACCCTGGAGACCGCATGATGCCTGAGCAGGGGCCTGCCTTTTATCTCTGCATCTCCAGAACCTGCCCACAAAGCTGGTGTCTTACGTACAAATGCCTGTAAAACGTGTGTGTATGTGTTGGGATGGGGGTGCAGAGGTGAATAGTTTTCTTCCCTCTTCCCATCCATGTTAGTGCCTTCCCTCCTGGGCAGTGGAGATTGGAGGAGGCTGGAGGTGAGAGTGCAGGGTGGGGTGGGGAGAAGAGACTCACCAACAGGCATGAGGGCCATGACCAACTTAGGGTAGGCAATGTTGGAACATCCCACTCGGGCCCCACAGATTCTTTGGCAGACATCAGGGTCCACGCAGCCCACCTCGTCTGTGGAAGAAGTAATGGCAGTTAGAGTCCGTGATCTCGTGCCTTCTCAGGTTGGCCTAGTATTTGCTTTCCAAAACTACAGGATAATGTTCACTGGAGACTCTGACAGGGACCCATGTCTACAAGGTTGGGGGGCAAATGGTGTCTGGGTCTTTGGTAAATTTCTCGTCCGTATACTTATTACCTGATTCACATTTTTTCTACTGAAATACTTATCATATGTTTGGCCCACAAAGCCTAAACTGCTTATTATGTGTTCTTTTCTATCTTTTTTTTTTTTTTTTTTTTTTTTTTGAGATGGAGTCACGCTCTGTCACTCAGGCTAGAGTGCAATGGAGCAATCTTGGCTCACTACAACCTCCACCTCCTGGGTTCAAGTGATTCTCCTGCCTCAGCCTCCTGAATAGCTGGGATTACAGGCATGTGCCATCACGCCCGGCTAATTTTTGTATTTTTAGTAGAGACGGGGTTTTACCATGTTGGTTAGGCTGGTCTCGAACTCCTGACCTCATGATTCGCCCATCTCAGCCTCCCAAAGTTCTGGGATTACAGGAGTGAGCCACCATGCCTGGCCTTCTTTTCTTTTCTTTTTTCTTTTCTTTTCTTTTTCTTTCCTTTCCCTCCCTCCCTCCCTCCCTCTCTTCGTTCCTTCCTTCCTTCCCCTTCCTTCCTTCCTTTTCTTTCCTCCTCCTCCTCCTTTTTTTCTTCTTCTTCTTCTTTTCTTTCTTTCTTTTTCTTCCTTTCTTCTCCTTCCTTCCTTCCTTTCTTTTTCTTTTTCTTTCTTCTTCTTTTCTTCCTTTCCCCTTCCTTCCTTCCTCCCTCCCTCTTTTCTCTTCTCTTCTCTTTTCTTTACTTTTCTTTCTTTTCAATAGGGTTTCTCTTGCTCTGTCTCCCAAACTGGAATGCAGTGGGGCAATCACAGCTCACTGCAGCCTCAACCTCCTGGACTCAAGCTCCTGGACTCAGGATCCTCAGCCTTCCAAGTAGCTGGGTCTATGGGTGCATGCCACCATGACCGGCTATGTATTCTTAATAGACAAACCTTGCCAACCCCTGCTCTGGCCTAACATTGTCCAGGGCCACATTCCCATTCTCCAGACACTCCTTGAAAGCCTCAGATCCCAATACCCAGAGAGCAAGGCTCGTTCTTACCTGGGAACAGGGCCCGGCTGATCATGCCAGGCATGACGATGAAGAACATGGGGAGGATCTTCAGGTAGCCCCCCAGCACGGAGCCTCCCTTGGCATGAGACAGACTCTTGGCCGAGAGAGACCGCTGCACAATGACCTGAAAGGGCAGCAAATGAGGAGTGCAGCGCAGGTAGAGGAGAGGCTCATTAAGCCACAGGTGAGCCCTGACACTGGGCATGACTGTGTCCCTACTCCAGTCCAGTCACAATCCCAGAATGAGGTCCAACCCTCTATGCATCCAGGCACTGGGTTTTTCTGCAGGAAGCCACCCCACTTCCTGGCAGGCTGGGCTAAGCCTGGCTGGGGGATTACCTGGTCTGTGCACCAACACCAGGTGGCCAGCACTGTGAGCCCGAAAATGAGACCTGGCCAAGGGATGTCCCCGCTCACAGGGTCCCGAAGAATGTGGAAAGCATCGGGCCGTGGGAGGTGACAGGTGGTGTTGGGGACTGTGACATTAGGGATGGCCTGCCTGTACCGCTGCTCCAGGCCTGGGTACCAGCCCACGTCCTGAAAGCCTGTGAGGAGACAGTGAGTGAAGCAGCCCTGAAACCCCACTGAGCCTGTCACTCAGCAAGCCCAGCCCCAGCCTCATGTGGGCCCTCAGGTTGGAACTGGCATGGGGATTGGGGGTGAAGGAGGAAGATGGGGCTTGGGCTCAAGACCCTTGGTTTGAAGTAGCGAGAACCCTGCTCTTTGGGAGCTGCAGCCTGGAGAGGGGACATGGCTCACATGGCTCTATGCACTGGAAAGTTTCAATCGAACTGTGGAGGTGGCAGAGACAGGACAGAGAGGAATTTAAGAATGACAGTGGGGTATATTTAGGTCTCTTCCTTACCCAGAAACATGAGGACCAGGGCTCCCCCTACCATGATCACCGTCTGCAGAGCATCTGTGTAGATCACGGCCATGAGGCCACCTGGGGACCCAAGGAGAGGGCTCATCAGTCAGCACCAGTTTGGGGTCCTCTCTGGCTGCCTGCCCTGTGCATGGCCACACTGGGGAGACCAGAGAAGACACACAGCCCTCTTAGCAGGGGAACTCTGGCCACTGCCTTTCTCCGCACCTAGTGTTCCCCTCTCTCCCTCCCCGGCAGGATGCCAGCTGGTCACAGTCAAAGGTGCTGGGGCCCCTTCTTTCTGTCTTGACAGCAGCTGACTGTGGCCATCACACCACAGCTTTGTGTTATTGTTTAATATCCCAAGTCCATTCCTTGACTTGCAGTTCTGCCAGGAATACTCCCTGCTTTCTCCTCCCAATGCCCATCTAAATGCCCCCCTGTCTCTGGACCCCAACTTAACCATAAGTAAGGCTGTCCTGTGCTGGCCTCCCAGGGTGCCCAGCCCTGTGCAAGGAGATTTGGAGGAGGTGGGTTGTGGTCTCTGCCTGGGGCAGCCTGCAGTGACTCTGGCTTGGGTCATAGTCCTCCTCTCTACCCTGCTCCCCAGGCAGTTAGTCTTTTGTGGTATTTCTTACTGTCTCTCCTTCCCTGTCTCTGCCTGACCTGTTCCTCCTCCCATTTCTGCCCTTTTTATCCCCCTGGTCTCTGTCCCTGTGTCTGTCATTCTGTTCCCCTGTGTTCTTCTCTTCTACGTCTCTGTCTCAGCCTCTCTTTGTCTCTGCCTCTCCTGTTTCTCCTCTCTGTCAGCATCAGCTTTCTGTCACTCTGTCTCTCTCTCTGGTTGTCTCTCCTTCAGTCTTTCTCTCTGGGTCTCTGCCAGTCAGAAGCTTTCCTCTTGCCCTCTTCCCTCTGCCTACCTGCAATGGTGTAGACGGCAGTCACCACCAGCAGGATCCCTGTGGAGAGGTACAGGTTCCAGCCCAATGCCATCTGGATGAAGAGGGCTCCAGAGAAGATGTCAGTCTGCAGAGAGCCAGGACCCAAGAGGCCAGACCACCCGAGGCCCTCAGTAGGGTTGTATGGACACATCACCTGCCTGCCCAGCAACACCAGGCACCCTCAGCCCTCATCACATGATGAAAATGAGCTTTAAGTGCTATGCTAAGGAGTGTGGGTTTTATCTTGCAGACACTGAGGCGCCATGGAGACTTTAAAGCAGAGAAGTACTGTATAAAGCCTCCAAACTGAGATAAATTTAATCACGTAGCTGGTCTGCTGGACATGAAGGGAGTGGTGAGGAATGAAGTGGAAGGCTGAGGAAGTGAAGGAAGGTGCTGGGCTGGAGAAGAAGAGCTCATTTAGGAGAAGAGAGGAAGAACCGGAGAGTTGCTGGCTGCTCCCTGGCAGAGCAGAGCCTGCTTGGCTGTCAGGTGGCCCACGGCTGACCCAATGCGGCAGGAGCCCTGGTGCAGATAGGCATGGGTCTGGGTCATCTACATACTTGGGTTTATTAGCAGACATGGGCTTATAGCCTGAGCTTAAGCTGACTTAGGATGTTCTCAAATATTGGTGGAACAAGGGCCTTAAAGTGTTTTTCAGCCCTAGACCTGGCAACGGAGTGATTCAGTTCTCTTTAGTGTATGCTTGTGGATACCATTCCATGATTGTTTTGTGAACCTGTTACAGGGTCTAAAACATAACAGAGTGGAAGGAGCCTGGACTGGGTCATGGAACCCACACTTCAGCTTCAGTTCTAGAGCTAGCCCTCTGTGTGGGCTTGGGCAAGTCATTTGACCTGTCTAGGTTTGTTTCCTGATTTTAGGTCAGTAGAGGAGGACTAAAGACCTTTCTAACTCCAAAAATCTAGGCAACTAATGTACAGTTGATGAACAAAGAATCCATTAATGAAAAAATAAATGAATGAACTCTGGATTGTGATTTATTTGAGTGTAGGGGCTGTCATTCACTCCAAAAACATTTATCATTCATCTCTGAGTACCCCAGTGCTGAGGCAGAACATGCATTAAATGTTTATAGGTCCTGCTTTCCTTTTTTTCAACAGTGATTGTCAGCTTCCCCTCAGCAACACGCACATGGTGATGCACTCAGCAGTTCCCTAATTAGCATTTCCAGACACAGTGACCACATTGCAGTGACACCTACCGAGATCTTGGTGAAGATGTAGAGGATGAGAGACAGGACAGACATGTACACCTGGATCCTCTGGCCCCCAAATCGCTTCTTCAGATACTGCGGCATTGTGACCACACCTGCTGCGATGTACACAGGGACGAAGACCCAGCCAAGGGCCAGGAGCAGCCAGGTTGCCTGGGAGAGTGGGGAGAAGAAGAAGGTATCCAGGTCCTGGATGTAGACAGAGGGGCGGCTTCCCACCCAGAGGCAGTGCTGTGCTGTGGGAGGCCCCCGAACAGAGAAATAAGAGACCTGGGACCTGACCCCAGTCCTCCCGTGTGACCTTGGATGGATCCCTCTGTCTCCTCCAGACCTTGATTTCCTCATCTGTGAAATGGATTCTCAATTGTGAAATGGATTCTCGATTCACCATGTAGCCTCCCAGGCATCTCTAAGGATCCTCCCAGCACTAATGCCAGAGACAGAGGTGGGTTAGACCCTCAGTATTCTGGAGAAACCAGGCCAGCTTCCTTACGTTCCACTCGAAGCCACCTACGGCAAGGCCTCCGGCAGCCCCTGTCCCAGCCAGGCCGATGAACAAGCCACTGCCCACATTGCTGGACATCAGAGATGCTCCAATCTGCAAGGCACAGTTGGGTCAAGGGTCAGGAGTCAGGAGTGATCTGAATGAATCTGGAGCGAGGACCATGAGTAGTGAGGAGCTGATATTTGTTGGGTACCCACTGTATGCCAGGCACTGCATTCATAAATACATTTAATTCCACAGATATCCGCAGGGAGGGGTATTAGTCATCCCAGGTTACAGAGGAAGGAACTAATGTAAGGAAAGATGAATTCATGGCTCCAGGTCACCCAGTGAGTAAATGGTGAAGTGGGAAAAAAGGGAAAGTGGGAAGGAAGCCTGGAAGTGGGGAGTGTGGACCTCCGCCCTGAGGCCATGGGTCTGAGGGCCTCCAAAGGAAGGAAGCTGAAGGGGATAGGGAAGCCCCACAGGAGGGAAGGAAAGGCCCTCCCACCACCCCAGGGATAGCCAGGCAGAGGGAGGAGCCGAGGGACTGAGCACAGGCCAGGTCGACCTCTGAGTTAGTTCTCCAGGGGCGCAGCCAAGCACTTGGAGGCAGTAGAGAGCAATGATGATGGTGAGCATGATCAGGGCAGTCAGGGCCTGTGCAGCATCTCCAGGAACCAGCTGGCCTTCTGAGTTTGGGGACTCATTTAATCCTCGCCACAACCCTCAGTGCTACTTTTATCCCCATCTTACCCATGAGTGAACTGAGGCACAGATAGGTAACTTGCCCAAGTCTCAGAACTAGTAAGTGACCAAATGAGAATTCAATCCCTGGCTGTCTGGCTCCAGTAACACTACACAAATGGTGCTTGCCACTTAATGAGCACTTGGTCAATATTCTCTCTTATTATTAGATGGGATCTCTGACTGGGAGGGGAGAAGGGGGAGAGGAAGGGGCTCTGGAGCCTGGGAGGAGGCTTAAGGAGACCTCGGGGAGAGGGCTGGGGGCAGCTAGGGGCAGAGCCGTGTTCCTTTTTGTATACTATGTCACCACAGTAAAATCACTTCCTCTATCAACGCCTCAGCTTCTTCACCTATACAATGTGGGACTCACTTCCGCCCAACTTCCTGTTCTTCCGGAGGTGCTGTGAGAGAGAAAGTGAGAGGAGAGGAAAAGCACTGAGAAATTCAGACAAAGGCAGTAAGCAGTGTAAAGGCACAGAATGAGGAACAGGCCTGACATTGCTGAGGCCCTGGTGCTAGCGCCTCTGACATGTGCACATGCACACTCACATGTACACTCACACACACACAGGCACAGTACACACACACTCTCACACATGCACACACAGATGCAATCACACACACAGGCACAGTACACACACACACACTCTGACACACATGCACTCACACCCACACAGGCACAGTACACACACACTCATGCAATTACACACACTCTGACACACACATGCACTCACGCCCACACAGGCACAGTACACACACTCTCTCACACATACACACACACACACTCTGACACACATGCACTCACGCCCACACAGGCACAGTACACACACACTCTCACACATGCAATCACACACAGGCACAGTACACACACACTCTGACACACACATGCACTCACGCCCACACAGGCACAGTACACACACACTCTCACACATACACACACACACTCTGACACACATGCACTCACACACAGGCACAGTACACACACACTCACACATGCACACACACATGCACTCACACACAGGCACAGTACACACACACACGCACACACACTCTGACACACACACTCATGCACTTGCACCGTCGCACACATACACTCACACACATGCACATGTCCTCATATGCCCTCACACGCACAGGTATGCACACACGTGCACATACATTCGCAAAGCACACACACACAAGCACACTCATGCACACACACAGTGCCCACATTCACACATGCATACATACTCACACATGGAAACAAATTCACACAGGCACTCACACACACACTCACTCTTCCTCTCTCAGGCGGTCCCAGGGTGCTGGTAGGGCTGGGCTGAACCACCCAGTCAGAGCAAAGAACACCAAGGCCTCCTACTTCAGGGGAAGAAGCCTCCCCCAGGCAGTTCTTGGAGCAGTGAGGCACCTCCACCCCAACCCAGCCCAGGGTTTTTAACCTCACTTCTCCTGCTCCTAACCCAGGAGACATCAACAAGATCAGCAGGGGAGGCATGGGGAGGAGGACCATGCAGACCTCTCTGGAAGAGGACGGGCGACTGCACCTTCTGCTCTCAGCCTCCCAAGCCCCACACTGTTCATGGGGCACAGACTCAGGGCAGGGCAGATGCCCAGACAAACACTCCAGCAGTGCTGGTGGGACTGAGCTTTCCCTACCCAGAGCTGGTTCTTACTCTGGCCTCAGGCAGGACCCAGGTCTCAGGTGCAGGAGGCACAGCTCACAGCCTGGCCCACCAGAGGATGGGGAGCACATCCTCTCTTTCCCACTGGGTGCCTGCTCTGTGTTTGGGGCGCAGTGGGAACCTGGGAGTGCCTGCCAAGGCCTCCCTCTTGTTTGGAGGCCTCAGGTTCCTCACACTAATCGTTGGGCCAGAGCTCGGCTCTCTGTGGGTTGACCAGACAATCAGCAGGGCCCCTGGGCTTCTCCTGAAGTGGTCAGAGGAACCTGCTCTGTCCTGCTTCTTTCTCCTCCTTTCCTTCATTTCCAGGGCTGTGATTTGGGGGGCACTAGCTGAAAAGAACCATTTTGAAGGGTTTTTCCTTTTTCCTGATGAGAAGGTGGCTGTAGCACCAGTGACCCCGCCACTGTTCCTGAGCTGCAAGGCCCAGCTCCCCGCCATCCCTGGGGATTCTGTCATGCTGGACAGACAAGAGCTCCCTGCTCCTACTTCTTCCTGTCCCAGATACCTAAACCTTCCAGAGAGCCCTGGAGGCCTCCTGTGTTTCTGCTACTCTTTAATGAGTCTGTGACCACTAGAGAGTGGGGAAGGTGGTGAGAAGGAGAAGGGTGGGGAGAGGCGTGAAGATGGCTGGTGGTGTGAGTGCGCATGAATGTGTGAGTCTGAGTGTGCACGTGTAAGTATGTAAAGGAGCATGAGTGTGAGACTGCATGTGAGTGTATGTGATTGTGACAGTGTGTATGAGAGTGAGAGTGTGAGTGCGTGAGAGAAGGTGTGAGTGTGAGAATAGGAGTATGATTGTGTGCATGAGTTTGCAAGCATGTATGAGTGCGGGCATGTATGAACATGTGTGGGTGCCTTTGTATGTGAGTGTGAGTGTTGTGTGTCAGTGTGTGAGAGTGTGCATGTGGGAGTGGGTATGCACACATGCCGTGTGTGAGTTTTGCATGCCTGGGTGTGTATACTGCTTCAGCTACCACTGGGGCTGATGACTCTACTGGTAATTTTTGAGGCAGGGCTTTCCTCCCTCCATCCCATTCCAGGAGGAGGAAGTTAATTTTGAGGACCAATAGAAATGTGAGGTGGCTTGATGGGAGAAATTGTGGCTCACGAAGGTTTGGGGATCGATTCCCTGAGGTTTTTGGGGATTTTACCTCTGTGATTCCCCTAACTTAGAAATGTGGTGTGGCTTGATGGGAGAAACTGTGGCTCACAAAGTTTTGGGGATCGATTCCCTGAGATTGCTGGGGATTTTACCTCTGTGATTCCCTTAACTTAACTGTTCTTCAATATTAAGCTTATGTGTCACCTTCCCCCCAAAATCTTTCCTAACCCTAGCTGACTCCACTGTCTGGTGGTCAGGGGCTTCCAAGCTCTGGTGAGTGCCCCCTGCTTCCCTCTGGCTCAGCAGTGCGCATGATGTTTATGAATCTATCTGCCCCACTCAGCTCTGAGCTTCTCTAGGACAGGGACATTCCAGATTCATCACTGCAAGTCAAGTGCCAGATGTAGGGCCACACCTAGGAGGGGCCAGGGGATGTTTGTCCAAGGTGCGTGCTAGCAGGACCACTCAGGTTGCGGGGCGGGTTTGGGCGGGAGAGAAGGGGCCCAGAGTCAGGAAACACAACGGGGAGGTCTTTGCCTTGGTCCAGGTGTGAGAAGATGGGACAAGTGCTTGGATAGTGGGGAGGAAGAAAGTTGGGAGCCTCTGCACTAGGGGTGGTTGAGAAGGGTCAACTCACTGGCCACCAGCTCATGGACCTCCCGGCCAGGAAATAGCCGCCAATGGTCCCTCGACTTGCACGGATGGACGACTGGAAAGGAAATAGATGAGATGAGGATTTCTCAAGACTCTCTGAACCTCTGCCCTGCCCCCTCCCCGCAGATTTCCTTCCCCTCGGTGCAGGCACTGTGGGGACACAGAGGGTGAAAACTGAGGCAGAAGAGAGCTGCCTGAGGCTGGTTCCACAGTTTCTAAGCGATGTATCTTGGCAGAGTCACTTTCTCTGTGAGCCTCGCCATTCATCTCCCAGGGCCAGTGCGAAGAGCAAAGGAGGTAACGGATGTCACGTGTGTGAAGCCATTGATTGTGCACTCTTGTCCCCTTATCCTTCCCTCCCCAAAGTGCGCTTTCAGAGTATGATTTGTTATCACCTCCTTAGATGTGTAGTGCTCACCCTTTCTCTGAGCTGATCCCCTCCCTGCTCCCAGCTGAGCTCCCACACTGGAGGCGGGAGGACAGAGAGGGCTGCAGTTTGACTGTGAGACTTTGAGCCCTGAGTAGAGTTATGGGTACTGTTTTGGAGTTTCCCTTGCCCTGGGTTGAAATCAGATCACGCCACTGAGCCCCATCCAGGACCTCCCTGTCTTACACCAGTAGGTGGTCAGTTAGCAGCCTGTTGGAATATTCTCTGGAGATACAGGGTGAGGGCAGGGCAGTGGGTAGGGAAGGATGAACTTGAAGCAGCTATTCAGATGCAAAAGCCAACAGTTCTCTGACTTTCCCCTAAGGGAAAATAATCAGTCACGAGGGAGTGATAAATATGTGTGGGGCCTTGTGCTTGTTAAGCTTTTGCTTGTATTTTCCTTGTCAGCTCTGATCCTCTTGGAGGCCATACGAGCAAAACAGATCCATTTTACAGATGTGAAAATGGAGGCCCAACATTGGAAGCAATTTGTCCAAAGTCACAGAGGAGTTGGTGCTTTTCTCGGCTGGCCACTTCCAGGAGCCAGTGACCATCTGTTAGCCCAATTCTTCCTCACACCAGCACTAGAAGGCAGGGACTGTTCACCCCCCTTTATAGATGAGGAAACTGAGGCTCAGAGAGGGTCTCTGACCTGGCCACAGCCTAGGAAGTGACCATCTGGGACTTGAATCACAGCAGAGTCTAAAGGTGCTCACACTTCTGTGGAATGCGTGGTGATAATAGCAGCCATTTATTGCCTGCTGATCGGGCACCAGGCACCGTGCCAGGTGCTGCAGTATGTCCTGTTGCTGAATGATCACAGCATAGTCCTTATTCTCATTGTTCACCTGAGAAAGCTGATAGGCCTCATATGTTCCCAGGGACATGAGGCTCTCATTGTTGCAGCTGGGACCTGAACTCAGGTTTCCCTGACCCCAAAGCCTGGCCCCTGCCTCTAGCACTGAGGCTCCTGGGAACAATGGAGAACAGAGGAACCTTGGAATAAGCCTGGCACACTTCCCTGAGAGCACATGAGCCCCTTCTCATTTAGAAATCACCTTAGCCAAGATGCTAACGAATGCAGGACTGAGGTAGGGCCAGGGGTCAAGAGTTCTCAGAGTTGGGGGCCTTGGGGTGGGAAGAAGGAAGGAGTGAGGCTCAGGGCAACCAGGGATGGTTGGGGCCAAAGGCAGCAGGTGCTCAGAGAGGAGTCAGGAGTCGGGGGCCTGGTCTGCCTCTGACTCTCTGTGTGACCTCAGACCAGCCACACCCCTCTCTGCCCTTCTAAAAATGAGGAGATCAGGAGCCTGATTCCTGAAGGCCCTTCCTTCTCAGCCACATGGTTCTATGATCTGCTTCTTTCTGCCTAGCCCTGCCCCAGCTCCACAGCCCCACCCAAGCTGAGAGACCACTACTACCTCCCCTGCTAGCCCCAGCCTCAGGGCCCACTTACCCAGATCCCCACAGCAATGACGAAGACAAAGTAGATGACCACCACGCTGATGTCGTAGGCGTGCAGACCAACTCTGGAGTCCAGTGCTATGTGTGGAGCTGTCTCAGTCCTGACCCCGTCCCCTGAAGCTCCAGGCCCCATTGCTGCCAGCTCCTTGCTCATCTGTTAGTGTTGGTCAACAGCAGGCTGGACTTTGAGGCGCTCCTGGCTTCATTCCTTTCCTTTAATGATTAAACTGCCCCAAGCACCATTAGTTGGTGAGAAAACTCTGAGCCCTGCTGGCACATACAGTCCTGCCTCCTTTTCTCCCAACTGCCACCACCAACCCCTGCAGGACTCCTTCCTTCCTCTTCCTTGCTGCCACTACGTGCACACACATACATGCATGTGTACACACAGGCACACACATACACGCAATCTCCCTAACCCCAGATGAGCAGGAGGAGAAAGGAGGGGGAGGAGGAAGAGGAGAAAAGGAGCAGAATATTGGAACCCCAGAGGTGGGAAGGACTTCAGAAATCAAAGTGTTCAAACTCCTGTGTGGTGGGAAAACCAAGGCCCAGGGAAGTAAAGGTGGAGCCGGGACTGGAGTCCAATTTTCTTAAGAGTTCAATACAATTGTCTTTTACCTAGTGAGAGGAAGACAAGGGGAAGGAGGTGAGGAGTCTACTGTGACCCTAGCAAAGTGGCCACCACCTCATGTACTCCCATTCCAACCTACCTAGATGTTGCTTTCTCTTTTTATATAGTGTAGGAAACTGAGGCTGGGGAAGACATCATCATTTATTCCAAGGAACTAGGCAGGGCCATCTCTGAAAAGGCAGAGCCAGAATTCACATCTTCTGATGCCTGACCCATACTTCCTATTCTGTACTGTGACAGATGAAATGGTTGTGGTCAGGAGGCCTTCCCTGAAAAAGATACAGTGCTCCCTGGGTCCAGGGAAGACCATCTCTGGGACTCAGGCAGCCTAGATTTCAGTCCCAGCTCCACCTCTCACTGAACTACAGATGCCCTTGGGCAGGTTGCTAAATGTCTCTGGGCCCGGGTGTCCTCATCAGTGTGACCTGTGCCCTGCCTGCCTCACACCACCAATGAGGCTAAGATGTGCTCCTGAGAACCTCTGCAAACCCTGAGCTACTGAATGTTCTTGGGGTTAACACAAAGAAACCAACATCGACCACCATCTAGCCAAGGGGCCCAGATGCCACGCACTTAGATATCTGCTCACATGGTCCTTCCAAAGTAGCTGCATTTGGAATATTTCAGTCTTACAAATATTACTCTGCATGCATCTGCTGTAGGGCCCAGACTGGAGCAGCAGGAAAACAGATCTCACTGGCCCTGTCCCACACCCCATCCCCAGCTCTCACTGGCCCTGTCCCACACCCTATCCCCAGCATCTTATAAGTATCCCAAGGCTGGGTGTGAGGACCAGATCCTCTTTTTTCCCCTTTTGGTGGAAAGAAAAGTGAGAGGCAGGGTCCTAGGCCTTCTCTCCCCAGTTCTCCTATCCCAGAACATCAGGCACTGGCCAGGCTGAGCCCCGAGGAGAGGGATATTGATCTGGGAGAGAGGTCAGCATAGTCCCCAGCTGGACAGGGCTCTGTGGGATCTAGCACCTGTTAGGATTAGATACCAGAGGAAGAGTCCTTCATATACACGTTTAAAGGCAAGTTTATCAGACGAACAGGGATGCAGGAGGGGCAGCATTAGAAACATCAGGAAAATGTGATGGACCAGGTGCCCAGTGGTCCCTGGGGGTGAGCTGGATACAGGGACAGTGGGGAATGAGGCTGGCAGATCTCTGGGTGTTAATCAGGGAGCAGGGAAGGAGTGGTCTGAGCTTAGGCCTCTGAGCACACCATAGTGAGGGCTCTGGATCCGGATGACTCTTCCAGAGATGGGAAAAGGAATGTCGCAGGGAGAAGACAGCTGAGTCTTGTACTTCTTTCTATGCTCCCCACAAGGAGCCCCCTCACCCAGCCCTTGGGGTTTGCTATAGTTTGGATGCTTGTGTTGCTTCCAAAATTCATGTTGAAACTGAATCCCCAATGCAACAGTACTAAGAGGTAGGGCCTTTAGGAGTGATTAGCCCGTGAGGGCTTCTCCCTCATGGGTGGGATCAGTACCTTATAAAAGGGCTAAGGGAACTAGCCAGGCCCTTTTGCCTTTTTACCTTCTGCCATGTGAGGACACAGCCACAAGGTGCCGTCTTGGAGGCATAGACTGGGCCCTCACCAGACACCAAACCTGCTGGGGCTTTGATCTTGGACTTCCAGCCTCCAGAATTGTGAGAAATAAATTCCTGTACTTTATAAATTACCTGGTCTTAGGTGTTTTGCTGTAGCAGTAGGGATGGACTAGGACAGTGTTCTGCTGCCTGCATGCTCTGTCTTCCCATCTACCTCACAGATACATGAGGCTGACCCCCAAACCCTGCACACTTACCTAATCCAAAACTAGCAGGTTTGGGTTTATAGTAGCCTCTCCTCGAATGCATCTAAGACTTATCTGTAAGCTAACCAGGCACATTAGCAGCCCAGAGACCAACAGAGCATGAGGAAGGGAGCAAAAAAGGCTTTGAAACAGCCAGAATAGACATTCTAAAACTCATGCCCAAAACCTAAATCTTTGACTTATCAGTGAGCCTTGTGACCCCACTCAGAGACTGTTTATTTTTGTTTTAGCCAGAGTCTTGTTATTCATATCCCAACTCACAACAAATTAGAAGAGAGGGGGCAAAGCTACACAGGGACAGCAAGGAGAATGGCAGCTGATGGGTTGATGGTGCATGAGAGGTCATTAAACCTGGAAAGACCAGGAAAGACAATGTAAAAGATGACTAAATCGGGGCAAACAGACCTATAAAACTGGGTAGATCAACTCTCAACAAAGGGCATTCTTGAGTAGCAGCCAAGATTCACACACATACGGATGACCCAGAGTCATCAAGGAAAGGTGACTGTGGTCATTATGAGTTTTCTATTTAGAAGGCATGGAGTATGAAACCCAGGCAGGAAGAGTTTCATGCAAAATGGTCAAACATTTTAGGCAGGTGTTGGCATTCAAAGCTGAGGCCTCAATTATCCAGAATATTCTCTCAGAGAGCTTCCGAGAGTGAAGGATGTCCTCATGCTGTCAGTCCTACATGAAGTGAGGCCTGTCCTATCCCTGACCCTGTTCAGGGAGCACACATGTCTTTAGTTGTTCATGCCTTGTGGGGAATACAGACAGTCAAAAGACAGGTGCTTTTGACACAAAATAGGTCACTTTTGTCCACCCCTTTCTTCCTTTTAGCTGGATAGCCCAGAGGAAGGATCAATGAAGTCCTTTGTTGGAGAGACTGAGAAAGCTTTATGGGAAGGGGAATGGTTTCAGCCATGCATAAAAAAGTATAGAAATATAACAGGCCAATAAATGGAAGTTGCCACTGAGGCACAAAGACATACTACACATAAGAAGAACAAAGTTGGAGGTTTCATGCATCCTGATTTCAAAACTCACTACAAAGCTACAGTAGTGAAAGCAGTGTGGTAGTGGCATAAAGACAATCATATAAACCAATGGAATAGAACAGAGAGCCCAGAAATAAAGTCTCACAGTTACAGTCAAATGATTCTTGACAAGAGTGTGAAGACCACTCAGTGGAAAAATGACAGCATTTTCAACAAATGATGCTGAGAAAATGGAATATTCCTATGCCAAAGAAAGAAGTTGGACCCTTACATTGCACCATATATGAAAATTAACTCAAGATGGATTGAAGACTTAAATGCAAGAGCTAAGAAAATAAAGCTCTTAGAAGAAAACATAGGGTAAAATCTTCATGTTGTTGGACTTGGAGATAATTTCTTGGTGATGATGCCAAAATCACAGGCAATAAAGGAAAAAATAAATAAACTGAACTTCGTCAAAATTAAAAACTTCTGAGCATCAAAGGACACTATCAACAGAGTGAAAAGGCAACCGATGGAATGGGAGAAAATATTTACAAATCATACATCTGATAAGGGATTAGTACCTATAATATATGAAGAATTCCAGTAAATCAACACAAATGAAACTAACAATCCTACTCAAAAATAAGCAAAGGAGTTGAATAGACAATTCTCCAAAGAAGTTATACAGGTGGCCAAAATGCATATGAAAAGATGTTCAACACCACTAATCATTTATCATTGTGATACAATATCACTTTGTACCCATTTGGATGACTATTATCAATAAAACAGAAAATAACAAGTGTTGGTGAGGATGTGGAGACAGTGGAAACCTTGTGCATCACGGGTAGAAATATAGGATGGTGCAGCCTGCATGGAAAACAGTATGGTAGTTCCTCAAAAGATTAAAAATAGAGTTACTATGACCTAGCAATTTCACTTTTGGGCATATATCCAAAAGAATTGAAAACAGAGATTCAAAGAAATATTTGTACACCCATGTTCATAACAGCATTAATTTTAATGGCCAAAAGATGCAAACAACCCAAATGTCCATCAACAAATGAAGGGATAAACAAAATGTAGTCAAAACATTTAATGGAATATCATTCAGCCTTATAAGGAATTCAGGGCTGACACATACTACAACAGAGATGAACCTTGACATTATGCTGAATGAAAGAGAATTTTTGAGTGGCAAGAAACAAATACATAAGAAAAGAAATAGAGAGTTTACTAGATTAAAAGCTCACATTGAAACCCTCACCTCTCATAAGCAACAGTCCTTGATCATTGATGCCCAGTCTTGCTGCCTTTTTTCCTTAGAGCCTATAGCTAGGGCTGTCATAATAAGGACCACAAACTGGGTGACTTAAGCAACAGAAACAACATTCTTGGCTGCCATTCAAGAATGCCCTTTGTTGAGAGCTGATCTACCCTATATGAATGGAACCATATAGCATTTGTCTTTGACCCAAATGCTGTATGGTTCCATTCATATAGGGTGCCTAGAGTCGTCAAAATCATAGACACAGAAGGTAGAATAGTGGCTGCCAGGGTTTGGTGGAGGAGGGCTTAGGAGTTATTGTTTAATGGGTACAAAGTTTCAATTTGAGAAGATGAGAAGAGTTATGGAGATAGATGGTGGTAATGATTGCTCAACACAGTGAGTGTACTTAATATTACTGAATTCTATTCTGAAAAATGGTAAGTTATACATTATATATATTTAACCACAATAAAATGTATAGGAAAAAAAGACATAGTATACATACAAATTACAAAATAAAGAGCAGATTTGTAAAGGAAATACTAAGAACTGAATTTGCAATTCCAAATACTCTATAAGGGGGATACAAAAAGATTTTGTAAACATTTATTTAGACAAATCTTTGTTGCATTTTCCTAATGATGGGGGAAGGGGTTTGGGGCAAGCAGCCTTGAGCTTGCCCCTTGCCCCAAGTGTAGTTTCGGGTTCAGGAGCGTTGGCAGGGAAACGTGGAGAGCTGGGAGGCATACCCCTCAGTTGGGGCACTGTGGACCAGGGTCGGACTCAAGTCAAAAATACATAAAGGGCAAGAGCCTCTGGCTTCCTCGCTGCTTCTCACTCACTTCCTTCCCACTTGAGAACTGTTAAGTCTGGCGTCCAGGAGCTGTGGTTCGAGGAGGGAGGAGGAGTTGTAGGGAGCAGGAATGTTTTGACTTGAGTAGGATGCTCCTAAGAAGGCTCTGGCTCTTGGGCCTGAACAGCAGAAGGCTGACTCTTCTCTGTGGATGTCCTGGTGGAGTATGCAGGTGGGGGTAGTTGGGAGTAGTTGGTTTGGGATTGGCCTGCCCCCTAGGGGTTGGGCAAAGATTGTGGGAGTGTTTCTTTAGCATGTGTTTATGTGAACTAGATGTGGGCCACGTACATGAAAAAGATAGTGTTGAGATCTTCCATCCTGTTCCATATGCTCCCTAGGGGGATTGGGTCCTCAGCTGACAGGATCTGGAAGTGAACTGCTGGAAGTGTGGAGGCTGTGGAAGAACTGAAGTGGCCCACGGCTTAGGGATGCAGTGCTTAGTGAAGAGTGCACAGGGAAGGTTCCCAGGCTGGGGGAATCCTTCATACTCTACCAGGGCATCCACAGGGAAGATGCCTTATGCTTGATCCAGGCCCATGAGCCCGAGCCTTGGTAAAAGCATCCTACTAAAGGCAGAACTTCCCTGCTCCCTGCAACTCCTCCTCCCTCTTCAAACGGCTGCTCCCAGGGGTCAGACTTAGCAGTTCTCGAGTGGGGAGGAAGAGAGTGAGAAACATGACAAGCTGGATACATTCCCTTTTCCCAAGGTAGGCAGGCCCTGCAGCAGCCCTAGCTGGGGGTGGGACCTGCAGGGAGGAGAAGTCTTATGTTTGCATGAAGACTGAAGTGTTGCATAATCTATGGCCTTGGGCATTACAATATCCAAATTGAGACTGTGTTTTCAGACTCAAAGTGATAGCAGGGATTTCTATGGCTTAATTGTAACCAGAAGACAAGGGAAGGATTATACCCATTGAACAAGTTGCTTAAGTCAGTTGATTAAGAAAATTGCTTTTAGGATTACGTGCCCTGAGTCCAGTTTACTCCATCTACAGTTCACAGTAAGTGGAGGGTCAGGCCCCTACTTATAGATCCATAGCTCCTGTCTCCCATAGGCTTTAGGCTGTGCCCTCACTGAAGATTCTGGAAACCAGAGTCTTGCTTGGAATCTCAGAGCCAGCTAATCCCACCAGCTTCACAGCCTTGTCTTCCGACCACACTTATGTATGAGTTTCTGTGCAAAGCTCAACTCTCTCATCTTCCTGCCCTCATGGGGCTGTGTTTGCCCTGCCCCATCCAGCTTCCCATTGCCCCTCCTTCTCCATGCTGCAGGGCCCATGTAAACCAACACCTCTCTGTTCTCAAGCTTTCCATCGGCTGACTGTCCACCAACTGTCATGGTGACTAGGTTGTCCTGCAGGCACCTTCTTCCTTGGCAGCTTCTCCCAAAGAGGCTCTTCCCTCTCCATGCCCCCTGGGGTTTGGGTCAGAATTCTCCTGTGCTTCCTGGCTGCTCAACTGAACTCCATGCAGTTCCTAGAGGGGCACACCCTCCCTCACCTTCAGCTCTCTGAGCGCTGTTTCCTCAGAAGCACGGACTCCTAGCCTGGGAAAATCCACAGCCCCAGTGTACTCCCCATTTATCTCTCTGAATGTGATTATTGACTTGGGGTGCATCTGCCTTAGATGTGAGCCCCTTGAGGGTGGGGACCTTGGTATCTTACTTGTGTTTATGCCTACAGTGACTGGAGCAAGTCAGTGAATGTAGGTGGTGACTGGCGTTTCAGAAAATCCCTCTTGGGGCCAGCATGGGGGTGGATAAGAAGGAGGCAGCTGATGCAGTACTTTAGGCAGAGATGGGTGCTGAGCTGAGTGGGTGGAGAGGAGTGTCCTGGCTGTTCTTACTGAACTGGAAGCATGCAGACCTGTGTGGCTTCCCCCCCAATTCTTCCCACCTGGGGTCCTGCCCCCACCCCTTAGTGCTCCTTCTCCTCACTCAGCTCCCATTTCCTATGAGTGCTCACTGAGTGCCTGCAGCCCTGAGTGAGGAACAGCCCTGAGTTTGTTCCACTCCCAAAGGGACTGACATTGTTTCTAGGCTAGGTCAGTTGGGAAGCCTTTGGCTGAGGAAATGCAGCACTGTGGCAAGTCCTGGAGCATAGAGCATTATGGGCTGAGGATACCAAATGGTCTTCAGCCTGGAACCCTCGAGCTGCCCCACGGAATCACAATATTACATACAGAAAATAAGCCCCTTTTATGCGGCTGCCTGGGTGTTTCTCTGTCTCCTTCCAGCATTCCCCACCCCAAGGAAAATCCTGGGCATGTTCCATGTGCCTCTGGCTGGCTTCCACCCTGGGCACTGCAAGTTCTTCCTGAAAAACCACTCTCAGCCAGTCTTCCTGCTGACAACTTCCCTTGCCAGAACAGTGAGGGGTAAGGAGGCTGATGATTACCCGTTTGTGCCAGAATTATCAGGTAGGTCACATCCCAAATATGATCTACATTGTTTTACTAACTCTGTGAGCTGGCTTTATGAATCCCATTTTTAGGTGAGGAAATGAGGCTTATTGTCAGGCCTCTGAGCCTAAGCTAAGCCATCATATCCCCTGTGACCTGCACGTACACATCCAGATGGCCTGTTCCTGCCTTAACTGATGACATTCCACCACAAAAGAAGTGAAAATGGCCCGTTCCTGCCTTAACTGATGACATTGTCTTGTGAAATTCCTTCTCCTTGCTCATCCTGGCTCAAAAGCCCCCCTGCTGAGCACCTTGTGACCTCCACTCTGCCCGCCAGAGAACAATCCCCCTTTGACTGTAATTTCCTTTATCTACCTAAATTCTATAAAACGGCCCCACCCTTATCTCCCTTAGCTGACTCTCTTTTCGGACTCAGCCCACCTGCACCCAGGTGAAATAAACAGCTTTATTGCTCACACAAAGCCTGTTTGGTAGTCTCTTCACACAGATGCGAGTGAAATTTGGTGCCGTGACTCAGATCTGGGGACCTCCCTTAGGAGATCAATCCCCTGTCCTCCTGCTCTTTGCTCCGTGAGAAAGGTCCACCTACGACCTCAGGTCCTCAGACCGACCAGCCCAAGAAACATCTCACCAATTTCAAATCCAGTAAGCGGCCTCTTTTTACTTTCTTCTCCAACCTCCGTCACTATCCCTTAACCTCTTTCTCCTTTCAATCTTGGCGCCACACTTCAATCTCTCCCTTCTCTTAATTTCAATTCCTTTCATTTTCTGGTAGAGACAAAGGAGACATTTTATCCGTGGACCCAAAACTCCGCCGCCGGTCACAGACTGGGAAGGCAGCCTTCCCTTGGTGTTTAATCATTGCAGGGAAGCCTCTCTGATTATTCACCCACGTTTCAGAGGTGTCAGACCATGCAAGGACTCCTGCCTTGGTCCTTCACCCTTAGTGGCAAGTCCCGCTTTTCTGGGGGAGGGGCAAGTACCCCAACCCCTTCTCTCTTTGTCTCTACCCCTTCTCCGCTTTTCTGGAGGAGGGGCAAGAACCCCTCAACCCCTTCTCCTTCACCCTTATAGGCAAGTCCCGCTTTTCTAGGGGGCAAGAATCCCCAATCCCTTATTTCTGTGCCCTGACCTCTTATCTCTGCACCCCGATCCCTTATTTCCCTGCTCTGACCTCATATCTCTGCACCCCGATCCCTTATTTCCCTGCTCTGACCTCATATCTCTGTGCCCTGATCCCTTATTTCCGTGCCCCAACCTCTTGTATCTCTGCACCCTGATCCCTTATTTCCACACCCCGACCTCATATCTCTGCGTGCCGACCCCTTTCCCGCTTTTCTGGAAGGTAAGAACCCCTGAACCACTTCCCTCCATATCTCTACTCTCCCTTTTCTTTAAACTTGCCTCCTTCACTATAGGCAACCTTCCACCCTCCAGTCCTCCTTCTTCTCCCTTAGCCTGTGTTCTTAAGAACATAAAACCTCTTCAATTCTCGCCTAACCTAAAACCTAAATGCCTTCTTTTCTTCTACAATGCCGCTTGACCCCAATACAAATTCGACAGTAGTTCTAAATAGCCAGAAAACGGCACTTTCGATTTCTCCATCCTACAAGACCTAAATAATTTTTGTCGAAAAATAGGCAAATTGTCTGAGGTGCCTGACGTTCAGGCATTCTTTTACACATTGGTCCCTCCCTAGTCTCTGTGCCCAGTGCACAGATTATTATTTGGGACGATTATTATCATCCCAAATCTTCCTTCTTTCCCTCCCACCTGTCCCCTCAGTCCCAACCCCAAGCGTCACTGAGTCTTTCCAATCTTCCTTTTCTACAGACCCATCTGACCTCTCCCCACCTCCCCAGGCTGCTCCTTGCCAGGCCAAGCTAGGTCCCAGTTCTTCCTCAGCCTCCGCTCCTCCACCCTAAAATCTTTTTATCACCTCCCCTCCTCACACCTGGTCCGGTTTACATTCCGGAGTAGCCCTCCCCGACCTGCCCAGCAATTTCCTCCTAAAAAGGTGGCTGAAGCTAAAGGCATAGTCGAAGTTAATGCTCCTTTTTCTTTATCAGACCTCTCCCAAATCAGTAAGTGTTTAGGCTCTTTCATCAAATATGAAAAACCCAGCCCAGTTCATGGCTCATTTGGCAGCAACCCTGAGACGCTTTACAGCCCTAGACCCTAAAAGGTCAAAAGACCGTCTTATTCTCAATATACATTTTATTACCCAATCTACTCCCGACATTAAATAAAACTCCAAAAATTAAATTCCGGCCCTCAAACCCCACAACAGGATTTAATTAACCTTGCCTTCAAGGTGTAAAATAATAGAAAAAAGTTGCAATTCCTTGCCTCCACTGTGAGACAAACCCCAGCCACATCTCCAGCACACAAGAACTTCCAAACGCCTAAACCGCAGCGGCCAGGCATTCCTCTAGAACTGCCTCCCCCAGGAGCTTGCTACAAGTGCTAGAAACCTGGCCACCAGGCCAAGGAATGCCCACAGCCCAGGATTTGTCCTAAGCCGTGTCCCATCTGTGCAGGACCCCACTGGAAATCGGATGGAAATCGGACTGTTCAACTCACCTGGCAGCCACTCCCAGAGCCCCTGGAACTCTGGCCCAGGGCTCTGTGACTGACTCCTTCCCAGATCTTCCTGGCTTAGTGGCTGAAGACTGACGCTGCCCGATCACCTCGGACGCCTGGTATTCCATCACGGACGCCGAGCTTTAGGTAACTCTCACAGTGGAGGGTAAGTCCGTCCCCTTCTTAATCAATACAGAGGCTACCCACTCCACATTACCTTCTTTTCAAGGGCCTGTTTCTCTTGCCTCCATAACTGTTGTGTGTATTGATGGCCAGGCTTCTAAACCTCTTAAAACTCCCCAACTCTGGTGCCAACTTAGACAATACTCTTTTAAGCACTCCTTTTTAGTTATCCCCACCTGCCCAGTTCCCTTATTAGGCCGAGACACTTTAAATTATCTGCTTCCCTGACTATTCCTGGGCTACAGCCACACCTCATTGCCGCCTTTCCCCTCAGTTCAAAGCCTCCTTCACATCCTCCCCTTGTATCTCCCCACCTTAACCCACAAGTATAAGACACCTCTACTCCCTCCTTAGCGACCGATCATGCACCCCTTACCATCCCATTAAAACCTAATCACTCTTACCCCGCTCAATGCCAATATCCCATCCCACAGCATGCTTTGAAAGGATTAAAACCTGTTATCACTCGCCTGTTACAGCATGGCCTTTTAAAGCCTATAAACTCTTCTTACCATTCCCCCATTTTACCTGTCCTAAAACCAGACAAGGCTTACAGGTTAGTTCAGAATCTGCGCATTATCAACCAAATTGTTTTGCCTATCCACCCCATGGTGCCAAACCCATATACTCTCTAATCCTCAATACCTCCCTCTACAACCCATTATTCTGTTCTGGATCTCAAACATGCTTTCTTTACTATTCCTTTGCACCCTTCATCCCAGCCTCTCTTTGCTTTCACTTAGACTGACCCTGACACCTATTAGGCTCAGCAAATTACCTGGGCTGTACTGCCGCAAGGCTTCACAGACAGCCCCCATTACTTCAGTCAAGCCCAAATTTCATCCTCATCTGTTACCTATCTCGGCATAATTATCATTAAAACACAAGGGCTCTCCCTGCTGATCATGTCTGATTAATCTCCCAAACCTCAATTCCTTACAAAACAACAACTCCTTTCCTTCCTAGGCATGGTTAATGCAGTCAGAATTCTTACACAAGAGCCAGGACCGCACCCTGTCGCCTTTCTGTCCAAACAACTTGACCTTACTGTTTTAGCCTAGCCCTCATGTCTCCATGCAGTGGCTGCTGCCACCCTAATACTTTTAGAGGCCCTCAATATCACAAACTATGCTCAACTCACTCTTTACATTTCTCGTAACTTCCAAAATCTATTTTCTTCCTCATACCTGACGCATGTACTTTCTGCTCCCTGGCTCCTTCAGCTGTACTCACTCTTTGTTAAGTCCCACAATTACCATTTTTCCTGGCCCAGACTTCAATCCGGCCTCCCACATTATTCCTGATACCACACCTGACCTCCATGACTGTATCTCTCTGATCCACCTGACATTCACCCCATTTCCCCATATTTCCTTCTTTCCTGTTCCTCACCCTGATCACGCTTGATTTATTGATGGCAGTTCCACCAGGCCTAATCGCCACACACCAGCAAAGGCAGGCTATGCTATAGTACAAGCCACTAGCCTGCTTCTCAGAACCTCTCATTTCCTTTCCATCGTGGAAATCTATCCTATCAAGGAAATAACTTCTCAGTGTTCCATCTGCTATTCTACTACTCCGCAGGGATTATTCAGGCCCCCTCCCTTCCCTACACATCAAGCTCAAGGATTTGCCCCCACCAAGGACTGGCAAATTGGCTTTACTCAACATGCTCCAAGTCAGAAAACTAAAATACCTCTTAGTCTAGGTAGACACTTTCACTGGATAGGTACAGGCCTTTCCTACAGGGTCTGAGAAGGCCACCACAGTCATTCTTCCCTTCTGTCAGACATAATTCCTCAGTTTAGCCTTCCCACCTCTATACAGTCTGATAACAGACCAGCCTTTATTAGTCAAATCAGCCAAGCATTTTTTCAGGCTCTTAGTATTCACTGAAACCTTTATATCCCTTACAGTCCTCAGTCTTCAGGAAAAGTAGAACAGACTAATGGTATTTTAAAACCACACCTCACCAAGCTCAGCCACCAACTTAAAAAGTACTGGACAATACTTTTACCACTTTCCCTTCTCAGAAGTCAGACCTGTCCTCAGAATGCTACAAGGTACGGCCCATTTAAGCTCCTGTATAGACGCTCCTTTTTATTAGGCCCCAGTCTCATTCCAGACACCAGACCAACTTAGACTGTGCCCCCAAAAAACTTGTCATCCCTACTATCTTCTGTCTAGTCATACTCCTATTCACCGTTCTCAACTACTCATACATGCCCTGCTCTTGTTTACACTGCTGGTTTATACTGTTTCTCCAAGCCATCACAGCTGATACCTCCTGGTGCTATCCCCAAAGTGCCACTCTTAACTCTTGAAGTAAATAAATAATCTTTGCTGGCAGGACTCTGCTGAATCTCCTTAGGCACTCTCTGATCAGATGTCCTAGGTCCTCCCAATTCTTAGACCTTTTATACCTGTTTTTCTCCTTCTGTTATTCCATTTAGTTTTTCAATTCATACAAAACTGTATCCAGGCCATCACCAATAATTCTACATGACAAATGTTTCTTCTAACAACCCCACAGTATCACCCCTTACCACAAAATCTTCCTTCAGCTTAATCTCTCCCACTCTTAAGTTCCCACGCCGCCCCAATCCCGCTCAAAGCAGCCCTGAGAAACATCGCCCATTATCTCTCCATACCACCCCCAAAAATTTTCACTGTCCCAACACTTCACCACTATTTCATTTTATTTTTCTTATTAATATAAGAAGACAGGAATGTCAGGCCTCTGAGCCCAAGCTAAGCCTTCATATCCCCTGTGACCTGCATGTACACATCCAGATGGCCTGTTCCTGCCTTAACTGATGATATTCCACCACAAAAGAAGTGAAAATGGCCTGTTCCTGCCTTAACTGATGACACTGTCTTGTGAAATTCCTTCTCCTGGCTCATCCTGGCTCAAAAGCTCCCCTACTGAGCACCTTGTGACCCCCACTCTGCCCGCAAGAGAACAACCCCCCTTTGACTGTAATTTTCCTTTATCTACCCAAATCCTATAAAACGGCCCCATCCTTATCTCCCTTAGCTGACTCTCTTTTCGGACTCAGCCCACCTGCACCCAGGTGAAATAAACAGCTTTATTGCTCACACAAAGCCTGTTTGGTAGTCTCTTCACACAGATGCGAGTGAAATTTATTGGCTGATTTCCACTGCTTGTTTGGGTTGTCTGACTCTGAAAGCTGTGCTGCACCACCATCCCTTCCCTCCAGGGCAGAGGGCATGGAAGGGGCATCCCTCCTGGTGGTGGGTGGACAGTGGCTCTGTTTTGCCCCTCCGCATGGGAGCTCTGAGTGATACAGGAGCTAGAAAGAAATTATTTAGGCAGATAGAAAGGGCACCAGGGTCCTTGCGGATTTCCCTTTTAACAAAAAGCAGCCCCCAAATCATCTCTTTTCTAACAAAGAGCAGTCTGAAAAATTGAGCTGCAAACATAGATAAGCAAGCTGGAAACTTGCACGGGTGAATGCTGGCAGCTGTGCCAATGGAAAAGGGCTACCTGGAAGCCAGGTATGTTCAACATGGAGGCTCCACCTTCCCTTTTCTTTGTCACGACATGTACATTAAAGAACAAGGTAACATGGCTCCGGCCAGGGAGAACCCACCTGCATAAGAAAAGATTAGGGTGGGGCGGTCAGCCTCTTCCACACTATGCAAATGACGCACCTCATCCGACCAATCTTTTGTGCCCTATGTAAATCAGACACTGTCTCCTCAAGCCCATCTACAAAATCTGCATTTCACCACGGAGGCGGCAACCCATTTTCTCCACGACCCCCATGCACAGAGAGCTCTTCTCTTTCTTTAGCCTATTTAACTTCCACTCTTAACCTAACTCTGGGGGGTCCGCGTCCTAGATTTCCGTGGCCATGACACAACGAATCTTGGGTATTTACCCCAGACAACAATGCCACTTCATGAGAGGGCACAAAGATGTCTGGACTGGGGATAGGGGTTTCCACTGGGTCTGGGCCCCAGTTCCAGAGGCCGTGCCAGGCCCTCCTCTGCCAGCTGTCCCTCACTTATCCCTCCTTTCCTGCCCCCCTCTAGCCCTCATTTCTTAAGGCTTAGTGATGCTATTTTTTTCCCACATGCCTATGCTCAGCTCAGTTCATGCACAAATGCAATTCCATTGATTAATCTCAGCCACTCACGGAGCACATTCTGTGCCAGGCCCTGTGTCAGGCTGTCCCACTGCACAACTCCAGGGAGCACCATTACCCAAGAATACAGTACCAGTGATGCCCCTGGCATTGTGGAAACAGTGCCTCTGCTCTCTGCACTGGGTACAGGGGGAGAAGAAGCTCACGGGGTCCTTGCAGACCATGAGAGGTGCTCTCTGTCTTCACAGTATGCCCCCCTCAACCAACAGGGCCAAGGCCTCAGGGTGCTTCCCTGTCAGATGGCAAAGTGCTGGTGGCGGGGGTGTGGAAGGAGACCCTATGTGGACAGGCTAAATGCTCAATTCCAAGAGGAAAGGATTGTTATGTAGGTGAGTAGGTCTGAGGAGGATGGTGACAGGAACCCAAGGGTGGAGAAAAGAAAGGAAGGCAAATGAAGGAGAATGGTACACTCTAGCCACTGAAACCTCACTGCTGCCAGCCCCGGACAACTCTTACCTGTGCAGCCCTCTGCAGCCTGGCCTGGATAAAACCTCCTGGGGCCCTAGTTCTCTGGCCCAGTCTCCTGGGCAGCAGCTCCCCAGGCATGGAGCAGCTCCTGCTGGCCTCTGACAGCTGCTCTGACAGTGCCAGGAGGGCTGTGAAGGTTATGGATGTGGCCTAGCTCCACTCCCAGGTGAGGCGGTTGGAAAGGCCCAGAAGTCTCACTCCAGTCTACGGGGCCCAGGCCTCTGAGGGACAGCACTTGGCTTTGCTACCAGATTTGGTTCTGGAACAGAGAGGTCTTGCTTTGGGCTCAGAGTGCTCCAGGCCCCCAGGGTCAGATGTGGAAGGAAGACCCCAGCTCAGGGCTGGGAGCTGTTGTTGCTGCTGGCAGCCCAGCTGCTATGTACCTGGGCAAACAGGTTTCTAAAGACAGGAGGAGAGTACAGACTTGCAGTTGTAAGACGAGTAAGTCCTGGGGCTCTAATGTACAGCATGGTGACTGTGGTTAATAATACTGAATTGTTTATATAAAAATTGCTAAGAGAGTGGATCATAAGTGTTCTCACCACACACACACAATGGTAACTATGTGAAGTGATAGATGTATTAATTAACTTGATTGTGGTAATCATCTCACACTGTATACCTATATCAAGTCATCACACCATATACCTTAAGCAGATATAATTTTTATTTGTTCATTATGCCTCAATAAAGCTGAAAAAATAAAAATAAAACAATGCATCCACACACAAAGACAGGAGGAAAGGGCAGCTAATACTAGAGACATGGCCATCATTTGGACCTTAGAAAGTAGGTCTTGGTGTTGAGTTACAGTTCATGCATGGGTGTGTCCAGCAGATGCACACCCGCGCATGCACACACCACCCCCCTCCCCCCACACACAAACACTATTGGTAGCTTGTCTGGGAAAGCACTATGGAGTAGTCATGAGTGCACATTGATGACCCCGGATAAGACTGTATGTCACTGTGAGTCCCTGCTTCCTCATCTGTGAAGTGATGTCTGCAGTAGTTTCTAATGACCTTGGAACTCTCAAGTGTGATAGACTAAATTATCCATGAGGGCTCAAGTCCCAGGCTTTAAAAGTCAGGCGTGTGAATCTGAGCCTGGCCCGGGCAGGGCAGTCACAGGTGTGTGAGGCTGGCCAACTCATTTTCCCTCCCCAGCCTCAGCTTTTCTGTAGGTGAAATGGGGACAGCAAGGCTTACCTCACACAGTCATCTTGAGGTATGAAGTGAGTGTGTAAAGCACAGACCCCTTGGTCTGACACAGAAATGCTCAGTCAGTAGGAGTTGGTGCTGGCCCTGTTATCATTCACAGGTGAACGGCTTCTCCTGGCTCCACACTGGTGTTCACCCTGGAACACCAGGTCCAGCTACTCGGTGCTGACAAATCCCAGAGCCCCAAGAGGCCTTAAGTTGGGGTGGCTTCTGCCTGAGTCTGAAGCTCACCTTGTCACATCCTCTACAGAAAGCAGAGACTGCAGTTATCCCAACAAGACTCTGGGGAGCTCTTCAACCAGCATCTGGTCCTCACTGGGAGGGAAAATACAGGCCACAGGTTCCCTAATGCCTCCATAGGAATTGAGCCAAGGAGATTCAGAGGAGCCTGGGATTAGCAATCGGAGGCAGAGCCTGGGATCTGGAGCCACAGCTCCTGCCACCATTCCCATCCATCCCGGACGTCATGCCTTTTCCTAGATCCTGGGTCCTATGGCACCCCACAGTTGCCCATGCTTCCCTCATTACCACACCGCTCAATTGTGTCATGACTGCTCATCTGTTTCCCTTGCTAGTGGTGGGCTCATGGGAGGCAGGGGTTTTACCAGCTTCATTTCTGTTCCTGGCACGTGGCCCAGGGCCTGACACACAGTGATGGTCATTGTTTCATCACATAAATGAATGAGTGAATATTACATTAATTTCTTCCTTTCCCCTGAAAGCTATTATAAAGTATAAAGTGTAATTCAATGTAAATATTGTCATTAGCAGCACCATATGTATCAGCTGCGATTAATCTGGCTATAATACATGCCCAAGTTAAGAGTAGCTTAAGCAGGAAAGATTTTTTTTTTTCATGTAAGTCTGGAGATAGATAGAACAGGACTGGTAGGATAATTCACAATTTTTAAAGGTGCACAGCCCCTTTTATCTTTCTTCTCTACCATATTCCATCTCATTGTTAACATGGCTGCTCAAACTCCAGCCATTGCCTCAGTATTCCAGAGCATACTTCCTAGAAATTGCACATAACCTTTCCACTATTATTCTGTTGCTCAGAACTTAGTCATGTGGTCTTATCCAGCCGGGAAGCAGGGTGGGAAACACTGTCATTATTTTGGGTGATCTTGTGCCCTGTCAAGAATCTGAAATTGTAAAAATCAGGAACAGATAATGGTGCTGGAGGATCTTAGGAGTCCCAGCCATACCACCCTTTATAGTCTAAACGACACACCACGTTCTTATCTTCACCTACTAGCCCTGTGTGGTAATTAGGGATAAGGGATTCCTTAGAAACTGAGGGGGAGTCAGGCAGTTTCTCAGGGTCTCAGTGAATTTATGGGAAGACTGAGATGTACCCCCAAGGCTCCCAGCTACAGGGCTATGCTCTTTTCTCTTCATCATCTCATGCCAGGGCTTCTTGGGAATGGTGGAGGTTGAGCTCCTTCCTCACAATTCCGTCAACAAACATTTCGCGACTATCTGCCATGTATGCAATAGCCACTTGGGACTCAGAAATGAACCAGGCCTAATCTCTTTCAATGACCTCGTGCTCTGACTTGGAAGGTGGCTGACCCTTAAACAACTGCTTATAATGTACTGTTATAAATGATGTGAATGTTGTAAGTATAGATGGCTCCCTAGGCTCAGAGGATGGGAAACTGACCCTTCATGGTGTGCAAGATACAGTCTTAGGTTCCTTCCAACTCCAGTATTCTATCTGAGACAGAAGATAGGGCTGGAGAATTTGGGCTGAGTTCAAGACCTTAAAAGAAGGCCATTCCTGTTTATATTTGATGTGGTAATTATAGCACCGAGGCTCAGGGAGTTCCAGTCACTTGTCCGAGGTCAGACAGCAAGCAAGTGGCAGGGCAAGATTTAAACACAGGTTTCCGACCTCCAGGCCCATGTCTTTTCCTTTAACACACTTTGGTATCAGTTATTTGTGTCAGCTTGAACATACATATTAAGTCTCCAAAACGTTCATAAGTTTGTAGTTAGTTATTTCCATTGTAGAAATTTATTCTATGAAAATTATCATGTATTAAGATTTTACTCAGATTTAACACCAGGTCCAGGTACTTGGTCCTGACAAAGCTCTGAGAGGCCCCAGGTGGGGCTAGGGGTGGCTTCATGTTAAAAATAAAAACAATTTAAATATTCAGCTATAAGGGAATTTTTGTATAACGTAGTGAACAACTTTGTAGTTCCCAGACCAGCAAGATCAGCATTATTGGGCAAATTGTTAGAAATGCAGATTCTTGTCCTAGCTGATACTTCTTGATTCAGAAACTCTTGGAGTGAGGCTCAGAATTCCTAAAGCCCTCAAGGTAATTTTGATACCTGCTAGAGTTTGAGAATCATTGATGGAATGGGATGTTACACAGGCAGTTAGTGTTTTCAAAGACTGCTTAACATGAAAAAGTGCTTATAATATTAAGTAAATAAAAAGAGAAAAAATGGTTTATGTTTAGTGTGATAATTTGTGCATTACAGATAGTATGATTTCCATTTGTAAATATGTGAGTACGTACCATATATTTGTAAAATCAAAACCATTCATATATTGCATATATACATTCACACATATGTACTAGCAGAAAAAGTGCTATTCTCAATATATCAAAGAAGGTAATTTTGAATTACTCCTTCTTTGCACCTTTATGTATTTTTCCAGATTGTCTTCTCTGATGACGCATTTTTTATTATCAATAAATAGCTTGCCTACAAAAAAAGGCTTTTTCAGAATATGCAGTACAAAAGATGACCACAGTGGGGAGGAGTAGAGCACACTTTAACATCTCCCATCCCACCTGCCTTCTGGGCCATGAGGCAGATCACTAGGTACCTGTCCTTTCTCCACTCCCTTCTACCCCCATCTCATTCTCCATGTAAGGCTAACTTCCATATACAATATTTGTAGATAGCCAAGGAATTCACTGGGCTTTTCATTTTGCAGCAAGATGTTGAACATTCTCTGAGACGTTCCTGGCAAGTAGGAGCCGACGTATGAGAAAAATCTCTGACCCTATCTGACTTTTTATTTATTCTCTACCTTGTTCTGAATTTTCTTAAGTTCTCTGTGTAACTCTCCCAATCTTTCTCTCTCTCTGAAAATCCACAAGTATCTATATCTCTGAAACTTTTGTAAACATTCTCTGGAACACTGTGATAATATCTCAGAAATATAATGAAACTGGCTGAAATGTTATGGCTTTCTCTTTAAACTCTCTCTGAATCTCAGGACTCTTGGTCCATCTGTCCATCGCAGCCCATTATCATACAGCAAATGGGTGTCGGGCAAAGGAAGCTGCTATTTGTGACAAATACTCCCTTCCAGCTCACTAGCTCATCCCTCTTAGGAATTTGCTCACTTCCCAGTTCTGGGCTACACCTTTCTTGGTTCAGAAGAAGGTGGAGATCAAATCCCTTTCCTCCAGTGAAGTTCCAGCTAGATCTGGGAACAGAGAAAGCTGGGCAATTGGGGAGTCAGATCTAGGTTTGATTTTCCACTCCTTGTCTTACTATTTGTATGACCTTGAGCAAATGGCTTTCTTCAAAGTCTCTCCTTCCTAATCCAGTGAAAATAATGATGGGGACTGCATGACTTTTGTGAGGATTGGGGGTGATAGTTCACGTGCCACTGCTACATGCTTACGGTCAGTAATAGATGAGTCAAGTGTAAAATGCCTGGGTAAACACCAACAACCCTCATGACTTTCATTGAGACAGGAGTTCAGAGCATGGAGAGATCTGTGTGTGTTTCATAAGCCCTTGCCATGGAGAGGTAGTAACTCAGAAAGTCCATTGCATTTAGGAAGTTGCTTTGTGTAAGCCCAGGACATTCTCTTCTCTGCGGCTTTTTGTGGGATGGTGGATATGTAAGAATTATTTGCACATTGAATGTGCAATATCAAGGGTTGGGCACAAGGTGGCGCAATGGGGCAGGTTTCAGCATCTTTCAGAGGCGTTCCCATTCAGGGATGAGGAGTAAAGCATTAGTGGTATTTCCATATACTATTTTATGTGTGACCCCATCTGCCTGCAGTGTTAGCATCAGATGGGGATTTTCTGGGCAGCTGGAAGTCTGAGCTATTGCTGAACAGTACGTCATTGCATTTAGAATTTAGACCAGTGTGGTTTAATAGAATTTTCCACGATGATGAAAATGTTCTGTCTGTGCTGTCTAAAATCTTAGTCATTAACCACATGTGGCTACTGAGCACTTGAAATGTAGCCAGTGTGGCCAAGGAACACAATTTTAAAGTTAATTTATTTTTAATTTTAAATATAAATAACCACACACATGGTTTCTGAATTGTACAACAGAGAATTCTAGATAATGTCAGTTTTTCTAGTAATAAATGCTCTCCATCCTAGCCCCTTTTTGAGGTTGGGCTTCTAAAGATTAGTTAGGTTGTCTCCCAAGTTTCTCACAGTGGAGAAGGGGAGGAAGTGCAGGAGGAAGCAAAAATGAATTTATAAACACTATAATAAAAGTGAGCCTAATTACAGCAAGAGATCAAAATAAATAATACCGATAGTTGCTTTTAGTTTTGAGTGCTAGCCAGGTGTAAAACACTTTAAAATGTGATTTAATCCTCAAAGAATTCCTATGCAATTTTGTAGCTGAAGAAACCAAGGCTCAGAGTGGCCAAATGGTTTGTTATTTGTGGCAGAGAATTTAGATGCCCATCTAGGTGAGCCTCGGACTCTAAAACCTTCCTACAATGCTGATGTAAGGCTTTAAAGAAGAATACATCTCATCGAGTGAGAATACTATTGAAGGCTTTCTAAAGACGGTTGGGTTTGAGCTAGGCAGGAAGAATAAATGGGGTTTTGTTAAAAAAGAAGAGAAGATAGGGTCCAAGCAGAGGGACAGTATCAGTCAATGAGTAAGAAATGCTGGGAGCATGTTCAACACATTATCATGGTATTTAACCAAAATTTGAGGAGGGACATGTCTCTCCTTTGTAATGGGCTTGGCTGGGTCCAAGAAGAGGCGACTGGTGCCTGACTAGAGGGAATCTGTATTTGTAGGAAAATAGAGAGAGCCTGGTCTGCAGAAGAGTATCACTGAAACCACTAGTCTGGGAGAAAGATTATGGTGCCCCCATAGGAACTGGAGAGCTGCAGAGCCAAGAAAGGAGGGGCAGGAGGGGCAGAAGGGAATGGGGCTCCCTTTGAGATGGGTAAATAAATGGAGTGTAAACATACACCCATGTATGCTTGAATGTCAAGGGAGACTCACAGGTTATTAAAGGATCCACTGCGACTACTTGGAGGAAGAAACAGGGAGTGATGGAAGCCAGTGGGTCTCGTTGAGACTAAGTCATGTGAGACATGCCTTACTGCTTTACCTGTGTTTTTAAGATTAATTGATTAACAGATCTAAGAGAATCTATTGACCAAACAATTAAGTAGTTCTTAGGCATCAATTATGTAATGGGCCCAGCAGTCAAAGCTTTTCATGTTGGTGTTTCAAAAGGACATTTTCCAAAAATCTCTTGAGGGAAATATGGAGAAATGTATGTTTGATGACTCTGCAGTAGCTGATGCTACCATGGCAATCTGGAGGCAGGCTTCCAGGGACTTAACCACGTTCTTTCTTGACAAACGTGTTGAGTGATTTGAATAAAGAATTTGCCAAAGGGCTATCAGATTTGGTAAGGACAACTAATTCATTATCCAGAGAATCAAAAGCAAAGCAGTTATTATCTGCTATAATTGATTTGACTCTATCAGGATAATATTTAATTACAAAAACTATAAAGTTTAGCATTTAGCCTCAGGAAAACCAATTTTAAAAGAGAAGTAGTGTCTGCTTTGGTAATGTCAGCCTGCTAGCCATTTTTTTTTTTTTTTAGCTTGAGCTATCAAGATGCTGTGGTGAATAAACCACTGCCTCACAGGTCTTTCATTCCTGTCAAAAGATCTTTAGAGACAGATGGAATTCCTTTTACACTCACTGCTTGAGTGAGGACTGCAAACACTACGGTGACTTTTAGTGTGCAGAGTGGAGACCTGGCTGTGAATAAACAGTGACATCCTGGCTTTTCTGCTGGAAAAAGAGAATTGTTTAAGTTAAAAAATGTAAAACTGAGGGGTGGGGTTGCTGTGTGTTATTTCTTTTCCCTAAATGCAGATCTCTGCTTAGAAAGCCAGACTCTATTTATCAGGCTTTAGCCCTGAGGAAATAAGAAGAAAGGAGAAAAGGGAATGTCTCTAAAGTAGCACTGGATGGGGGCAAATGTGGGCAGAAGAAAAGATTGAGCTGCTTGAGAGTGGGATTGAGTTTGCCTTACTTTGCTCTGCCTGTTGCAGGCACGTGTGGGGCAGGCTAGATGGAGCGTTTGTTAACTGACTACTTAGGTGATGGCAGAGTCACTGACCTGGCCTTTCCTCCCTTCTCCAATCTTTTCTCACACTCAAGCCAAAGAGATAGTTTCAAATGAGTATTTGTGTATGTCCTTCCCAAATCTTACACTCTGCTTAAAACCTTTCAGTGATTTTCCAGAACTCTCAGAATAAAGCTAAAATTCCTGAACATAGTCTACTAGACCCTGCCCAGTCTGCCTTGCAGCCTCATTTTGCCTCAAATCTCCCTCTATTTTGCTATGTTTCACCTGCTATTGTCTTAGATTTCCTGGCAATGTCCTGTACTTCTTCCCACTGCAGGACCTCTGCACATGCTCTTGCTTTTGGCCAGTGAGTTCTCCTGGGCCCACTCCCTTACTCTGAGCTCTCAAAGATCCGTGTTCTTCCCACAAGCTCCAGAGAACAGGGATTGGCCTTTGTTTGCTCGTTGTATTATCCCCAGCACAGTGCCAGACACATAGAAAATCCCTAATTGAAACAACCTTTGCAAAAACTATAACAGTGGGAAAATTATGACAGAGAAAGAGATCTTATCTAATCAACCCCCATCTTACCCTTAACCTTGGTCATTCCTGGGCTTGGGCCAAGCTAACTTTGGGAGAAATTTAGTATATAGTTTAAATAATAATAGCCCTTCCCCAAACTAAACCACCTTTGTAAAACTAAGACCATCAGGTTAGGAGGATGAGAGGAGGCTGAATTCGGCTAAGATGTAGGTATAAATGATGACTAGTCATTATTCTGGAAATCAGCTTCCTCAATTACTCCTGCAGATAACATCACTATTGCAGAACCTAAGACTGGCCTTTTGAGTTGTCTTTTCAGGCTTTTGCATTTATGATGACTGGATGGCCCCACCTGGACCCACGACTCTGGACTTAACTGGTCCTGTGGCCCTCACCCAGAAGCAGACTCAGTGTACTGCAACCGTGTTCCACACCCCTAGGATTGCATCCTCAAATAATCAGCAGAACCTGTTCCCCTGCCTCCCCTGTCCTTGAAAAGCCCAAGCCTCTGAATTTTTGAGAACATGGATTTGAGTAATAAAACTTCAGTCTCCTGTTCAGTTGGCTCTGCGTGAATTAAACTCTGTCTCTATTGGAATTCCCCTGTCTTGATAAACTGGCTGTATCTGGGAAGTAGGTAAGGAGAATCTGTGGGGTGGTTACATAATTATTGAAAGAATGGCTGAATTTTCTTTCTAGATTGCAAGACCTTTGTGCTATCCATCAGATTTTGCTTTTAGGAAATGAGAAGAAAAAATAACTCAGAGCAGTCTGAGTCATGTGAGGTATAGAAGACTTATCAGGCCCAGAGAAACAAGAGTTTAGGACATCAGTCACCCCCACCTCCACCCTGCACCTATATCTGGGGGCAATTTTTTAAAGATATTTTGTTCCTGACTAGTTGCCTCACTCATTATCTTCATGTTTCTGAAATTCGTGATACAAAGAACAATGTATAGCCAATCAATAGCTTATGTTATTTTAAGAACATCTTGATAAACAACATAGAAACTTCCTCCTTTTTTCCTTTAAAACTTGACCTGTGGCCAGGCGCAGTGGCTCACACCTATAATCCCAGTAATTTGGGAGGTCGAGGCAGGTGGATTGCTTGCGCCCAGGTGTTTGAGACCAATCAGGGCAACATGGTGAGACTCTGTCTCTACCAAAAATTTAAAAATTAGCCAGATGTCGTGGTGCTTACCTGTTGTCCCAGCTACTTGGGAGGTTGAGTTGGGAGGATTACTTGAGCCTGGGAGGTCAAGTCTGCAGTGAGCCATGACTGCGCCACTGCACTCCAGCCTGGGTGACAGAGTGAGACCTGGTCTGAAAAAACAAAACAAAAGAAAACAACCAACTTGAGTCTGGGTGCAGTGGCTCATGCCTATAATCCCAGCACTTTGGGAGGCTGAGGTGGGTGGATCACTTGAGGTCAGGAGTTTAAGACCAGCCTGGCCAACATGGTGTAACCCCATCTCTACTAAAAACAAAAATACAAAATTTACCCGGGAGTGGTGGCGGGTGCCTGTAAACCCAGCTACTAGGGAGGCTGAGGCAGGAGAATTACTTGAATCTGGGAGATGGAGGTTGCATAGAGCCAAGATTGTGCTATTGCACTCCGGCCTGGGTGACAGAGAGAGACTCCATCTCAAAAAACAAAAGAAAACAAAACAAAAAAATAACTTGTAACTGTTGCCAATCAGAGTGTATATTCAGGGCAACTTGAATCTATGGTCCTGGGTTTCAGTCCTCAAATGTGGCCCCAGTAAACTCTCTACTTATATTAATTTTGCCTCAGTCTTTTTTTTTTTCCTTTTAGGTTAACAAAAAGCATGTAGTATCCATTTTTCATTGCTCTTTCCTTAACTTCTGTGTGGGTTGGGGTAACATCTTTACTTCCTGATGGGAAGGCTTTGATGTTGATAAAAGGCCAATGAGTAGGTAGGGAAGGTTTCTGGGGCATGTGACTGGGGGAGAAAGAAATTTTCCCAGGCTGTCTTAGGAACCACGTGCTTTGCCAATCGCCACGTTTGTTCTGCCCGGCCCAATCTGAGTTGCAGGAATTTAATCTTAATAATTGGATGATAAAGAACACATCCACCCATAGAGCCCTAAAGGAGCTGGGGTTTCATCAGCTTGAGGAGCAGTATTCTATTCAAACCTATGCATATGTGGGAGAGGAAAAAATTTTCTATCCTCTTAGAGTTTCTAGCTAGGCCCAAAAATGAAACCGACATAAAACAGATTAACAGAAGAACAGCATGCAAACTTTATTCCTTTTTTTTTCTTTTTTTTTTTAGATAGACTCTTGCTCCCAAACCCAGGCTGGATGCAGTGGTGTGATCTTGGCTCATAGCAACCTCCACCTCCTGGGTTCAAGCAATTCTCCTGCCTCAGTCTCCTAAGTAGCTGGGATTGCAGGTGCCCACCACTACGCCCAGCTAATTTTTTTTTTTTTTTTTTTGTATTTTTAGTAGAGATGGGATTTTGCCATGTTGGCCAGCCTTGTCTCAAACTCCTGACCTCAGGTGATCTGCCTGCCTCCCAAAGTGCTGGGATTACAGGCATGAGCCACTGCATATATGGGGATCTTTATAAGAGGACAAAGACCTGAAGGAGTGACTGGAACAGAAAGCTTTTATATCATTTAAATAAAGAAATGATACTGTAGGGAAAGCTCACTGAAAAATCACCGACATGAGACAGCTTAATAGGATAAAATGCACACAAATTTAAGAAGTGAACTGCCTTCATGCAACATGCACAGAAAGTGCACATGGAGGGAATTACAGGGTGACTACTCACTTGCAATGGGGTTAAGAAGCTTATGTAACATCCTGACAACAGGTTATGGGAGTGGTGAGAAGAGGAATTCCATTGAGGGGCAATAAAGGATTATGAAGGAGAATGAATGGATTCTGGAACTGAGAGTAACTTGTAAATAGTTCTCTTTGACAGTGAAAGGGCCTGTTCTGGTGTGGTCACATTTGTGGTCTTACAGGAAGGGGAAGTAGGTATGGATAAAGGAAATTCCTCTATCTTTAGACTGTATGGGGCCGGGCGCGGTGGCTCACGCCTGTAATCCCAGCTCTCAGGGAGGCTAAGAGGCGGGAGGATAGCTTGAGCCCAGGAGTTCGAGACCTGCCTGGGCAATATAGCGAGACCCCGTTCTCCAGAAAAAGGAAAAAAAAAAACAAAAAAAAAAAACAATAGACTGTATGGATAAAGGAACTTCACCTTCCTTGGGAGAGACAGCAGAGGGAGAAGGTCAGAGAAACCTTGAGGCTTCTTCTGTTCAGCCTGTCAACGCATTGAATTTGGGGTATCTGTTTCTGAGCCCCAACAATACATTTGTGAAGAAATGACAAGACAAAAGGGTTTGAACTAGGAGCTGTAAGTTGTGGAGAAGTCACTAGGAGATATATGGTGGTGGTGGGGCAGGGAATAAAACTAGTGGAAGATAAGGGTTATTTTAGTATGTTTGTTTGTACAGATCCATTTCGGCATTGATTCCCAGTCTCTGGTGATAAGGGTATTCTTCTCTTCCTGGCACAGGGAGGGAATCTTTCTCATGGAAAATTCTGTGGCTTGTTTTCAGTAGAAAAGGAGCCGTTAGATGACTCTTCCTGCATCTGCTGTTTCTCAAGTGTCATCAGCTGGAAATAATTAATATGTCAAAGCGGCATATTTTGGCGTGGCTTGTCCTTAGCTCTTTCACCTGTCGTATCTCATGTGACTTTAAACCGTGTTAAACCATGGTGCTGTGGAATAGCCTCGTGAAAGCGGAATAGAGCTGTACTGAAAGGTTGCTGTTTTCCTATTATTGATGGGGATAGCCACGGATTCTTCTCTTGGGAGTCAAGCAACCCACACAGACCGTGTGCCCCCAACTGCCTTTGGGCATATGCCATCAGGGAGAATCCCTGGTGGTGCAAGAATTCCAGTGCTGGAATGGGAAGGTTTGCTTAATTCCTGGATTTAGTATTCAGAAGCTGACTTGCTCATAGATACTGCACACACTTCCCAATATCAGAGTTTTGTTCTTTAATAAAAGTAATATTTTGATCTCCTGCTTTACTATATAGTTTTATTTTCTCAATTAATTCAAAACTTAGACTGAAAGAAAAGGGGAGCTATAATTTTTGCCCCTTTGGAGCTCCAACAAAATATACAAATTTAAAAATAAATGATGGGACAGAAATACACTGGAAACCTGTAAATCTATTAAAATTATGTTTTTGAAGACCAACAATAAAACAGGTTCATAATGTATTCTGGAGTGTAAAAAAAGAGAATAGAATTATAGTGTTTGTCAAGCATTCCAAAAATGTGTTCCCTGTATCAATATTATCAGCACTACGTGGGAACTTGTTAGCAAGTTCTTGCACTCCACCTAGAGCTACTGAGTCAGACACTCTGGAGTGTTGCCAGTGGTTTGTCTTTAAAAAAACCCTGCAGGTAATTCTCATGAACGGTAAAGTTTTGGAATTCTTCAATTTTTAGCACACACACAATACTGGATGGAAATATACCAAAATGTTAATACTAATATTATTTGAAAGGTGAGGCTACAGTTGTGTGCATGATTCAGTATAAGTTAATATTAAAATAAATTATTTCATTTCCAGAGGTTTTTGGTGGATTCCTCGGCTTACCTCCCATCAATAAATCCAAAAGAGAACAGTAATTCTTCTTGTCATTTTGTAAGTTATCACCATTTATTTATCAAGCCCAAGCAAGATTACATATATTTGTGGTTTATGAGAGTAGGTCATTTTTCCATTTAAGACTTTTTTTTTTGTTTTGAAATAATTATACATTCACAGGAAATTGCAAAGATACAACTGAAAGCAATTGACTTTGGTATCCTAAACCTTTCTATAACTACTTATCAATTTCACGAGGGTTTTGTTTGTTCGTTTTGAGATTCCTTGGGATTTTCTGTAGAAAGAATCATATCATCTACAAAGGCAGTTTTTTTTTCTTTGACTTCAAGTTTTTTTTTTTTTAACTTCTATTTTAGGTGCCGGTTTGTTATGTAGGTAAACTCGTGTAACAGGGGTTTGTTGTACAGATTATTTCATCACCCAGGTATTAAACCTAGTACACATATAGTTATCTTTTCTGCTCCTCTTCCTCCTCCCCACCCTTCACCCTCGAACAGACCCCAGTGTCTGTTGTTCCCTTCTTTGTGTTCATGAGTTTTCATCATTTAACTTCCACTTATAAGTGAGCACATTCGATATTATTTTTTCTGTTTCTGTGTTAGTTTGCTAAGGATAATAGCCCCAGCTCCCACAACAGCTCATGTTCCCACAAAGCACATGATCTTGTTCTTTTTTATGACTGCATAGCATTCCATGGTATATACGTACCACATTTTCTTCATCCAATCTGTCATTGATGGGCATTTAGGTTGATTCCACGTCTTTGCTGTTGTGAACAGTGCTGCAATGAACATTTGCATGCATGTATCTTTATGGTAGAATGATTCATATTCCTCCATGTATATATCTAGTAATGAGACTGCTGGGTCAGATGGTAGTTCTGTTTCAGCTCTTTGAGAAATCACCATACTGCTTTCCACATTGGTTGAACTAATTTGCATTCCCACCAACAATGTATAAGTATTCCCTTTTCCCCACTACCTCTCTAGCACCTATTATTTTTTGACCTTTATAGCCATTCTGACTGGTGTAAGATGGTATCTCACTGTGGTTTTGCTTTGCACTTCTCTAATGATCAGTGATATTGAGCTTCTTTTTTCATAAGCTTGTTGGCTATGTGTGTTTGTCATCTTTTGAAAAATGTCTGTTTATGTCTTTTGCTTACTTTTTAATGGGGTTGCTTATTTTTTTTCTTGTAAATTTGTTTAAGCTCCTTATAGATGCAGGATATTAGACCTTTGTTGGATGCATAGTTTGCAGATATTTTCTCCTCTTCTGTAGGCTATTTATTCTATTGATAGTTTCTTTTGCTGTGCAGAAACTCTTAAGTTTAATTAGATCCCATTTGTTAATGTCTGCTTTTGTTGTGATTGCTTTTGGTGTCTTTGTCATAAAATCTTTGCCTGTTCCTTTTTTTTTTTTTTTTTTTTCCAAGGCAGAAGAATTTTTCTTAGTGCAGAACAAAATGAAAAGTCTCCCATGTCTACTTCTTTCTACACAGACACGGCAACCATCCGATTTCTCAATCTTTTCCCCACCTTTCCCGCCTTTCTATTCCACAAAGCCGCCATTGTCATCCTGGCCCGTTCTCAATGAGCTGTTGGGCACACCTCCCAGACGGGGTGGTGGCCGGGCAGAGGGGCTCCTCACTTCCCAGTAGGGGCTGCCGGGCAGAGGCGCCCCTCACCTCCCGGACGGGGTGGCTGGCCGGGCAGGGGGCTGACCCCCCCACCTCCCTCCAGGACAGGGCGGCTGGCCGGGCAGAGGGGCTCCTCACTTCCCAGTAGGGGCGGCCGGGCAGAGGCGCCCCTCACCTCCCAGACAGGGTGGCTGGCCGGGCGGGGGGCTGACCCCCCCACCTCCCTCCCGGACGGGGCGGCTGGCCGGGCGGGGGGCTGACCCCCCCACCTCCCTCCCCGACGGGGCGGCTGGCTGGGCAGAGGGGCTCCTCACTTCCCAGTAGGGGCGGCCGGGCAGAGGCACCCCTCACCTCCCGGACGGGGCGGCTGGCTGGGCGGGGGGGCTGACCCCCCACACCTCCCTCCCGGACGGGGCGGCTGGCCGGGCGGGGGGCTGACCCCCCCCACCTCCCTCCCAGACGGGGTGGCTGCCGGGCGGAGACGCTCCTCAGTTCCCAGATGGGGTGGCTGCCGGGCGGAGACGCTCCTCACTTCCCAGATGGGGTGGCCCCCGGGCAGAGGGGCTCCTCACTTCTCAGACGGGGTGGTTGCCAGGCAGAGGGTCTCCTCACTTCTCAGACGGGGCGGCCGGGCAGAGACGCTCCTCACCTCCCAGACGGGGTCGCGGCCGGGCAGAGGCGCTCCTCACATCCCAGATGGGGCGGCGGGGCAGAGGCGCTCCCCACATCTCAGACGATGGGCGGCCGGGCAGAGACGCTCCTCACCTCCTAGATGTGATGGCGGCCGGGAAGAGGCGCTCCTCACTTCCTAGATGGGATGGCGGCCGGGCGGAGACGCTCCTCACTTTCCAGACTAGGCAGCCAGGCAGAGGGGCTCCTCACATCCCAGACGATGGGCGGCCAGGCAGAGACACTCCTCACTTCCCAGACGGGGTGGTGGCCGGGCAGAGGCTGCAATCTCGGCACTTTGGGAGGCCAAGGCAGGCGGCTGGGAGGTGTAGGTTGTAGCGAGCCGAGATCACGCCACTGCACTCCAGCCTGGGCACCATTGAGCACTGAGTGAATGAGACTCCGTCTGCAATCGCGGCACCTCGAGAGGCCGAGGCTGGCGGATCACTCGCGGTTAGGGGCTGGAGACCAGCCCGGCCAACACAGCGAAACCCCGTCTCCACCAAAACCAGTCAGGCGTGGCGGCGTGTGCCTGCAATGGCAGGCACTCGGCAGGCTGAGGCAGGAGAATCAGGCAGGGAGGTTGCAGTGAGCCGAGATGGCAGCAGTACTGTCCAGCTTCGGCTCCGCATGAGAGGGAGACCGTGGAAAGAGAGGGAGACCGTGGGGAGAGGGAGAGGGACAGGGAGAGGGAGAGGGAGAGGGAGAGGGAGAGGTGAATCTCTGCCCGTTCCTATTTCGAGGATGGTATCACCTATGTTGTCTTCCAGAATTTTTATAGTTTGAGCCTTACATTTAAGTCTGCCAGAATTGTCAAGTGACCATCAGATGATAGTCATGGGGGATGTTAAATTTTCTCTCTAAAGTAGTAATTGGTCACCACTCGACTGGCGGGGGAAAAATGAAAAATACCTCAGATGAGCAGGTGCACAACTTCAGTAAACACACTGCACATGTGGCCACTTCCAAGTGCTAGCAGGTCACTGCACATACAGACAGTCTACCCCAAGGGAAGAATTGGGGTAGAAGAGATGAAAAACCTGGAAGCATGCCAACAGATAAAGCCTCAAGTCAAAGGTCAAACAGCACACTTGGATATCTCCAATCACCTGCTTGGCCCTCTTCCAAATGTACTTTACTTGCTTTCACTGCTGCTCCAATAATTTTTCATAAACTTTCACTCCTGCTCTGGTCTTTCATTCTGCCTATAATCCTTGGGTGAATTATTTCCTTCAAGGAGGCAAGAATCGAGTTGCTGCTGACTTGTATGTCTTTGCCACTGCTAACATACTTCAGTGCCATGACTCACATACGTTCCCTAGTGGTAAGATACCTCTATGCCTTTCCTTCTTGGGCTGGAGGTATTCAACCTCCTTATGTGGTTTCCTTCTCCCCTTTTGCTCTCCTGCTTACTAAGCAACGCCCAGAATGATTCCTCCCCTGATTCTTCCCTTGGGGCTAACAGTGGCTCTGCTCCCCACAGCTGATCTCTCATCTCACACTGATGAGTGGCTTGTGGAGGTGGAAAAGACCTTGAAGTCCACATCAAACAGATCTGAGCCACTAATAGCCCTTCTGGACAGGAGGCTCGAGAGAGTGGTAGGGCTAAAGCCTAGGATGGTGCCATGTCTGGGGCTTCCTCTGCGTTTGAAATGAAAATGAGGTCTTTCCGCAAAACCCACACTGCCTACTCTCCTGTTTTCTCGGTGTGTATTCTGAAATGGCCTTGCACACCCACTGGACAGTCTGTCTCAAAGGCAAGTATGTCTCTTCTCTGCTTTCACTTCACATGCCATAAGACTTCCTTCTCTGCCTTAAACACACACTCCCTATTATTCATACACCTGTGGCTCTTGCTGCATTTGTGCAGCTGCAAGGAAACAGGCTCCCCTGTGGATGTCTTTTGGCTTATTGCTGGGACAGACAGTAATTAGAACCATGGCTCTGCCAGCTTCTTATGACTTACCCTATGTTTTTTGTCCCTGTTATGCTCCATAGCCAAGTTTTTCAGTGGCTCTTGAAGCAATTTGTTCACCTGCAGAGGGCTTCCCTCTATGGCCCTTTAAGGACCCCATCTACTTGCTTTTTATGAGTTAGCACCCATTTGGTAGGAGGGAAAATTCTTCCTTTGCATTTGTGAGCCCTTATCCCAAGCCCCACATCTTGCAGAATTTCTCATTTATGTCAAAAGGGCAAATAAATGTTGCCATCTCAAATCCAAGGGCTGTCGTTTTTGCAAGCACATGAAGCCTTTCCTTGAGTATCCCCCTTCTTCCTCCAGCTTCCTCCTATAGTAATAGGATGGTCCTGTCTGCTCAAGTATTTTTTCTGCACATTACCCTGGGAGGATGAGGAACCCAAAATACAAAATTTCCTCCATTCCTCTAATCATCTTCATGCCCTTCTTAGTATACCTCAAGACTTTTAAGGTCATATTTGAAGGGAGGTAAGTCCAGCCCTCTTGCAGAAATTAGCTAAAAAATAGGCTTCTCATATATTTAAAAAGCATGGGGAAATGTGATTATAAGAAAAGAGATAATCATTTTGTTGCCAGAATGCCCCAAGCTAGAGTCACTATAAGGTCATGGAGACAAGGATATAGGCCAGCCCAAGGCTGCAGATGCAAGAGACAGACGTGCCCATAGGACAGAGAGATGAAGGCTGACCCCAGGGCAGATTACCAATAGAACAGAGAGGAAGGCAAGGTTAGGGGTACCCATAAGACTGGTTAATTTCAGAACCCTGGAAATGAATAGGATCCCTGTGTTTACCCTAGTATCTCCTCTGTTCTCAAGAGGGTAATTGTGATGAGATGAGACCAAGACCAAGGTTAAGGGTACCTGGTGAGACTGGTTCATTCCAGAACCCTATGGACAAATGGGCGATGACCTGTTCAGGAAAGGATAATAGGGAAATAAGAGGAGACACATTCTTTCCTTTTTTATTTTCTGTTCCCTTTTCACAGATGGGTAATTGCATCTCTATACCACAGGACATGCCCCTCAGATCCATCCTTAACAAAGGGGAGGCAATTACAAAAGTCAGCTTAGAACCCAGTGCCTCATGCAGGAAAACCTCAAATTAGCCTCCTCAGTCTTTTCTAATTGACAGTGGAATAAGGAGGACAGGGGTAAGGAAAAGGGAAAATGCAAGAACAAGAGGCAGGCTCAACTATTGGCTGCTCTACAAGCCCTGCAGCCTCCCCCCAGGTTGTCGTCAGAATATACTCCCAGGTTCCTGCCATCAGTGTGGGAAGCCAGGGCACTGGAAGGCAAACTGTCCCAATAGGATAAATGGGAAAAAGCCCTGCACAGCTTGCTTCCTCTGTCACAAGCTTGGCCACTGGTAATGGGACTTCCCTGGGTTCCAAAGGGCCCCTGGGACAGAATCCCAACCCATCATGGTGGTCTTGAGCTGAAGAGGCTCACTACTCTGATTGGCTTACAAATGAGACATCATCATCAACAAGATGAAGCCAAGGGCAACTCTGGAGTTGAAAAGTAAAATTATAAATCCCTCTTAGGTCCAAGAGCTGCCTACTTCACTAATCTCCTTCTCTGAACAACTCTCCCACAAATCCTGTTGGGTAATGGGGGCAAATGACACCTCCTCTCTCCAAAAGAAAAGATCCACACCCCTTTATATAACTTAAGGGACCAATTACAATTCTTCCACGAGTCCCTGGTAATGTCTAAATACTCAATACCTCTTTGGGGCAAAAATATACTTTCCAAAATGAGTGCCTGCTTAATATTTACTCAACCTCTAAATTCACCTTTCTTTCTAATAGCCCTATTTCTCCTGGGGTAAGCTACAAAAATATTTAACCAATAAGTTCAACCTGGACAGTCTTACCTTAGTGGTTTAGAATAGTCCATACTTATTTGGACAAGCCCTAGGGAAATCTAACCAAGCAATCTCTTGAGGGAGGATAACTTATACATACATAGATAACCTCTTTATCTACTCCCCTGTCACAAGACTCACACAGCAACACATAGTACAAACATAACTTCCCAACAAAGGGAAAATGACTTTTGTCTAATTCAGAAGTTATAAAGAGGTATTTTTCTTGGTAAGGAAGGTTATAAAGAAAATATTTTGTCTAAAAAAGGATATTGTATGGTAAATTCTTGTCCTTAAGTAAAATGACTAGTCATTTAAAAAGAGGGATGTTTAGGATATGTCAGAAAGCTTAAGCATGTTGTAGATGGTCTATGTAAGTCATGAAAAGAATTGTGAAAAGAAATTTATAAAAATGCACAATTTTACAGGCTATTAGGCCTAATAAATCCTTCATAAACTGCTACTGTGACTCTTAACTGTACAATTTGCCTGTTTTAAAGCCATTAAATTATATGTAAGGACTGGGGACAAAAGGAGTTAGCCATGCCCCTTACCTATGCTGGAACAAGTCAAACTTCTATTCTGTTTTGACATTTCTACTTGGTTTAAAACCCAAGGAGCCTTCTCTATTTGTGGCCAATCCTTTCACCAATGCCTCCTCACTAACTGGTCTAGGACTTGTATCACAGGCTATCTATCCCCTGACATCTACATAGCCCCTGGCAATCTCTCTCTTCCAGTACCAGTCTATGGCCATTCCATCTTTCCTGGCTGGGGTGAGGAGCATTATTCAATTAATCCCCCTTCTTGTGGGACTTGGCATGATAGCTGGTGCAGAAACTGGAATTGCTGGAATCACAAAAGCCTCCTTAATCTATTGCCAACTCTCAAAGGAAATAGCCGACAATATTGATGCCGTGGCTAAAACCTTAATTATGCAAGGATAAATAGGTTCTTTAGCAGCTATAGTCTTCTAAAATTATCAAGGACTAGATATGTTAATGGTGGCACAGGAAGGAATTTTGTTTAGCCTTAGATGAAAAAATGTTGCTTTTGGGTAAATCAATTTAGAAAAGTATAAGGCAACATCAGACAACTCCTAAAACGAGCCTCCAATTTATAGGAACAAACCTCTTTGGGTTGGCTAAATTGGGAAGGAAACTTGAAATAGTTCTTCTGTGTTCTTTCTTTTATAGGCTCACTTGTTAGTCTCCTACATTTGATCCTTTGTGGTCCATGTCTTCTAAATCTAATAACTGATTTGTCTCCTCTTGCCTTCAGCCCATCAAGCTCCAGATGATTCTCAGTGAGGGATACCATCCTGTCAATATTCAAAAGTCACCCTTCTACCGAGGACTCTTTGACCAGCCATCAGAGGGACACAGCAGAAGTGAAATCCCACCCCTGTCTCCCTTGGCCCTGACTGGATACCACTTTCACTAACTCACAGAGCCACACTGTTCTGAGAGCTAGCAAGAAGCCAAGGCCCATAGAACAAGCACCACCACCTCCTCATCAGTAGGAAACAGTTTCAGAAGACTGACCTTTGTCCATTTTCCCAAAGAATTGGGTCTTGAATTCTTGAGGGGGAAAATGTTAGAGTAGGTAGTTAGGCAGGTGTGAGCAAGGAAAGAGAGGTCCCCCTCCCCAGGAATGTCAGGCAACCATCGGGTGATGGTCATGTGGTTGTTCAACTGTCTCTCTAAGATAATAATTTATCATGGCTGGTGACAGGAAAAGAGAGTCTCCCAATAAATAGGAAACACCTAAAGCTGGTGATGAGCAGCTTCCTGATAAGATTTAAGGAGTTTGGCACGTGCTTAAGCATGTGCACTGAGGCAAAATGATGGAGTTCAATTGGTATATGACCACCCTCTAAAAATACTAGAAGAACGCTAGAGGGAAAAATGCCTCAAATGAGCATGCACATAACTTCAGTAAACACACAGTGCATGCAACCCCTCCCAATTGCTGGCAAGCCACTGCACATATAGACAGTCCCTCCCCCCAGGGGAAGAATTGGGGAGAAGATTAAAAAATGCTAGAAGCATGCCAACATATAAAATTCCAAGTCAATGGTCAAACAGTGCACTCGCATCTCTCACATCACCCACTTGGCCCTCTTCCAAATGTACTTTACTTCCTTTTGTTCCTGCTCTAATAATTTTTAGTAAACTTTCACTACTGCTCTAAAACTTGCCTTGGCCTTTCATTCTGCTTTATGCCCCTCAGACATACAGTTTTTCACCATTAAGAATAATGTTATATGTAGATTTTTGTAGATGCACTTTCTCAGCTTGAAGTTCTCCTTAACTCTAAGCTTCCTAAGAGATTTTTTAAACCATCAATTTATTTTTAATTTTGAAAAATACTTTTTCCTACATCTCTTGATATTATCATAGTTTTTCATCTTTCATTCAATAGTGGAGTACATATTGATTGGCTTGTAATGTTGAACCAGCCTTGGGCTCCTAGGATTCACCTCACTTGGTTGCGATGTATTATCCTTTCTACACGTTGTTAGATTCACTAATATTTTGTTGATAAGTTTCGCATCTATGTTCATAAGGTACCTTGATCTGTAGTGTTTCTTTTGGTAATGAATTTGTCTGATTTTAATATCAGAACAATTCTGGTCTCATAAAAATTATAAAGTATTCATTTTTATATTATGGAAGAGATTGTATAAAATTGATGTAGTTTCTTTCTTAAATGCTTGATAGGATTTGCCGGTGAAGCCATTTGGACCATGGCCTATTTTTATTTCCTGGAAAGTTTTTAGCTACAGATTATTTTGTTTAGTAGCTATATATGACTATTCACATTATCTCTTTTCTTTTAAGTGGGGCTTGTTAGTTTGTGTCTTGGAAAGAATTGTTCTATGCCATATAAGTTGTTAAAGCTATGGGCATAGAGTTGTTTGTAGGATTCCCTTATCTTCCTGTGAAAAGTCTGTGGGGTCTCTCATAATGTTCCATCTTTTCTTTCTAATATTTGTAATTTGTGTTTTTACTCCATTTTTCTTCATCAGTCTCAGTAGAGATCTATTAATTTTATTGATCTTTTACAAGAGACTTGTTTTAGTTTCTCTTTAATATGGTTTTTCACTTTCATTGAATTCTGCTCCTATCTTTGTTGTGTACTTTAGATTTCTATTGGATAGAACTGCACTGGAATGTGCCTTGCATACAATAACACTCCATAGATAAGTGCTTCATGAATGAATATTTGAGTTAAGATATGAAAGATACCTTTTTTTAGACCTTAAGTCTTGAGATCAGTCCCAACTCCTTAACCATCTAATATTTTCAGGCTTCCCTCATCAAAGGTACTGCATTTCTGTGGTGCACTATTCTAAGCCTTACAAACTTACAGTCTTACCTGCTATGTTTTACTGTTGCTTCTGGCCAATATCCAAAACTAAAACACTCTAATGTTTCCCTTAGAAAAATATTTTACTATTTATCCTTTGTGTCTTTCTCACTCACACCTTGGGATTTGGCTTTGGCAATTGTTAAGGAAATTATAAAGTAGTATAGAGACATGTAAACATTTCCAAGGAAAAATAATAGAGTGCGAGATGGAAAATTCTCCATTCTGGTTATCAACTAATTTATCATTTTGCTTTTTCTATTTACCCACATTTAAAACAATGAGGTAACCAGTGGAATCTTTTTTTGTTTATAATCAAGGTATAATTTAATACAGTGAAATAAATTAAGTGTACAGTGCAATGAATTGTATATACCTGTGTAACCCATGTACCTAACTACACTTCAATTATTCCAGAGAGTTCTCTCTTGCCCCTTACTAATCAATCCCCACTCCTTCAGTGATAGCCCTTCTGAGGTTTTCCAACTTATTTTGTCTTTGCCTGTTTCAGATGCTCATATACATGAAATCATATAGTACATATTTTGTCTTGCTTCTTTTATTTAGTATAATATTTTGAGATTCATCCATGCTGTTGCATGTTTCATTAGTTTTTTTTTAATTGCTGAGTAGTATTTTTATGGTTAAAATACAATTTAGTTTATCCATTTTCTTGTTGATGGGCATCTGGGCTATTTCTACTTTTGGGCTAGTATGAATAAGATTGCTATGAACATTCTTATACAAGGACTTTTGCAGACATGCTTTCATTTCTATTGGATACATGTCAGAGTGGAATTGTTAGGTCATGGAGCAGATGCATGCTTAACTGTATAAGAAACTGCCAGTCTTAGGCACAACTTTAAATGTATGAGAGTTCCAGTTATCCACATCCTTGCCAACATTTAGTGTTGTCAGTTTTTAAATTTCAGCTATTTTAGTGGTTCTGAAGTGAAATCTCATTATAGTTTTACCTTGCATTTCTCTAATAGTGAGTGTGTTCAGCACTTGTATTTATTGGCTCTATCTTCTTTCTTAAAGTGTCTAAGTCTTTTGCCCTTTTAAAATTGGGTTGTTTTCAAAATCAATATTGAGGTGTAGGAGTTCTTTATATATTCTGGATATAAGCCCTTTGTTGGATGTCTAAGATGCCCACATATTTCCATGGTCTGTCTTGCCTTATTATATTCTTAATGGTGCTTTTAATAAGACGTCTTTAATTTTGATGAGATTTGAATCATTTTTTTTTATAGTTACTGCTTTTTGTATCTTCCCCCAGTTTTTGCCTACCCCATGTTTTCATAATATTCTTCTATGGTTTATACATTATATTTTAATTTTTACATTTAAATTTCCATCTCATATTAAATTTTGTTTAAGATGTGAGGTTAAGGTTGAGATACATCATGACATGCAGTTTATGTATATAACAAACCTGCACATATATCGCTGAACCTAAAATAAAACTTAAAGAAATACAAAAAAATAAAAATGAACAATACAACAAAAATAATACAAATAAAAAATAATAAAGCATAGCAAGTATTTACATAGTATTTTATATCAATTTAGCTATTACAAGTAATCTAGAGATGATTTAACATACATAGGAGGATGTGTGCAGGTTCTGTGCAAACATTAAGTTGAGTGTCCTCGAATTTTGTTATCCTCGTGGATCCTAGAACGAATCACTTGAGCATGCCAAAGGATGACTGTACGTACATACATGGATCACCATTTACACGTACACATGTGCTGTATGAATATATATACTTGTGTACATATAAACTCATGCATATGAACATATATGTAAACATGCATAAATATGCGTAATCATTTATAAATATGTACATGTACATGTGTACATTGTATACATATTTTACACATGTATACCTGTACATGTTATACATGTACTTATATATGTACCTATGTTATCTGTACTTATGCATTTATATAACCTTTATTATCTATAAATAGTTACTTTCATATATGAAATATATGAAATATATATCATATATTTATTGAAATATATATATTGAAACATATTTCATATATGAAATATATGAAATATATATCATATATTTATTGAAATTACACTCTTCATCATTTTACCTTTGTTTCTCTCTTCAGCTCACCTCTCATCCTTCCCTCCCATCCGAACTCCCATTCCAGCCACAGTAAACTGCTTGAAAATTTCTGAGTTGCCCATCTTCTCCTGTGTCTTTCAAACTATTGCTTCCTTAGCCTGGAAAGACTACTCAGTTAAGCCTTTCTTAACTGGGCTTAGCGGGTAATTTTATTTTAAGACTCCTCTCAGCCATTATCAGCTTCCTAAACCTTCCTTGAATGCTTAATCTGAATTTAGTGCCTTTTATTTGTGCTTCCACAGCTTCCCTCCTTTCCTTTCTAGGTACAGGTTCAGCATTCAAAATAAACTCATCGCAGCCATTTTGTTCAGCACCAATTACATGAAATATGTACATCAGGTTACATCTTGCTTTCCTTCAGAGTGAGGCGTGTCATGTTAGTACTTTCATACTGCCAGCTGTGATCACTGAAGCTGAACAAAGAGTTCTACCCACAGGTTGAAGCAGCCAGTCCCCTGGGAATTTCCCTTGGACTGGAACATAAGAATCAGGCTGGCAGAATCAGATTCCCTGAGTTTGACAGCAGAGGAAAGGGCTTTGATAGGCAGTTTGCCTGATCCCCATCTCACTCTGGCACATCCTGCCTTAGCTACAAGAAAACTGCTGAAGCACTGTTGAAATTCATGTGACTCAATTGAGACTCATTCTGTAGGGACAACAGAGAACTGATTTGGATCACCTGGCTCAAGTAGGTGAGTAGATTTAGTAAGATTTACGGACATAGTCCTTGCTTCATTGATGGTCTTCATTTTTATTCCTCTCTCTTCTTTGTGCCATCTAGAGGGAACTCCATTCCACATTTCCAGGGACTTGACAGTCCTGTAGTTAGCCACTAGTTTAAGGCATGTCCCACATGTCCTACCTGAGCCTATTACAGGCTTTATGAAGTCAGCTGTATCTGAGTTGTGGGAATGTGGTGAGACTAGAGAATGTCATGGTGTTAAGCCCATTGCTGTGCTTCATTTGCTGTAAAATGATTCTGTTTGTGAGAGACAATGTTGTATAGCAGGGGTCCCCACCCCTGGGCCACAGACTGTTGCTGCTCCATGGCCTGTTAGAAATCAGGCCAACAGCAGGAAGTGAGTGCAGGGCCAGCAAGCGAAGCTCCATCTGTATTTATAGGTCATCCCCAGTGCTCACATTACCTCCTGAGCTCCGTCTCCTGTCAGATCAGCAGCAGCATTAGATTAATATAGGAGTGCGAAACCTATTGTAAACTGTGCATGTGAGGGATCTAAATTGCATGCTCCTTATGCCTGATGATCTGTCACTGTCTCCCACTGTCACGCCCAGGTGGGACCATCTAGTTGCAGGAAAACCAGGTCAGGCCTCCCACTGATTCTACATCATGGTGAGTTGCATAATTATTTCATTACATATTACAATGCTATAATAGTAGAAATAAACTGCCCAATAGATTTAAGGCACTTGATACATCACCAAACTAATCCTCCCTTCCCCCAGTCCATGGAAAAACTGTTTTCCATGAAATCTGTCCTTGGTATCAAAAAGGTTGGGGACTGCTGTTGTATGGGATATCATGGAATGAAAGGGCATTCTGTATGTATATGAGTTGTGCATTAAGAAGTGCTGCTGGCAGGGACATCAGATCCAATAACAGAGTATCTGTCCCTTCAAGGTGAATGAGTGTCCCTTTAATTATAGATGTGCCCATCTAACCTATTAGGTTCCTGAAAACTAAAAGTCCTCTACTGCATGTCTTTTGGCTAGGGAGAAGATGAGGGACTCCTTCAGAGCTGAAATGGAGACCTCTGGGTTTTTCGAACATGTTCTCAGTTGTCTATTTAGAACTTTAAATTGCCCCTTTTCCTTAAGTCCGTCTTCCAGGGTAGTCTGAAGAAGGTAGAGGACTGCACAGTCTTTACAATTACTATTTTTTGCCATAGCAAACAAGTCATTTTGTTTTCTTCTCTGTACCTTACTCCTCACTTGCAGTTAATCTTTGTACCTCAAATATTGGCAAATTGCATCCATACATTAGCTGTGCCCTCCTCGAATACATAAGAAAACCAATTTCAGAATCATATTTGGAGGGTTTCTTTCTGGGAGACACTTTAAGTACCAGTTCCTCATCAGTCGTGGTTCTAATAAAAAAAAAAAAAGTTGAAATGCTCAAATTTTGGGGCATTCAAATAAAAGATCATTTACAAATGTGTGAATAAGGTGTAGGGAAATCCTATTGCAATATCCTGGAGCTAAAATAAAAGGATTGTGACCAGGCCTGGGCTTGAGGGAGCAGGAGCAGGAAGCAGTAACTAAAACTTGAGGACAATGAGGACTTTTTTGTTTTAATGAAAATTATGAGTCGAGATTTGAATCTGGTTCCAAAGCCCCTGCTTTTTATCCCTCTTAAACAATAAAATTCAATATACTAAAAATGATGAGTGAACAAATACTTTATCATTCTTAATTTTCTTGTAGTACTTATACTTTATAGTATAGTACCTATTAGGCACCATTATGACCACTTTATATATAATAATTCAATCAATTCCAACAATAAATGTAATGAGGAAAAATTATTATTCCTTACTTACAGCTGAATAAACAGAGTCACAGAGTGTTTTTATAGTAACTTGCTTAAGTTCATACAACTAAATAGTAAAAACAGGATTTCTACTTAGCAGTACCATTTTAGGACCTCGCTTTTAATCACTATGCATACTACCTCTTAGCCTCTTAGTAGTTCCTATCCTAGAGGATAAAGCTTAAATTCATTACCCTAGCATATGAAGCCCTTCACAGTGTGCTCTCTGCCTCATTCCTTAATCTTGATAGACAAATATATTCCTCAATTTCCCTTGCTCAGTAGGGTTTCTGCATATTGAATCTGGTGTATGTCCCCATTCCCTTTATACTCTATGAGATAACCACCTCATTCTTCAAAATGTTGACACCACCTCACTAGTAAAGTCTTCACTTTGTGGATCTTCTCCCTGCCATGATGCTGCAGAGTGAATTGCTCTCCAAGGTTGCAAGAACTGCCCATGTACATAAGATGGCAGTTTTACATTATTGTTACTATCCAAGTGTCTGTTCACTTGTCTATGACCCTAGAATCTAGCAAACTTTTTTTGTTGAGGGATAGATAACCATCACATTTGTCTGCTGAATCAAAAGCCAAAACATTATAGAACTGATGAAAAACCTTCACATTAGACTAAAATATGCAATTGTGTTTTACCCTTTGTTCTCCATGGCCATATAGGCTCATTCATCTGTCTCTATTTGTGAGTTCTTCAGAAGCAGGAAATTCTGAGGGATTGCCACAACTAAAGAAAAGAAAGTCATATTCTCTTATAAAGTGGTTACTTATTCATTCCATAAGAATAATAGATCTAAAGATGTCTTTAAATTTTTCTTTGAACCTAAATGTAACTAAATGTGGCAGATGCTTAGGCTAAGGTTTTGGAGAACAAGACCTACTCCCTAGATCTGCTGCCACTTTCTCTGGAAAAGCAGGTTCACCTGATGAAATTTACAACACCAGAAGACAAATGACATCTAGCCTGGGAGGAAGAAATCCTTTAATGAGAAAGAAGCCTCTGGCTGGACTTGGTCATTATATTGAACATCTTAAAAGTAGAGTTACCAGATTTAGAAAATAAAAATTATATGATGCACAAGAAATATTTATACCAAAAAACTTGCACTGCCGATCTGAAATTCAAATCTAACTGGGGGTTCTACGTTTCATCTGGTAACTCTATTTGAGAGTTAATTACTGCAGGAAGATGTGGAGATATGTGATTTCTGTGACATATTAATCCTGTTCTCACTGAACCTGCCTAATTTCTTATCACAGGTATAATGGAAACTACAGGGCTATCTTTCTCCAGATACTTTGTTGTTATGAATCTCCTCCAGATGACAATATCAAGTTCAGGTATGACTCTCTCTCTTACCCTTACGGGCCTTGGCAATATGAAGTGTGCCAGAAAAAGCAAGGACCAAACAAAAGGGACAAACTCTTGAGCATTTTCCTTAGGTTTAATACATAGTTATGTAATGAGGATATGTACTATAAGAACTGTCTTATGGTTAGGAAAAATTACTTCTAATCAGCAAGTCTTTATCATGTATTAGGTTCCAGGGAGAAAAAAAAAAACAACAACAAATGAAGAAGACCTAACATTTGCCCTCAAGAACTCAATATTTGTATTGAGGTGACATGATTTACTTATATCTTATACAATGAAGAAGCTGTCCAAATTGTGGTCCATATTGGAATCCATGTGAGTTATCTGTACAGTAAGATAAGCAAAGACACAATAGGCTGGTGGGACCTCGATAGGTGATGAAAATTTGCAGTGGAAGGGGATCAATGCAAAGCAGACATAAATATAGTTTATTTAGAGACATATACATTAAAATCCTGAACCAATAAGTGGCATACAAGATTTAAAATTTCTGGCAAAAGCTACTTGTTACATGGTACAAATCTTACCAATGTGTAGTTGGGTAGTGTCCAGTCTTTGGCTAATAAAACGAAAGCTGCCACAAACACCCTTGTACATATGTTTTGAGCATATCTGTAAGTAAGAATGTAGGAAATATTTCTATGAATAGAACTATTTTGTCAAAGGCTATGTGCTGTTTTTATTACGATATCAAAAATATTCTGAAATAGTTACCAGTGTACATGTCCACCAACAGCATATGTGAGTTTGTCAGGTGGGTGTTACAGGTTTCAGGGTTTTTTGTATTTTCCAAATTTACAGATGAAAAATAGAAACTCACAGTGATAATATTTTACTTGTTTATTGAGTTAGGGTGGCCTTCTTTCCTCTCAAAAAATTGTATTCATTTTCTCTAAACTGCCTACTTAATGCCTTACTCCACATTTCCTTTGCATTAAACTTGCACAAATCTCTTTTTGATCTGTTATAACTGTTGCATGTGTTTCTGACCAGTTTATAATTCAATGGACTTGTTAGTTATATTTTGGATGTGCAGAATTATTTGGTTTTGACTTTTGATTTTATTTTGTGAATTACAAAATTTCCCCCAAGTTTCCATTTATTTCGCTCTCCTTTTTCTCCTCATTGACTTTTAACATTTTTATAGACTTTATTTTCTATAGAAGTTTTAGGTTCACAGAAAAATTGTGCAGAAGGTATATAAAGTTCCCACATAGCCCCACTCCCTCTTCCCTACCTGCCCCCCTCCCACAGAGTTTCCCCTTTTGATAACCTCTTGCATTTGTGTGATACATTTATTGAAATTAATGAACCAATATTGATAGATTATTATTAACAAAAGTCCAAGTTTACATTAGACACTCTGTGTTGTACCATTCTCTAGGATTTAACAAATTGTTATATAAATGAGCCAGAGATGGCCTTTGCATATTGGCCCTTTGTTGCTTACTTCTTAAATCAGGCTGAGACTCATTAGCTCAAAAGCCCACAGTGCCAAACTGAAATGTTTTCGCATCCAGTTGTTGTAAATATATCTCCAACAGGCAGATTTTTTTTGCCATTTTATGTCTTCCTGCTTTGTACACCTTGGGAAACTGCACCCAACATCTGCCGGCCATAGATAAGAAAAATCTTGTAGTTACATAAACTGCAGGCTGCTGCCCTTCAGAGCCCTCTGACCCAGCAGCTTCCTACCATGCTGTGAAGTGATGTTATCTAGACATGCAGCATCTCCCTTCCCATCCTTGGGAGCTCCTTTGTCCTCCTGCGTTCTGGATGGTGGTCCCCTGTGCTTCTATAAGGCCTTATGCTGTGAGGACTGTTCTTTTTGCAACCCTGTCCAAGTAGCGTCCAAGTAGAAGCTTTGTGTGCTACTGCCACCTGTGGGCTTATCTTTTTCCTTGATAAGCCTCTGAAATTCTCAAATTCATTATATAAATGTATTATGCTATGTATCCACTGTTATAGTATCATAGGATATAATTTCACCATCATAAAAATGTCCTGTGCTTCACCTGTTCATCCCTCCCTTCCCCTGAAGCCTGGCCAATTACTGCTCTTTTTACTGTCTCTATAGGTCTGACTCAGAATTTCATACGGTTGGATTCATACAGTCTGTGCCCTTTTCAAACTGACTTATTTCACTTAGTAATATGTATTTAATCTTCCTACATGTCTTTTAATGGCTTCATAACTCATTTCTTTCTATCACTGAGTAATAGTTCATTGTATGGACTTATCATAGTTTGTTTATTCATTCACTTACTGAAGCACATCTTGACTGCTTCCAATTTTAACAAGTATTAGAAAAGACTCTTTAAGCATTTGTATCAAGTTTTCAACTAATTTGGGTTATACTTAGAAGCACAATTTCTAGATTATATAGTAAGCTTATATTCAGCTTTGCAAGAATGTCAAACTGTCTTCCAAAGTTCCTATACCATTTTGCACTCCCACCAGCAATGAATGAGAGTTCCTGTTCTTCACGTCCTTGTTTGTATTTTTGATTTCAGCCATACTTATAATAGGTTTAGGGTAGTATCTCATTGTTTGAATTTGCAATTCCTAAATGATATATGATTTTGAGCATTTTAACATCTTTATTTGTCATCTATCTTCTTTAATAAAGTATCTGTTCAGATATTTTGTCTATTTTTAATTGTGCGGTTTGTTTTTACACTGTTAATTTGTATATTCTGCATAGAATCCTTCATCAGCTATCTTTTGCAATTTTTTTTTAGTCTGTGGCTTGTCTTTTTTTTCTCTTAACAAAAGCTTTTGCAGAGCAGACATTTTTAATTTTAATGAACCAAAATTTGAATATAATGAATTAGTGTTTGATCTGTTATACCTTTTCTATACATTCTTGACCAGTTTGAAATTCAATTTAGTGACTTATTTTTATGTTGTACAATTCAACAGTTTCTTCTTTTCACAGTGTCCAAGTCCTACGTTTTCTTAGTAAGAGTTTTCCAGACCACATTTCAAGATTATAACAATGACTCTTTCATTTATTTTAAATTTTGAAACTAACCCATGCAAAATGATTTCTTATATAATAATTGAGATTAAAATCTGACATTATTTTTTCAAAAAATACCTAGTTGTTTTTTTATTTATTAAGTAATCCATCTTTCTTCAGATATCCGAGATGTTATTTTTGTCATAAACCAAATTCCCCTAAGGATTTGCATTTCCAAACTCTGCCCCATTGAACTCTCTTCTCATGGGCCAATTACAGAACTCTTTTAAAAATGTAGTATTTATATAATTAATTTAATATCTTGCAGAAATATTCTCTGCTGTTTTTTATAATATAGTTTTTCTATTTAAAGTTTATAAGCATATTTTCTTTTTTGAAGTACTTTAAAGGTATTTTTATTTTCAGGATCTCAAATGGTTCCATCAAGTTATGTGTGCTGTATTGTTGATTTTAACATAAAATATTCTGATATTTTCCATTATGCCTTTCAAATTTTTTTCTTTCTCTTTATTTTCTCTAAGATTGTTGTAAACTGGAAAATGTGATAAAATATGTATTATACAACCTTAAGAATATATCAAATTATATATCTAGTTAGATATAAAAACTAGTATAGAATAACAATGAAATGATTTTACCTTGCATTATTATTATTATTTTAGAATAGACATAAAGGTAAATATGACAACTAGCTTGTAATCACTCTATATGTGATATTTTGCTGTTACATAAGCATTTAAAACACATTCAAAATAATCAATATTTTAAATATATAATTGGAGTTTAATTGATTAAGGCACTAAAATTTGCAGAGTCTGCAAAATATCTCAAGCACTGATCTTAGGAGCAGTTTAGGGAGGGTAAGAATCTTGTAGTCTCAAGCTGCAATGCCCTTTAGCCATAATTTCTAATCTTGTAGCTAATGTTAGTCCTACAGAGGCAATCTAGTCCCCAGGCAAGAAGGAGGCCTGCTTTGGGAAAGGGCTGTTATCATCTTAGTTTTTTTTGTTTTTGTTTTTTAATTTTTTTAGTATTTATTGATCATTCTTGGGTGTTTCTCGGAGAGAGGGATTTGGCAGGGTCATAGGACAATAGTGGAGGGAAGGTCAGCAGATAAACATGTGAACAAAGGTCTCTGGTTTTCCTAGGCAGAGGGCCCTGCCGCCTTCCGCAGTGTTTGCGTCCCTGGGTACTTGAGATTAGGGAGTAGTGACGACTCTTAAGGAGTATGCTGCCTTCAAGCATCTGTTTAACAAAGCACATCTTGTACCGCCCTTAATCCATTTAACCCTTAGTGGACACAGCACATGTTTCAGAGGGCACGGGGTTGGGGGTAAGGTTATAGATTAACAGCATCCCAAGGCAGAAGAATTTTTCTTAGTACAGAACAAAATGGAGTCTCCCATTTCCACCTCTTTCCACACAGACACAACAAGAATCCGATCTCTCTGTCTTCTCCCCACATTTCCCCCCTTTCTACTCGACAAAACTGCCATCGTCATCATGGCCCATTCTCAATGAGCTGCTGGGTACACCTCCCAGATTGGGTGGCGGCCGGGCAGAGGGGCTCCCCACTTCCCAGATGGGGCAGCCAGGCAGAGGCGCCCCCCACCTCCGGGACAGGGCAGCGGCCGGGCGGGGGCTGCCCCCCACCTCCCGCAGGGGGTGGCTGGCCGGGTGGGGGCTGCCCCCCACCTCCCGGACGGAGCGGCTGGCCTGTCGGGGGCTGCCCCCCACCTCCCGGACGGGGGGGCTGGCCGGGCGGGGGCTGCCCCCCACCTCATCATCTTAGTTTTAAACTATAAACTATAAATAAGTTTCTCCCAAAGTTAGCTCAGCCTATGCCCAGGAATGAACAAGGACAGTTTGGGTTTTAGAAGCAAGACGGAGGCAGTTATGTTAGATCTCTTTCACTGACTCAGCCTTAATTTTGCAAAATAGACTTCACTTTCCTCAATGAGTGGGGCAAGGGACCAACATGGAGAGTTTGAAATGTCCCCTCTTCCCACATCTTATTATAGTCAGGGACTAAATATCAACTTTGAGAGTTTCTGAGCCTCAACACTGAAAGAACTTCTGTTACAGCCAAGTTGTATCACAAGCAGAAAACGATAAATGAAACATCCTAACCTGTGTACATTTGTAGGGGCAGGTGGTGATAGTTTAAGACATCTTGTTGGTAACATCGAAGAAAACAGAGAGACGCAACGTGTTAAGCATAGTACTTCCATAATAACAGACTGTGAAGAATAAGGAGGTCAAACTAAACATAGAATGTGTGAGAATTTTCCAGAATTTAAAAAAGACAAGAATCATCCAATTCAAGAAGCACTATGAAAGAGCCAGAAAAAGACAAATGCATTCATACATGGATTCATTATAGTTAAAATGGAGTAAATTTTAAGAACTGCCTGAAAGTATGTTTAGAGTAAATGAAATAATGGAATGAAGATGGGCATGTGTGGCTGGCAAGATGACTGAATAGGAACAGCTCGTCTGCACCTCCCATCAAAATCATTGCAGAAGGTAGGTGATTTCTGCATTTCTAACTGAGGTACCCAGCTCATGTCATTGAGACTGGTTAGACAGAGGGTGCACAGAGGGCAAGCTGAAGCAGGGTGGGGCATCACCTCACCCGGGAAGTGCAAGGGGTTGGGGAACTCCCTCCCCTAGCCAAGGGAAGCCATGAGGGACTGTGCCATGAGAAGCGGTGCTTTCCAGCCGAGATACTACCTTTTTACCATGGTCTTCACAACCCATAGACCAGGAGATTCCCTCAGGTGCCTACGCCACCAGGGCCCTGGGTTTCAAGCACAAAACTGGGCGGCTGTTTGGGCAGACACCAAGCTAGCTGCAGGAGTTTTTGTTCATAACCCAGTGGCACCTGGAATGCCAGGGAGAGAGAACCATTCACTTGCCTGGAAATGGGGCTGATGCCAGGGAGCCAAGTGGTCTAGCTCAGTGGATCCCATCTCCATGGAGCCCAGCAAGCTAAGATCCACTGGCTTGAAATTCTCGCTGCCAGCACAGCAGTCGGAAGTCATCCTGGGATGCTCGAGCTTGGTGCAGAGAAGGGCATCCACCATTACTGAGGCTTGAGTAGACGGTTTTCCCCTCACAGTATAAAGAAAGCGGCCTGAAATTTCAAACTGGGCAGAGCCCACTGCAGCTCCACAAAGCCGCTGTAGCCAGACTGCTTCTCTAGATTCTTCTTCTCTGGGCAGGACATCTCTGAAAGAAAGGCAGCAGCCCCTGTCAGGGGCTTATAGATAAAACTCTCATCTCCCTGGAACAGAGCACCTGGGGGAAGGTTGGCTGTGGGCACAGCTTCAGCAGACTTAAACATTCCTGACTGCTGGCTCTGAGGAGAGAAGTGGATCTCCAAGCACAGCACTTGAGCTCTGCTAAGGGACAGATTGCCTCCTCAAGTGGGTACCTGACCCCTGTGCCTCCTGATGGGGAGACACCTCCCAGAAGGGGTTGACAGACACCTCATATGGGAGAGCTCTGGCTGGCATCTGGTGGGTGCCCATGTGAGACAAAGCTTCCAGAGGAAGGAAAGGGCAGCAATCTTGGCTGTTCTGTAGCTTCTGCTGGTGATATCCAGGCAAACAGGGTCTGGAGTGGACCGACAGCAAACTCCAGCAGACCTGCAGCAGAGGGGCCTGAGTGTTAGAAGGAAAACTAATAAACAGAAAGGAATAGCATCAGCATCAACAAAAAGGACTTCCTCACCAAAACCCCAACTGAAGGTCAGCAATATCAAAACCAAAGGTAGATAAATCCATGAAGATAAGGAAAAAACAGGGCAAAAAGGCTGAAAATTCCGAAAACCAGAAAACCTCTTAATAACAAACTCCTCCGAGCTAATGGAGCATGTTCCAACCCAATGCAAGGAAGCTCACAACCTTTAAAAAAAGTTAAAGGAATTGCTAAATAGAATAGCCAGTTTAGAGAAGAACAGAAATGACCTAATGGAGCTGAAAAACACAGCACGAGAATTTTGTGAAGCATACACAAGTATTAATAGCCGAATCGATCAAGAGGAAGAAATTATATCAGAGACTGAAGATCAACTTAATGAAATAAAGCATGAAGACAAGATTAGAGACAAAAGAATGAAAAGGAATGAACAAAGCTGCCAAGAAATATGGGACTATGTGAAAAGAACAAACCTATGTTTGATTGGTGTACCTGAAAGTGAAGGGGAAAATGGAACCAAGTTGGAAAACACTCTTCAGGATATTATCCCAACCTAGCAAGACAGGCCAACATTCAAATTCAGGAAATACAGAGAACACCACAAAGATACTCCTCGAGAAGAACAACCCAAGACACGTAATTGTCAGATTCACCAAGGTTGAAATGAAGGAAAAAATGTTAAGTGCAGCCAGAGAGAAAGGTCGGGTTACCCACAAAGGGAAGCCCATCAGACCAATAGTGGATGTCCGTGCAGAAACCCTACAAGCTAGAAGAGAGTGTGGGCCAATATTCAACATTCTTAAAGAAAAGAATCTTCAACCCAGAATTTCATATCCAGTTTCATATCCAGCCAAACTAAGCTTCGTAAGTGAATGAGAAATAAAATCCTTTACAGACAAGCAAATGCTGAGAGATTTTGTCACCACCAGGCCTGCCTTACAAGAACTCCTGAAGGAAGCACTAAATATGGAAAGGAAAAACTGGTACCAGCCACTGCAAAAACATACCAAATTGTAAAGACCATCAACACTATGAAGAAACTGCATCAACTAATGGGCAAAGTAACCAGTTAGCATCATAATGACAGGATCAAATTCACACATAACAATATTAACCTTAAATGTAAATGGGCTAAATGCCCCAGTTAAAAGACACAGACTGGCAAATTGGATAAAGAGTCAAGACCCTCATTGTGCTGTATTCAGGAGACCCATCTCATGTGCAAAGACATACATAGACTCAAAATAAAGGGATGGAGGAATATTTACCAAGCAAATGGAAAGCAAAAAAAGCAGGGGTGCAATCTTAGTCTCTGATAAAACAGACTTTAAACCAACAAAGATCAAAAAAGACAAAGAAGGGCATTACATAATGGTAAAGGGATCAATGCAACAAGAAAAGCCAAATATCCTAAATATATATGCACCCAAAACAGGAGCACCCAGATTCATAAAGCAAGTTCTTAGAGAACTACAAAGAGATGTAGACTTTGACTTAATGATAATGGGAGACTTTAACACCCCACTGTCAATATTAGACATATCAACGAGACATAAAATTAACAAGATATTCAGGTCTTGAACTCAGCTCTGGACAAAATGGACCTAATAGACATCTACAGAACTCTCCATCCCAAATTAACAGAATATACATTCTTCTCAGCACCACATCACATTTATTCTAAAATCGACCACATAATTGGAGGTAAAGCACTCCTCAGCAAAAGCAAAAGAATGGAAATGATAACAAACAATCTGTCAGACAACAGTGCAATCAAATTAGAACTCAGGATAAAGAAACTCACTGAAAACTGCACAACTACATGGAAACTGAACAATCTGCTCCTGAATGACTACTGGACAAATAACAAAATTAAGGCAGAAATAAGTAAGTTCTTTGAAACCGATGAGTACAAAGACATAATGTACCAGAATCTCTGGGGCACAGCTAAAGCAGTGTTTAGAGGGAAATTTATAGCACTAAATGCCCACAGGAGAAAGTGGGAAAGATACCCTAACACCACAATTAAAAGAACTAGAGAAGCAAGAGAAAACAAATTCAAAAGCAAGCAGAAGAAAATAAATAACTAAGATCAGGGCAGAAGTGAAGAAGACACAAAAAGCCCTTCCAAAAATCAATGAATCCAGAAGCTAGTTTTTTGAAAAAAATTAACAAAAGAGATAAATGCCTAGCCAGACTAATGAAGAAAAAAGAGAAGAATCAAATAGACACAACAAAAAATGATAAAGTGGCTATCACCACTGATCCCACAGAAATACAAACTACCGTCAGAATACTATAAACACCTCTATGCAAATAAACCAGAAAATCTAGAAGAAATGGATAAATTTCTGGACACATACACCCTCCTTAGACTAAACCAGGAAGAAGTCGAATCCCTGAATAGACCAATAACAAGTTCAGAAATTGAGGCAGTAATTCATAGCCTACCAACCAACAAAAGCCCAGGACCAGATGGATTCACAGCCAAATTCTACCAGAAGTAAAAAGAGGAGCTGGTAGCATTCCTTCTGAAATTATTTCAAACAATAGAAAAAGAGGGAGTCTTCCCTGACTAATTTTATGAGGGCAGCGTCATCCTGATTCCAAAACCTGGCAAAGACACAACAACAACAAAAAAGAAAATTTCAGGCCAATATCCCTGATGAACATCAATGTGAAAATTCTCAATAAAATACTGGCAAAATGAATCCAGCAGCACATCAAAAAGCTTATCCACCATGATCAAGTTGGCTCCATCCCTGAGAAGCAAGGCTGGTTCAACATATACAAATCAATAAACCTAATCCATCACATAAACAGAACCAATGACAAAAACCACATGATTATCTCAATAGATGCAGAAAAGGCCTCAATAAAATTCAACATTCCTTCATGCTAAAAACTCTCAATAAACTAGGTATTGATGGAATGTATCTCAAAATAATAAGAGCTATTTATGACAAACCCACAGCCAACATCATACTGAATGGGCAAAAGCTGGAAGCATTCCCATAGAAAATCGGTGCGAGACAAGGATGCCCTCTCTCACCACTCCTATTCAACATAGTATTGAAAGTTCTGGCCAGGGCAATCAGGCAACAGAAAGAAATAAAGCATGTTCACATAGGAAGAGAAGAAGTCAAATTGTCTCTGTTTGCCAATGACACGATTGTATATTTAGAAAACCCCATGGTCTCGGCCCAAAAACTCCTTAAGCTGATAAGCAAATTCAGCAATGTCTCAGGATGCAAAATCAGTGTGCAAAAATTACAAGCATTCCCATACACCAATAATAGACAAACAGAGAGCCAAATAATGAGTGAACTCCCATTGACAATTGCTACAAAGAGAATCAAATACCTAGAAATACAACTTACAAGGGATGTGAAGGGCCTCTTCAAGGAGAACTACAAACCACTGCTCAAGGAATTCAGAGAGGACAAAAACAAATGGAAAAACATTCCATGCTCATGGATAGGAAGAATCAACATCATGAAAATGGCCATACTGCTTAAAGTAATTTATAGATTCAATGCTATCCCCATCAAGCTACCACTGACTTTCTTCACAGAATTAGAAAAAACTACTTTAAATTTCATATGGAACCAAAAAAGAGCCTATGTAGCCAAGGCAATCCTAAGCAAAAAGAACAAACCTGGAGGCATCATTCAACCTGACTTCAAACTACACTACAAGGCTACAGTAACCCAAACAGCATGGTACTGATAACCAAACAGATATATTGACCAATGGAACAGAACACAGGCCTCAGAAATAACTCCACACATCTACAACCATCTGATCTTTGGCAAACCTGACAAAAACATGCAATAGGGAAAGGATCCCCTATTTAATAAATGGTGTTGGGAAAACTGGCTAGCCATATACAGAACACTGAAACTGGACCCCTTCCTTATACCTTACACAAAAATTAACTCAAGATGGATTAAAAACTTAAATGTAAGACCTAAAACCATGAAAACCCCAGAAGAAAACCTAGGCAATACCATTCAGGACATAGGCACGGGCAAAGACTTCATGACTAAAACACCAAAAGCAATGGCAACAAAAGCCAAAATTGACAAATGGGATCTAATTAAACTAAAGAGCTTCTGCACAGCAAAAGAAACTATCATCCAAGTGAACAGGCAACCTACAGAATGGGAGAACATTTTTGCAATATGTGCATCTGACAAAGGGCTAATATCCAGAATCTACAAGGAACTTAAACAAATTTACAAGAAAAGAACAAACAACCCCATCAAAAAGTGGGGAAAAGATATGAACAGATGTTTCTCAAAAGAAGACATTTATGTGGCCAACACACATATGAAAAAAAGCTCATTATCACTGGTCATTAGAGAAATGCAAATCAAAACCACAATGAGATACCATCTTATGCCAGCTAGAATGGTGATCATTAAAAAATCAGAAAACAACAGATGCTGGTGAGGTTGTGGAGAAATAGGAATGCGTTTACTGGGTATATACCAAAAGGATTATAAATCATTCTACTACAAAGACACATGCACACGTGTGTTTATTGCAGCACTGTTCACATTAGCAAAGACTTTGAACCAAGTCAAATGCTCATCAATGATAGACTGGTTAAAGAAAATGTGGCTCATAAACACCATGGAATACTATGCAGTCATAAAAAAGATGTGTTCATGTCCTTTGCAGGGACATGGATGAAGCTGGAAACCACCATTCTCAGCAAACTAACACAGGAACAGAAACCAAACACTGCATGTTCTCATTCATAAGCGAGAGTTGAACAATGAGGGCACGTGGGCACAGGGAGGGGAACATCACACACCAGGGCCTGTCGGGTGGTGGGGGGACAGGGGAGGGATACCATTAGGAGAAATACCTAATGTAGATGATGGGTTGATGGGTGCAGCAAACCACCATGGCACGTGTATACCTATGTAACAAACCTGCACATTCTACACATGTATCCTAGAACTTAAAGTATAATAATAATAATAATGTTGTTTTAACTAGGGTGAAAAAAAAGAATGAAGAGGGGCAATTGTTATACTGGTAGTAGTACTTTTTCTTTATTTTAACAGAAATGAAAACCATACAGCAACAATGGAAACCATTTTTTATATTTCTTTCTTTCTTTTTTTTTGTTTTCAGATGGAGTCTCGCTCTGTCTTCCAGGCTGGAGTGCAGTGGCGTGATCTCAGCTCACTGCAACCTCCGCCTCCTGGGTTCTAGTGATTCTCCTGTCTCAGCCTCCCAAGTAGCTGGGATTACAGGTGCACACCACCATGCCCAGCTAATTTTTTTTTGTATTTTTAGTAGAGACAGAGCATATTGGTCAGGCCAGTCTCGAACCCCTGACTTCAGGTGATCCACCCACCTCGGCCTCCCCATATTTCTTAAAGTAATTTGATGAATTTCCATTCAAGCAAAGTGCAAAGTAAAGGTGTTTTCAAGGAAAAGAGAAAACAAAAGAATGTACTCTCAATAAAGTGTGTGTGTGTGTGTGTGTGTGTGTGTGTGTGTGTGTGTGTGTCTATGGGTGTTTGTGATATAATAATTCAAATAAAAATTTTGTCTTGGTCCACTTCTCATCCTTTCGTTGCTGTCTCCCTTCACAGAACAATTCATAGTGAATAGCTTATAGAGGCCAATCTTGGCTCCACTGGGTGGAAAAGTTGAGCTCAGTTGCCAGCTGTCTCCACCACAAAGCGCAGAACACATGGAAATACGCTGGTTCCAGAGTCACTACACACGACCTGTTTACCTGTATAAGGATGGTAAAGACCTGTATGGAGAAACTATCTCCAAGTATGTGGAGCGGACAGAGCTCCTGAAAGAAGCCATTGGAGAAGGTAAAGTGACCCTCAGGATCCTTAATGTCAGTGCTGATGATGACGGGCAGTACCACTGCTTCTTCAAAGACAGAAATGTCTATGAAGAGTCCATCACAGAAGTGAAGGTCACAGGTAAGGATGGATCCCTGTGAGTTTTCTATGCATCCAAGATTCTCAACCTGTATGAGGCTGAGTATTAGGAAAATTCTCACTATTTCTATTTTTATATTATATGGTCTGGTTAACAAGGTCAAATTTATGAGTTTAGAGTTTGATTTGGAAAGAGTGGAGGATCAAGAATGAGAATTATATCTGTTCAGACATCAAAACTATCAGTAAATACTGTCTGCTTTTTTACGTCTACATATATTGCTAGATTGCTAAAAAATTAACAGAATCCTTTTAGAATTTGTTACAATCCTTCTAATTATTTCTGGCAACACTTTAGTAAAACTTGACTTTTAAAAGTACCTGAATCTTTACAATAGACTCTTTAATGATAATTTTTATTCTCATTTCTCCCTGAATCAAATTACTGACTACTTAGTTACAGATTCACCTTTCTAAATGTATTTCAGAAAGCCTTCACCTACTATCTTCAAAATTCTACAGTCTATATACTATATGGGTGCTATTTGCAAATACGTAGCATTTAAGCCAATCACCCTTGAAGTATTCTGAATGAAAGGTGAATACTCACCCTTGAAGTAGTCTGAACGGCAGAGAAATGGAGGGGAGATGGAGGACTTGAAGCAAACTAAGGTCTTCACAAATATGAGGACACATGTGGAGGGATCCAGGGCACTCATGCTTAACATATTTACTGGATATTATATGACACCCAACTCCATAGTCTACAGCTGAGCTATCCAATATGATATATATTAGCCACATGTGGCCATTTAAATTCATATGAAAATTAAATAAAATTAAGCATTCAGTTTTTCAGTCTCAATGGCCACATTTCAGGTGCTTAGTTGTCTCATGTGGCAAGCAGCTACTGCATTAGAGGGCACACATATAGAATATTTCCATAATTGCAGAAAATTTTATTAGACAGGGCTGCTTTAGAGTCACACTTTAAATCTCTGTTCATTATTTCTTTGCCCACATATTAGGCAAGACTTATGTCCTAGGTAATATCCTGAAATTTTTCAAAGACTTATTTTCTCTAAAGTGATATGCACCATATTTTGAAAACAGTAATGTATTTCCTTTTTTTTGTAAAACATATTGCATGTAAAAATACCTATTGTATGCAAAATACAAATTTGTAATTTGTTATGGTGGCTCAGAAGTGGCTAATGGTGAAGATTAAAGAAAAAAACATTAAGCCGTAAATTCTATGAGGACTGAGATCTTGATTTTTTTGTTTATCATAATCCAAGGACCTAACCAAGTTACTTAAATTTAGTAAATAGCCCATATTTTGAGTGAATGAATAAATGTAAAAAACAGGCATTTCCTCGCCTCACTTACTTTGGACTATGTTGTTAATATGATTATCATAACACTTCAGTATGGCTTATCCCTGTTCCTTTTTGAATGGCTTGTCATGACAATCAGCCTCATAGCTTAGCTATCAATATCTAAGGACACAGGGATTAAAGAGGGCAGGAAGGCTTTTCCATCTCTTCTGTGTTTCCTTGTCTTCCTCTAAAAACAGTTTCTCCCTTTTTGTATTCCAACCAGCTACAAGTTTAGAAATACAAATTCTTATTCATCCTCCGAATAGCAAAGGTCTTTTAGTGGAGTGTAATTCAGAAGGTTGGTTACCACAGCCTCAAATGGAATGGAGAGAGAGCAGAGGAGAGATCATTCCGCCTGCATCAAAATCCCATTCCCAGGATAGAAACAGATTGTTCACCATGAAGATGAGCCTTCTCCTTAGAGACAGCTCCCATGGCAACATCACTTGCTACCTTCAAAACCCTGTAACCGGTCAAGAGGAAAGGACAAGCATTGTCTTACCAGGTGCGATCTGAGTGTTTGTTCTTCAAATGATGGCCATTGACATAAAATTTGTAAATTAAAGAGAAAAAATCATATACATACTTTCTTCACTTGGTTTCCAAGACATTACTTTCTCTTGGTTTTATTCATTGTCTTCTTGCTTGTTTTCTTTCTTAATCTTTTTGTTATAGTCTTTTTTTTTTCACTCTGCCTTCTTGCTATTCAGGTTCCCAGGACATAGTTTTTGTTTTGCTTTGTTTTTTAGCTTTTATTTTTAACTTTTATTTTAACTTTTATGTTAACTTTTATTTTAAGTTTATTTATTTTAAACACATGTGCAGGTTTGTTTGTTTGTTTGTTTGTTATATAGGTAAACTTATGCCATGGGGGTTTGTTGTACAGATTATTTTGTCTCCCAAGTATTAAACCTAGTACCCATTAGTTATTTTTCCTGATTCTTTCCCTCTTCCCACCCTCCACCCTCCAAAAGGCCCCAGTGTGTGTTGTTCCCCTCTATGTGTCCATGTGTTCTCATAATTTAGCTCCCACTCATATGTGAGAACATGCAGTATTTGGTTTTCTGTTTCCCAGGATGTAGTTTTTTGAGCCTTTCCTCTGTTGTGAGTTCATTCTGTCTCAAGACTTCGGATATCATCAGTGTGACTATGGCTCCTCCAATAGTATCTCCTGCCCTGTCCTCTCTTCAAACTCGGTTTTCATCTTCAAACTCAACCTCTCAACATAGAAGTCTAATAAATATCCTGAACCAAACACATCATAAAGTAAACTCCTGATTACCTCCAAATTTGCTTAATTAATGTCTTTCCAATCACACTTTATATTTTCAGTTTCTCAAAACAAAATAATTGAATTCATCATTGACACCAATTTTTCTCTCATATTCTGCAACACATCTATCAAGAAATTGTGTTAGCTCTACCTTTAAAATATATTCAGCATCTCATCACTTGTCACCAACTTACTACTGCTATCCAAGCCTGAGACACTATCACCCATGGGTCTCAACTTTGGCAATAGCATCCTAAATATCCTCTTATTTTTATTCTTGTCCACTATAGTACATTCTCAACATATAAATAGGAACCCTCTGTTCAAGACCCTGCAATTTTTCCCCATTGTTTTTCAGAGTAAAATGCCCTTCAATATCCTGCATTATCTCTGCCCCCATTACCTATCTGACCTCATATCCTAACACCCTCCTTTGTGCACTCTACTCTAGTCACACAGACTTCCTTGCTGTTCCTAAACCTGCAAGACATGCTCCTACCTTGGAGGCTTAGCTCTAGTTGGTCCCTCTTCCTAGAATGCTCTAACTTCCCCTATGTCCTTCCAGTCTCTTCTCAACTCAACCTCCCTAATAAAGAGTACCTTGACAAACCAGCTTGAAAAAAATGCCACCTGCCCCCAAATTACTTGATTCCCACTCTCCTCACTTACCTTAATTTTTCTTTCTTCCATGTTATTTTCACCATTTAGCCCACCATACAACCTATTTATTATGTTTATTTTCACTTATCTGTTTCCCTGTCTGAAACATGAAGATACAAATCTTTGTCAGTTTTATACACTAATACACTCCAACTGCTTCAAACATTGCGCGGCACATAGCAGGAATGCAATAAATCATTGATACTTGAATGACAGAAATACACCCTAGTAAGTGTCTTACAAACTGTCAAGGAAATATGAATGTGTTAGTGTTTGTGTATTCCATGAAATTAATATTAGAGTCACATGCTGAAAGGGACATTATCACTTACAGGAATGACTCCCCTAACAATTTTAGCAATTTACTACATTCAAACATTTTTGCGCTTATTTTCTCATTTGATTTTCCAGAAAAAAAAGCTTCATATTATGGTTGTGTCAGAAACAGCAATACAAACAGTTACAGGGGATAAAGGAGGACTAAACTACATACCTTCCTTCCCCCAAGTTCATAGTAGGATATATATGAATAAAACAAACAAAAAGGCAGGGCTGGGGGAAGCCCTGCTGATTTATTTACAACTTTAGTGAAAAATGCTTTTTAAAAGTATATGCACTTTAAAAAATGATGATTTAACAGAATTATAATTAGCACAAACTTTGAGCATGAGTTACAGTCCTGGGAATAGAGACATCTCAGGGAGATCTTATCTGTATTCACTGAATGTCAAAAAACATGGAAGAGGCCAGGTATAATGGCTCATGCCTGTAATCACAGCACTTTGAAAGGCCTAGCGGCCAGGATGCCTTGAGCTCAGGAGTTTGAAACCAGCCTAGGCAACATAGCAAGACCTTGTCTCTATGAAAAATTAAAAAATAAAAAATTAGTTGGGCATGATGGCATGTGCCTGTGGTCTCAGATACTCAGGAAGCTGATGTGAGAGGATCATTTGAACCAGGGAGGTTGAGGATGCAGTGAGCAGTGATTACGACACTGCAATCCAGCCTTAAGATATAGCAAGATTCTGTCACAAACAAACAAACAGAAAACATGGGAGCGCAGCCTTCACTCACCTTTGCTCCATCTTCAAACTAACTCACATTCAGCTCTTCCCTACTCCAGATCCTATCCCATTTTTCACGTGCACAATTATAATTAATTTCCCAAATTGGCCTTGGTTTACATTTGAAGGTGACAGGTATTAAGCAGAAACATGCTTTGGATGAATCATCATTCCTAGTTTGGTGGGTTCAAGTTTCCTAAGTGGTAAAATTTGTGACTCCCTATTTCAGATAAACTGTTTCCATGGAATTCTATCTGGATACTGATTCTGGTTGCAATCTTGGCTGTTCTGCTATTCTTCATTATGTTGCCAAGTGTTGAACTACAGCAAAGAGAGCAACGTAAGTTGGCTTGAAGGATGAGAGATGCTAATGGGAGTGGGGAAGCTAAAGCTGCATGACCCATAATTCTCAAGTCTGTCTGTCTCAGGAAGTTCTGAACTTTTCCATGTATGTTAAACATATGCTCTCCACCCATTCCTTGATCCTACATACTGTTCTCTTTTGCTGCTGGAGCTGTTGACAATGCTGTTATCTGAAAGTGTGACCTTTTTGTATCTCAACCAAGTTGAAACCCATTGTCCTTATGGTGACAGATTTTCAAACAACCTGGGAAAGCTTTTTAACATTTAACACCTAACAGAATTTACACATATTTCTCACTTGAATTCTTAAAGGGACCACTGACACTTCAGGGCATAAAATTAAGTTTTAATTGCACAGTATCATTAAAATACACCACGTAGGGAGAGTTACACTAGCTGCAACACCAGGTGTTTTACTTTTCCTTAAACAAAAAGTTTTCATTCATTCTCAACTATGGTGTTGGGGGCGGGGATTGGGGGAACTTGCACAATAAGCAAGAAAATTTAAGACACCAAAAAATAGCTGTTCATGATTTGGGGTTGTGCTCAATTTAAGAAGCTTCAGACTCACAGATCTCTTCTGGCAGAGCTCTGTGTTTCAAGAGTAGTGTCCTGTGCTCTCCCCCTGCTTTTCACCAGGCTCCTGCGCCACCTCCCACCACGTGTAGTTCTGCTGTCAGCGAAGGATTTGGGTCTTGGTCTTCCTAAATATCTCTCCACTTCTTGGATTTTCCGTTTACATTTGCAGCTGTTCTTCTGGCCTGAACTCTGTATGTGACCCTCAGAACTGCCATTTTCCACCACTGTGGTTGTGGGGTTTGGGGAAGACACCACTCCGCCAGAAAGCCACCAGTTCACAACATTCACCTCTGCTAGCTGCTGTTTTGCAAAACAAACTGTACTGTAGCTTCTATCGGCTTATTCACACTATCCAAGTTTTTAGAGATTTGTTTTTTTCTAATGTTCCTGCTTCAATACATCTTTTAATGCTTGTCCTTATTTAATACTGACCTGCTTCTCTGTATCTTACATTTAATTGAACATTCAAAGGTCACATGTGTAACAACTGACATTTCCCAGATAGCTCTTCAGAGATTAGCAGTCAGGAACATTTCAAACTTGACCTTTGCCAAGCTGAGTGTGCCCAGTTATTCAACTGTTTCTCATGGGCATAATTTGAGTTTCTGAAAATCTCTTCAACTTTATCTAAAAGGTATTGGTGAATCAGTTGGAATAAATAATTTTTAAGGATGCAGAGTTAGTTTTATAATAGTAATTATTACATCATCATTAGAGGCTAACATTTATTGTATTTTTACTATTGAAAAACTCCACACCAACAGATTTACAGAAATTAGTGCATTTAACCTCCATAATACACTTTGAGTTAAATATTATTACCACTCCAATTTCTATATTATGAAAATAAACCCACCAACGTTAACTATTGCACCTAAAATCACACAGCTAGTAATGATAGGAAATAAGATCGATTATAAGCCATATGGACACTGTATCCCATATTTTAACCACTAAGTTACACTGTGCCTATGCTACTCCAGTGGTGGAATGGCATCACTTGTGGTAGTAAGCCCCACACCATAGGCTATTTTATGGACAGACTAGATAGCCAAATGATGTTGCTATGATGCATGCTAAAGAATATTTTTAATATTATGTTGTTGAAAACCCTTTCACTCATGAGAGTCGTATATCCAAAGCTCATATGATCTTTCAGGCAGTTCAGAGGTCTCCAGAACTACTGTACTCCCAGACTCTTTCAAGCCCAGGTGAAATGATAACAATCGGAGCATAACTTCATCTAGTGCTCTAATGAGGCCCATTTACTGATGGGCTAGATAGAGAGAAAGAAGGATGAGTTGTTTTTCTCCAGACCTGTTTAGCCTCAACCCAAACCTATCCCATCCTAGAAACAGCCGTTCTTCTTGTCTCTGTCACCCACAGCTCTCTGATCTTTAGACCTAAGCCTTAGCCCAAATCTAAATGAATGCAGTGGGATGGCATCAAAACATACCTCTTGATTTCTTGACACATTGTGCCCCAATCAAAAGTGCCTCTACACCAATAACTAACAATTACAATATCTCTTCTTCTTCAGGTAACTGGTGTGACTAGAATTCTCCCTGCCTGATAGTCATTGGGATAGCCTTCTTTTCAATGTGTGCAATTGTTGGACTCATTATCGGTTTGCATCGCAGAAACAGAGGTATGTGGATTAAAAGGATGGGAATGTCCTGAAAATATCTCATTTCCTAAACGCCCATTCTCTGGTAAGACGTTTAGCCAAAGAGCAGTAATGCTTGTTTGAACTACAGGAATAATACCTACTTGGACCTCATGTCCTAGAGTTTGGAATCCAACTTCCTGAAATTTGTGGGCTTAATGCCACAAACTGCTGATATTTCTGTTCCTAGGAAAAGAAAATATTTCTTTTAGTTGATAGCTTTATTTTTGCCAAACATTGGCCGTCACATCATCAAATAAATTATGTTAATTTTTACTATACTTTTAGCCTAGAAGGGGTAATAATTCAGTATATCTTAAACTTTTTAGGTCATAGGTATTTTTTCAGATATCAGTGTAAATCACAGGACACTCCTCTCAAAATTATTCACATGTTCACACACATTTTGCTAAATTTCACGGTCTGCATGGACACCTGAAACTGATTCTTTTCCTTTTTGGTAAAATGGGAATGGTAGTTGTGAAAATATTGGGATAGCTGAACCCAACATGTTTGACATGTGCGCTCAGCTTTATCTTTGAGGTCCCTATGGAAATGACATATGCAAGGCAATAATCAGCCAGATAAAATAATTCTTCTTCTTCTTCATAAGCTGGAGCTACAGCCAGAAATCACAATTAGAAGTTATAAAGTAGGCCTGGACTCTTCAGAGGGTTTTGTTCAATAGTTTTCTCCTGTGAAATGAAGACACAAGTGGCCTTAAACCAAATTAGGGTTAAAGTGCTTTTTATATTTTACTCCAAAAATGTCCATACCTGAGCCAGTGAATATTTACTGTGTTAGCAGACTAAATTGCACATTCCCCTTTACCAGAAGAAAAGGAGCAAAGTGATTTGATATTAGTTAATATACATTACATGCTTATTATATGCTCTAAGAGTTGTATACAGATTAATATATTCAATCTTTAGTGAAAGAGATGTTATAGTTGACAAATTCTGGTACAAAAGGAAGCTAAATATCTTATCTAAGATGACATAGCTAAATAATGGCAGAGCCAGGATCCCAACTCAGGCACTTACATGCCTTCACTGTGTGTTTCAACAATCTTAGTATATGGTTTTAAGAGAAAATAGAAAAAAATATTATAAATGCATCATGAAATTGAGACATAATGCATTCTAAATTCAAGTTCTTGTCAATATATGTTTTACAGATATTTTCTTCCACTCTGTGGGATACATTCTCCCATAAAGTATTCTCAAAAGCAGAAAATTTTATTTTTGTGGTAAAATCTATGTAACATAAAATGTACTGTTGTAGCCATTTTTAAGTGGACATTTTGGACACACAGAGTACATTCACATTGTTGTGCACCCATCACCACCATTCACCTGATCTTTTCATCTTCCAAAACCGAAACTGTACACATCAAACAATAATTCCCTATTTGCCCCTCTCTCCAAGCCCTGGCAACCCACATTCTACTTTTGGTCTCTATGATTTTCAGTACTCTAAGTTACTCATATAAGTGGAATTATAGAAATATTTGCCTTTTTATAACAGGCTTATTTCACTCAGCATAACGTCCTCAATGCTCATCCATACTATAGCGCATTGCAGAATTCCATTCCTTTTTAGACTAATGTTCCATTTTACAAATATAGCACATTTTGCTTCTCCATTCATCCGTCGATTGGGATTTGTGTTGCTTCCATATCTCAGCTATTATGTATAATGCTACTATAAATAAAAGTGTACAAATATCTCCTCAAGATTTTGCTTTTAATTCCTTTTGGGTATATACCCAGAGTGGAACTGATGGCTCATATGGTAATTCTATTCTGAATTTTTTGAGGAACCACCATATGGTTTTCCCCAGTGGCTGGACCCTTTCACATTCCTACTAAAAGTGCACAGGGGTTTTCATTTCTTTATACATTTGCCAATGCTTGCAGGTATGTATGTATGTGTGTATGTATATATATAATATTGTATAGAGATATTTATGAAATATATATATACACACATACACTATCCAAATACTTCCATTTGCATAGCATATGTGTGTATATATATATATAAACTATATATAAAATGTGTATTTATATAATACACATAAATATATATTATGTATGTGTAATATATTAATTATATATTATCCCAATGCATGTGGTTTCTCATTATAGTTTTTATTTGCATTTGCCTAATGATTGGCATATTGGGCATCTTTTCATGTACCTATTGGCTGCTTACATATATTCTTTGGAGAAATGTCTATTCAATTCATGTGCTCATTTTTGAAAAGGGTTGTGGGTCTTTTGTTGTTGACTTTTCAGATTTCTCAACATATTCTGGATATTAATTCCTTATCAGATGTAAGATTTTCAAATAATTTCTCCTATTGTGTGGTTGCATTTTTACTTGGTGAATGATGACTTTTTGAGGCACAATTTAAAGAATTTTTCAAGCAGTCCAATATCTGAATGTTTATTATTTCTTTCATTGTTGTGCTTTTGGTTTCATGTTAAAGAAATCATCACTAAATCCAAGTCAAGAAGCTTTTATCCTATGTTTTCTTTTAAGAATTGTCTTACTGTATGCTTTTGATCTACTTTCTGTTAATTTTTGAATATGGTATTATATAAGGGTCCAACTTCATTCTTCATGTGGATATCCAGTTTTTCCAGAATCATTTATTGAAATGACTCTCCTTTTCCCAGTGAACGCTCTTAACACCCATGTCAAAGATTCTTTAACCATTTTGTAAAGGTTTATTTCTGGGCTCTATTATATTCCAATGGTCTATGTTTCTTTTTCTATGTCAGTATCACACTGTTTTGATTACTGTAGCTTTGTAGTAGGTCTGGAATTAGAAAGTGTGAGTCTTCTGGCTTTGTTCTTCTTTTACTTTTTAAAAATTGAATCCAATATATTACGTTTTTATGGGGTACATGTGGTATTTTGTGTGTAATAATCAAGTCAGGGTTTGTGACAGGTCCATCACTTTGAGTATTTATCATTTGTATCTGTTGAGAACAATTTATCTCTTCTAGCTACTTTAAAACATATAATACATTGTTATTGACCCTACTCTGTAGTTGAGCAATAGAACTTATATTTTTATTTACGAGCACGTGCGTGCCCATTAAGCTACCTCTCTTAATTCCCCCTTGAATCCCCTCATCCCAGCCTCTAGTATCTATCATTCTTCTCTCTACGTTTATAAGCAAACTTTTTTAGCTCCCACATATAAGTGAAAACATGCAATATTTGTCTTTCTGTGCCTGAGTTATTTCACTTAACATAATAACCTCCAGTTCCATACAACTTTCTGCAAATAACATGATTTTCTTCTTTTTAATTGCCAAATGCTATTCCATTGTGTATATGTACCACATTTTCTTTTTTCTTTTTTTTTTTTTATTATACTTTAAGTTTTAGGGTACATGTGCACATTGTGCAGGTTAGTTACATATGTATACATGTGCCATGCTGGTGTGCTGCACCCACTAACTCGTCATCTAGCATTAGGTATATCTCCCAATGCTACACCTCCCCCCTCCCCCCACCCCACCACAGTCCCCAGAGTGTGATATTCCCCTTCCTGTGTCCATGTGATCTCATTGTTCAATTCCCACCTATGAGTGAGAATATGCAGTGTTTGGTTTTTTGTTCTTGCGATAGTTTACTGAGAATGATGGTTTCCAATTTCATCCATGTCCCTACAAAGGACATGAACTCATCATTTTTTATGGCTGCATAGTATTCCATGGTGTATATGTGCCACATTTTCTTAATCCAGTCTATCATTGTTGGACATTTGGGTTGGTTCCAAGTCTTTGCTATTGTGAATAATGCTGCAATAAACATACGTGTGCATGTGTCTTTATAGCAGCATGATTTATAGTCATTTGGGTATATACCCAGTAATGGGATGGCTGGGTCAAATGGTATTTCTAGTTCTAGATCCCTGAGGAATCGCCACACTGACTTCCACAATGGTTGAACTAGTTTACAGTCCCACCAACAGTGTAAAAGTGTTCCTATTTCTCCACATCCTCTCCAGCACCTGTTGTTTCCTGACTTTTTAATGATTGCCATTCTAACTGGTGTGAGATGATATCTCATAGTGGTTTTGATTTGCATTTCTCTGATGGCCAGTGATGATGAGCATTTTTTCATGTATTTTTTGGCTGCATAAACGTCTTCTTTTGAGAAGTGTCTGTTCATGTCCTTCGCCCACTATTTGATGGGGTTGTTTGTTTTTTTCTTGTAAATTTGTTTGAGTTCATTGTAGATTCTGGATATTAGCCCTTTGTCAGATGAGTAGGTTGTGAAAATTTTCTCCCATGTTGTAGGTTGCCTGTTCACTCTGATGGTAGTTTCTTTTGCTGTGCAGAAGCTCTTTAGTTTAATTAGATCCCATTGGTCAATTTTGGCTTTTGTTGCCATTGCTTTTGGTGTTTTGGACATGAAGTCCTTGCCCACGCCTATGTCCTGAATGGTAATGCCTAGGTTTTCTTCTAGGGTTTTTATGGTTTTAGGTCTAACGTTTAAATCTTTAATCCATCTTGAATTGATTTTTGTATAAGGTGTAAGGAAGGGATCCAGTTTCAGCTTTCTACATATGGCTAGCCAGTTTTCCCAGCACCATTTATTAAATAGGGAATCCTTTCCCCATTGCTTGTTTTTCTCAGGTTTGTCAAAGATCAGATAGTTGTAGGTATGCGGCGTTATTTCTGAGGGCTCTGTTCTGTTCCATTGATCTATATCTCTGTTTTGGTACCAGTACCATGCTGTTTTGGTTACTGTAGCCTTGTAGTATAGTTTGAAGTCAGGTAGTGTGATGCCTCCAGCTTTGTTCTTTTGGCTTAGGATTGACTTGGCGATGCGGGCTCTTTTTTGGTTCCATATGAACTTTAAAGTAGTTTTTTCCAATTCTGTGAAGAAAGTCATTGGTAGCTTGATGGGGATGGCATTGAATCTGTAAATTACCTTGGGCAGTATGGCCATTTTCACGATATTGATTCTTCCTACCCATGAGCATGGAATGTTCTTCCATTTGTTTGTATCCTCTTTTATTTCCTTGAGCAGTGGTTTGTAGTTCTCCTTGAAGAGGTCCTTCACATCCCTTGTAAGTTGGATTCCTAGGTATTTTATTCTCTTTGAAGCAATTGTGAATGGGAGTTCACTCATGATTTGGCTCTCTGTTTGTCTGTTGTTGGTGTATAAGAATGCTTGTGATTTTTGTACATTGATTTTGTATCCTGAGACTTTGCCGAAGTTGCTTATCAGCTTAAGGAGATTTTGGGCTGAGACGATGGGGTTTTCTAGATAAACAATCATGTCGTCTGCAAACAGGGACAATTTGACTTCCTCTTTTCCTAATTGAATACCCTTTATTTCCTTCTCCTGCCTGATTCCCCTGGCCAGAACTTCCAACACTATGTTGAATAGGAGCGGTGAGAGAGGGCATCCCTGTCTTGTGCCAGTTTTCAAAGGGAATGCTTCCAGTTTTTGCCCATTCAGTATGATATTGGCTGTGGGTTTGTCATAGATAGCTCTTATTATTTTGAAATACATCCCATCAATACCTAATTTATTGAGAGTTTTTAGCATGAAGGGTTGTTGAATTTTGTCAAAGGCTTTTTCTGCATCTATTGAGATAATCATGTGGCTTTTGTCTTTGGCTCTGTTTATATGCTGGATTACATTTATTGATTTGCGTATATTGAACCAGCCTTGCATCCCAGGGATGAAGGCCACTTGATCATGGTGGATAAGCTTTTTGATGTGCTGCTGGATTCGGTTTGCCAGTATTTTATTGAGGATTTTTGCATCAATGTTCATCAAGGATATTGGTCTAAAATTCTCTTATTTGGTTGTGTCTCTGCCCGGCTTTGGTATCAGAATGATGCTGGCCTCATAAAATGAGTTAGGGAGGATTCCCTCTTTTTCTATTGATTGGAATAGTTTCAGAAGGAATGGTACCAGTTCCTCCTTGTACCTCTGGTAGAATTCGGCTGTGAATCCATCTGGTCCTGGACTCTTTTTGGTTGGTAAACTATTGATTATTGCCACAATTTCAGCTCCTGTTATTGGTCTATTCAGAGATTCAACTTCTTCCTGGTTTAGTCTTGGGAGAGTGTATGTGTCGAGGAATGTATCCATTTCTTCTAGATTTTCTAGTTTATTTGCGTAGAGGTGTTTGTAGTATTCTCTGATGGTAGTTTGTATTTCTGTGGGATCGGTGGTGATATCCCCTTTATCATTTTTTATTGTGTCTATTTGATTCTTCTCTCTTTTTTTCTTTATTAGTCTTGCTAGTGGTCTATCAATTTTGTTGATCCTTTCAAAAAACCAGCTCCTGGATTCATTGATTTTTTGAAGGGTTTTTTGTGTCTCTATTTCCTTCAGTTCTGCTCTGATTTTAGTTATTTCTTGCCTTCTGCTAGCTTTTGAATGTGTTTGCTCTTGCTTTTCTAGTTCTTTTAATTGTGATGTTAGGGTGTCAATTTTGGATCTTTCCTGCTTTCTCTTGTGGGCATTTAGTGCTATAAATTTCCCGCTACACACTGCTTTGAATGTGTCCCAGAGATTCTGGTATGTTGTGTCTTTGTTCTCGTTGGTTTCAAAGAACATCTTTATTTCTGCCTTCATTTCGTTATGTACCCAGTAGTCATTCAGGAGCAGGTTGTTCAGTTTCCATGTAGTTGAGCAGCTTTGAGTGAGATTCTTAATCCTGAGTTCTAGTTTGATTGCACTGTGGTCTGAGAGATAGTTTGTTATAATTTCTGTTCTTTTACATTTGCTGAGGAGAGCTTTACTTCCAAGTATGTGGTCAATTTTGGAATAGGTGTGGTGTGGTGCTGAAAAAAATGTATATTCTGTTGATTTGGGGCGGAGAGTTCTGTAGATGTCTATTAGGTCCGCTTGGTGCAGAGCTGAGTTCAATTCCTGGGTATCTTTGTTGACTTTCTGTCTCGTTGATCTGTCTAATGTTGACAGTGGGGTGTTAAAGTCTCCCATTATTAATGTGTGGGAGTCTAAGTCTCTTTGTAGGTCACTCAGGACTTGCTTTATGAATCTGGGTGCTCCTGTATTGGGTGCATATATATTTAGGATAGTTAGCTCCTCTTGTTGAATTGATCCCTTTACCATTATGTAATGGGCTTCTTTGTCTCTTTTGATCGTTGTTGGTTTAAAGTCTGTTTTATCAGAGACTAGGATTGCAACCCCTGCTTTTTTTTGTTTTCCATTTGCTTGGTAGATCTTCCTCCATCCTTTTATTTTGAGCCTATGTGTGTCTCTGCACGTGAGATGAGTTTCCTGAATACAGCACACTGATGGGTCTTGACTCTTTATCCAACTTGCCAGTCTGTGTCTTTTAATTGGAGAATTTAGTCCATTTACATTTAAAGTTAATATTGTTATGTGTGAATTTGATCCTGTCATTATGATGTTAGCTGGTGATTTTGCTCGTTAGTTGATGCAGTTTCTTCCTAGTCTCGATGGTCTTTACATTTTGGCATGATTTTGCAGCGGCTGGTACCGGTTGTTCCTTTCCATGTTTAGCACTTCCTTCAGGAGCTCTTTTAGGGCAGGCCTGGTGGTGACAAAATCTCTTAGCATTTGCTTGTCTGTAAAGGATTTTATTTCTCCTTCACTTATGAAGCTTAGTTTGGCTGGATATGAAATTCTGGGTTGAAAATTCTTTTCTTTAAGAATGTTGAATATTGGCCCCCACTCTCTTCTGGCTTGTAGGGTTTCTGCCAAGAGATCCACTGTTAGTCTGATGGGCTTCCCTTTGAGGGTAACCCGACCTTTCTCTCTGGCTGCCCTTAACATTTTTTCCTTCATTGCAACTTTGGTGAACCTGAAAATTATGTGTCTTGGAGTTGCTCTTCTCGAGGAGTGTCTTTGTGGCATTCTCTGTATTTCCTGAATTTGAACGTTGGCCTGCCTTGCTAGATTGGGGAAGTTCTCCTGGATAATATCCTGCAGAGTGTTTTCCAACTTGGTTCCATTCTCCGCATCACTTTCAGGTACACCAATCAGACGTAGATTTGGTCTTTTCACATAGTCCCATATTTCTTGGAGGCTTTGCTCATTTCTTTTTATTCTTTTTTCTCTAAACTTCCCTTCTCACTTCATTTCATTCATTTCATCTTCCATTGCTGATACCCTTTCTTCCAGTTGATCGCATCGGCTCCTGAGGCTTCTGCATTCTTCACGTAGTTCTCGAGCCTTGGTTTTCAGCTCCATCAGCTCCTTTAAGCACTTCTCTCTATTGGTTATTGTAGTTATACATTCTTCTAAATTTTTTTCAAAGTTTTCAACTTCTTTGCCTTTGGTTTGAATGTCCTCCCATAGCTCAGAGTAATTTGATCGTCTGAAACCTTCTTCTGTCAGCTCGTCAAAGTCATTCTCCATCCAGCTTTGTTCCGTTGCTGGTGAGGAACTGTGTTCCTTTGGAGGAGGAGAGGCACTCTGCGTTTTAGAGTTTCCAGTTTTTCTGTTCTGTTTTTTCCCCATCTTTGTGGTTTTATCTACTTTTGGTCTTTGATGATGGTGATGTACAGATGGGTTTTCGGTGTGGATGTCCTTTCTGTTTGTTAGTTTTCCTTCTAACAGACAGGACCCTCAGCTGCAGGTCTGTTGGAATACCCTGCCGTGTGAGGTGTCAGTGTGCCCCTGCTGGGGGGTGTCTCCCAGTTAGGCTGCTCGGGGGTCAGGGGTCAGGGACCCACTTGAGGAGGTAGTCTGCCCGTTCTCAGATCTCCAGCTGCGTGCTGGGAGAACCACTGCTCTCTTCAAAGCTGTCAGACAGGGACATTTAAGTCTGCAGAGGTTACTGCTGTCTTTTTGTTTGTCTGTGCCCTGCCCCCAGAGGTGGAGCCTACAGAGGCAGGCAGGCCTCCTTGAGCTGTGGTGGGCTCCACCCAGTTCGAGCTTCCCGGCTGCTTTGTTTACCTAAGCAAGCCTGGGCAATGGCGGGCGCCCCTCCCCCAGCCTCGCTGCCGCCTTGCAGTTTGATCTCAGACTGCTGTGCTAGCAATCAGCGAGATTCCGTGGGCGTAGGACCCTCTGAGCCAGGTGTGGGATATAGTCTCGTGGTGCGCCGTTTTTTAAGCCGGTCTGAAAAGCGCAGTATTCGGGTGGGAGTGACCCGATTTTCCAGGTGCGTCCCTCACCCCTTTCTTTGACTAGGAAAGGGAACTCCCTGACCCCTTGCACTTCCCAGGTGAGGCAATGCCTCGCCCTGCTTCCCCTCGCGCACGGTGCGCACACCCACTGGCCTGCACCCACTGTCTGGCACTCCCTAGTGAGATGAACCCGGTACCTCAGATGGAAATGCAGAAATCACCCGTCTTCTGCGTCGCTCACGCTGGGAGCTGTAGACCGGAGCTGTTCCTATTCGGCCATCTTGGCTCCTCCCCCCAACATTTTCTTTATCCATTCACCCACTGATGGACACTTAGGTTGATTGTATATCTTTGCTATTGTGAATAGTGCTACAATAAATATACATGTATAGTTATTCTTTTGATATGCTGATTTCTATGCTTTTGTATAGATACCACATAGCGAGGTTGATGAATTTATTTTTAGTTTTTTGAAAAATCTCCATACTGTTTTCCACATGGTCATACTAATTTATATTCCCACCAATAGTGTATGAGTTCTCTTTTCTCCACATCCTTATAAGCATCTGTTATTTATTTATTTATTTATTTTACTTTTTAATAGTAGTCATTTTAACTTGGGTAAGATGATCTCTCATTGTGGTTTTGATGTGCATTTCCTTGATTAGTGACGTTGAGCACTACTGATGAAAGACAAATAAATGGAAAGAAATCTCATGCTCATGGACTAGAAGAATTAATCTTGTTAAAATGACCATACTGCCCAAAGCAATGTATGAATTTGGTGCAATTCCTATCAAAATACCATTAACATTTTTCACAAGAATGGAAGAAATAATTCTAAAATTTTCATGGAACCAAAAAAGAGCCAGCATAACTAAAGCAATTGTGAGCAAAACAAACAAAACTGGAGGTATCATACTGCCTGACTTCAAAATATATTACAAGGATATAATAACCAAAACAGCATGGTACTGGGATAAAAATATACACATTGACCAATGGAACAGAACAGAAAACTCAGAAATAAGTCTACTTACATACAGCCAACTGATTTTTGACAAAAGCACCAAGAACATACACTGGCAAAAGGACACTCTCTTAAAAACCAAATATCAATATGCAGAGGAATGAAACTGGACTGTTATCTCTTAACATGTACACAAATCAACTGAAGATGAAATCAAAGACGTAAATGTAAGATCTTAAATATATTCTACAAGAAAACATAGGGGAAACACTTCACAACATTAGTCTAGGCAAATATTTTATGACTATGATCTCAAAAGCACAGACAATTAAAATAAAAATAGGCAAATGGGACTATATTAAACTAAAAATCTCCCATGCCACAAAACAATCAACAGAAGAAAGAAACAACATGTTGAATGGGAGAAAATACTTGCAAAGCATTAATCCAACAAGAGATTAATCTCCAGGATATACAATGAACTCAAGCAATTCTCCAATAATAATAACTATTATTACTATTATTTCACTAAAAAGTGGAAAAAGTCATGGCTAGACAATTCTCTTTTCTTTCTCCCAGGTTAAATTTTATGTTAGGTTTGGGAGTACATGTGAAGGCTTGTTACATGGGTAAACACGTGTCACTGGGGTTTATTGTACATATATCATCACCTGGATATCAAGCCCAGTACCCAGCCATTATCTTTCCTGCTCTTCTTCCTCCTCTCACCCTCCACCCTCAAGTAGACCCCATTATCTGTTGTTTCCTTCTTTGTGTTCATAAGTTCTTATCACTTAGCTCCCATTTATAAATAAAAACATGTGGTATTTGATTTTCTGTTCCTCCATTAGTTTACTAAGTATAATAGCCTCAAGCTTGATCCATGTTCCTGCAAAGGACATGATCTCACTCATTTTTTTGGCTGCACAGTATTCCATGGTGTATATGTACCACATTTTCTTTATCCAATCTGTCATTGATGAGCATTTAGGTTAATTCCATGTCTTTCCTATTGTGAATATCGTTGCAGTGAACATTCCTGTGCGTGTGTCTTTATGGTAAAATTATTTGTATTCTTCTGGGTATATACCCAGTAATGGGATTTCTGAGTCTAATGGTAGTTCTTTTTTTTTTTTTTTCAGCTCTTTGAGGAATCACCATACTGCTTTCCACAATGCTTGAACTAATTTACACTCCCACCACTCCCACCGACAGTGTGTAAATATTCCCTTTTCTCCACAACCTTGCCAGCATCTATTATTTTTTGACTTTTTTTTTATTATAGCCATTCTCTGACTGGTGTGAGATGGTATCTCATTGTGGTTTTGATTTGCATTTCTCTAAAAACTTAGTGATATTGAGCTTTTTTTTCATATGCTTGTTAGTCACATGTATGCTTCTTTTGAGAAGTACATGTCCTTTCCCCACTTTTTAATTGAGTTGGTTGTTTTTCTCTTGTAAATTTGTTTAAGTTCTTTATAGACACTGCATAGTAGACCTTTGTTAGATGCATAGCTTGCAAATATTTTCTCTCATTCTGTAGGTTGTCTCTTCACTCTGTTGATAGTTTCTTTTGCTGAGCAGAAGCTCCTAAGTTTAATTAGATCCTACTTATAAATTATTGCTTTTGTTGCAATTGCTTTTGGTGTCTTTGTCATGAAATCTGTGCCTTCTCCAGTGTCCAGGATGGTAGTGCCTAGGTTGTCTTCTGGGGTTTTTATAATTTTGGATTTTACACTTAAGTCTTTAATCTATCTTGAGTTGAATTTTGTATATGGCATAAAGAAGGAGTCCAGCTTCAATCTTCTGCATATGGCTAGCCAGTTATTCTAGCACCATTTATTGAATAAGGATTCTTTTCCTCATTGCTTGCTTTTATCAGTTTTGTTGAAGATCAGGATGATCACAGATGTGTAACATTACTTCTGGGCTATTTTTTCTGTTCTATTGGTCTATATACCTGTTTTTATAGCAGTACTACGTTGTTTTGGTTACTGTAGCCTTATAGTATAGTTTGAAGTCAGGTAATATAATGCCTCCAGTTTTGTTCTTGTTGCTTAGGATTGCCTTGGCCAATTGGGCTCTTTTTTGAATCCATACGGATTTTAAAATATTTTTTTCTAGCTCTGTGAAGAATAATGATGGTGTTTTGATGAAAATTGCATTGAATCTGTACATTTCATTGGGCAGTATAGCCACTTTAATTATATTGATTCTTCCTATCGCATGGAATTTTAAAAATTTGTTTGTGTCTTCTCTGATTTCTCTGAGCAGTTTTTTTTGTTTTTTTTTTTTTTTTTTTTTGTAATTCTCATTGTAGAGATCTTTCATCTCCCTGGTGAGTTGTATTCCATTCTTTTTGTGGCAATTGTGAATGGGATTACCTTTCTGATTTGGCTCTTGGTTTGGCTGTTGGTGTAGAGGAATACTAGTGACTGTTGTACGTTGATTTGGTATCCTGTAACTTTGTTGAAGTTGTTCATCAGCTCAAAAAGCTTTTGGGCCAAGATTGTGGGCTTTTCTAGATATAGAATCATGTCATTTGCAAACAGGGAGAGTTTGGCTTCCTCTCTTTCTATATGGAAGTGCTTTAGTTTTTTCTCTTGCCTGATTGCTCTGGCTAGGACTTCCAATACCATGTTGAATAGAAATGGTGAGAGAGAGCATCCTTACCTGTGCGTTTTCAAGGGGAATGTTCCTAGCTTTTGCTTATTCAGTATAATGTTGGCTTGGGTTTGTCACAGATGGCTCTTATTATTTTGAGGTATGTTTCTTCAATACCTAGTTTATTGAGAGTTTTTAAAATGACGTGTTGAATTTTACTGAAAGCCTTTTCTACATCTATGGAGATAATCATGTGGTTTTTGTCTTTAGTTCTGTTTATGTGATAAATCACATTATTGATTTGTGTATGTTGAACCAATATTACATTCCAGGAGAAAAGCCTACTTGATCATGGTGGATAAGCTTTTTGATGTGCTGGTGGATCCGATTTGCAGTATTTTCTTGAGGATTTTTGACTCAATGTTAATAAAAGACATTGGCCTGGTCTGTTTTGTTGTTGTTGTGTCTCTGCCAGGTTTTAGTATCAAGATGATGCTGTCACTATAAAATGAGTTGGGGAGAGATCCCTCCTCCACAGGTTTTGCAGTTGTTTCTGTAGGAATGGTGCCAGGTCTTTTCTGTACAGCTGGCAGAATTTGCTTGTGAATCCATCAGGCCCTGAGCTTTTTTTTGGTTGATAGGCTATTTATTACTGATTCAATTTTGGAGTTCATTATCGATCTGTTCGGGGAATCAATTTCTTTCTGGCCCAGTCTTGAGTCCAGAAATTTGTTCATCTCTTCTAGGTTTTTTGTTTGTAGAGGTGCTCATAGTTTCTGATGGTTGTTTTTATTTATGTGGAGTCAGTAGTAACATTCCCTTTATCATTTTTAATTGTATTTGTTTGAATCTTCTCTATTTTCTTCTTTATTAGTCTCTATAGTTAGTGGCCTACTTTATTAATTTTGTTTAAAAAAAACCCTCCTGATTCATTGATGTTTGGAACGTTTTGTGGGTCTCTATTTCCTTCAGTTCAGCTCTGATATTTGTTACTTCTCATCTTCTGCTAGCTTTGGGGTTGATTTGCTCTCGCTTCTCTAATTCTTTCAGTTGTAAAGTTAGGTTGTGAATTTAGATCTAACTTTTTGATGTGGGTATTTAGTGCTATGAATTTCCTTCTGAACACTGCCTTAGCTGTGTCCCAGAGATTCTGGTATGTTGTATCTCGGGTCTCATTCTCATTCAGGATCATGTTTAATTTCTATGTAATCGCATGGTTTCGAGCAATTTTCAGTCCTGACTTCTCTTTCTATTGTGCTGTGGCCCAAGACTGTTTTTGGTGTAATTTTTTTTTTTTTACATTTGTTGAGGATGGTTTTATGTCCAATTATGTGGTCGATTTTAGAGGATGTGACATGTGGTGATGAGAAAAATGTATATTCTGCTGTTTTGTGGGGGAGAGTTCTGTAAAGGTCTATCAGATCCATTTAGTTCAATGTTGAGTTTAGTTCCTGAATATCCTTGTTAATTTTCTGCCTCGATGATCTAATACTTCAGTGAACTATTGAAGTCTACCACTATTATTGTGTGGGAGCCTATGTCATTTTGTAAGTCTCTTAGAACTTCCTTTATGAATCTTAATGCTCCTGTGTTGATTCATATATATTTATGATAGTTAGGTCTTCTTGTTGAATTGAACCCTTTACCATTTTTTTAATGCCCTTCTTTGTCTTTTTGGTCTTATTGGTTTGAAATCCATTTTGTCTGAAATTAGGATTGCAACCCCTGCTTTTTTTCTGGTTTTCATTTGCTTGATAGATTTTCCTTCATCCCTTTATTTTTAGCGCTTGAATGTCATTATATGTGAGCTGGGTCTCTTGAAGACACCATAGCATTGGGTCTTGGTTCTTTATTCAGCTTGCTATTCTGTCCCTTTTAAGTGGGGACATTTAGCCTGTTTACATCAAGGTTAGTACTGATATGTTGAATTTGATCCTATCATTGTGCTGTTAGCTGATTATTATGCTGGCTTGTTTCTGTGGCTGTTTTACAGTGACTCTGGTCTTTGTGTTAAAGCACGTTTTTGTATTAGCTGGTAGCAGTCTTTTCTTTCCATATTTAGTTGTCCTTTCAACATCTCTTGTAAAGCAGGGCTGGTGATAATAAATTCTCTTAACATTTGTGTCTCTGAAAAGGATTTTATTTCTCTTTCACTTAGGAAGCTTAGCTGAACTGGACATGACATTCTTGAATGAAGATTTTTTTTTTAAGATTGTTGAATATAGGCCCCCAATCTCTTCTGACTTGTAAGGTTTCAGCTGAGAGTTCTGCATTAGCCTGATAAGATTCCCTTTGTAGGTGACCTGCTTTCTCTCTAGCTGCCTTTAACATTATTTCTTTGATTTCAACCCTGAAAAATCTGATGATTGTGTGTCTTAGTTATGATCTTCCTGTGTAGAATCTTAAAGGAGTTCTCTGTATTTCCTGATTTTGACTATTGGCTTCTCTAGCAAGGATGGGGAAGTTTTCACGAATGATATTCTAAAATATGTTTTCCAAGTTGTTTGCTTTCTCCTTCCCTTTTTCAGGATGCCAGTGATTCTCAGATTTGGTCTCTAAATAATCCCATATTTCTTAGATATTTTGCTTATTTCTTTTTATTGCTTTTCTTTATATTTGTGTGTCTTATTTCAGATAATCAGTCTGCAAGTTCTGAGATTCTTTCCTCACTTTGGTTTATTCTACTGTTAATACTTGTGATTGCATTGTCAAATTCTTATATTGTGTTATTAAGCTCTGTCAGACCTGTTAGCTTCTTTTTTATACTGGCTAGTTCATCCTTCAACTCCGGTATCACTTTATTTTGACACTTTTTTTTTTTTTTTAGATTGGGCTTTACCATCCTTCTGAATCTATTATCTTTATTCCTATCCATATTCTGAATTCTATTTCTGTCATCCCAGCCAGTTCAGCGTGGTGAAGAACTCTTTTTTTTTCTTTTTCTCTCTTTTTATTTTTTTGGGATGGAGTCTCTCTCTTTCGCCCAGGCTGGACTGCAGTGGCGCTATCTCGGCTCACTGCAAGCTCCGCCTCCCGGGGTGAAGAACTCTTGTTGGAGACCTGGTGTTGGAGGGCATACAACACTCTGGCCATTTGAGTTACTGGAGTTCTTGTGTTGGTTCTTTCTCACTCTGCGTGTGGGTGTTCCTTTGACTGCAATATAGATTGAGTACAGTCAAGACTTCTTTTCTGGATGTTTTCACTGGACCAGGTCTTTTTGTAGGGTCTTTATTTGAAGCTGACTTATTGCCTCTTGTTTCAGAGTTGGGGAATGTTAGCCAGGTATTTTTGATGTTGAAGCTCTGGGGCGTGATCCAGCAGGTGGCATGTAGGCTTATTGATCAGTTGGTAGACTCTTTCTTGGCTGTGTGTCTCCCCCACATTTCCTCACAGTTGCATCCTGAATGTCACCTCAGATGGAAAGGGAGGGTGTTGCAACAGCAGAGGAAATGCAACAACAATGGTTTCCCTTTCGGCGCCTGCACCTTTTGATTAGAAGCAGCGATGAGTGATCAGGCAACAGATCACCAATATTTAGAGGAAAGGGTTCTTTTTGCCTGCTGTGGCTGTTGCAATCTATGTGCGGGCTGCTCCAGGAGCACACACACAACTGTCTACCAAGAGGATAGGGATAGGGAATGGGTTGCTGCTGTGCTAAAAGCTGAAATTGGCTGTAATTAACTACAGTTTAGTATCCAAGACTTCCCCTGGTAGTTGCAAACTTTCAATACACTCCAGAGATTCCAAGTTTACATCACACAGATTCTGCTGATGTAATTTTTATTTACATGAGAAGGTTCCTTCTACTCTTTCATCTTTCCAGAATCTCCTCTATTGGCTTTTAATATGGTCTTTGCACTGCAGTCAGAATAAGCCTCTATGTGTCTATAGGATCTTGGCACTTTGTTCAAAATACTTCAGTGAACTTACGTTGTTCACACAGTGAGCTCATTGCTCATTGCTTAAGCTGGTTTTCAAAGCCCTAAATGGTCTGATCCTGATTATTTCTTACTGATACATTGGATAAATACTTCTGACTATAAATTCTTTTGAAAATACAAAGCTTAGACAAATTAAACAGAGTTTAATTGAGTAAAGAACAATTAATCAGGCAACCTTCTAAACCATAATAAGTTCAGAGAGACTCCAGTGCTGCTGTTACTGGTGGAGGGTCTTGACTATGAGTCATCCAGGTTCTTGACTTATTGAACAAGGAATTGGACAAAACACAGAAACAAAGCAACGAAAGAACAAAGACATGAATGCACAGATTTACTGAAGCAAAAGTACATGCCACAGAGTGGGAGCAGGCTTGAGCAAGAGGCTCAAGAGCCCCAGTTGCAATGTTCCTTGGGTTTTTATTAAGCTAGAAGAATTTGGTAACACCCCTAGGTACTTTTTAGAGGCTTTCAGTTGATTACACCTTATGCAAATGAAGGATTCACCCACAGCCAACCAGAGGCTGAAATGGGGGCTTGGCCCATGGCCAGTAAGAGGCTGAAGTTTTTCTTCAGTTTAATTCGAAGAAGCCAGCCATGGGTTGGCCTTAGGCTCCCTGTCTGCAGACTCTATTCTATCTCATTTCCCCCTGAGAGATGTGAGCCCCATACATTTTTATGGGAGGCAGAGAGACCAATGGTCTTTCTTCTGTAACTGCTTCATGCTGATTTGTATGCAGTCCCTACCTATTGAGGATCACAAAACGCTCTCCCTTCTCTGTCTAATGAAGACAGTGTGACCTCTCAATGACCAGGGCCATTATCTGAAACTGGCTGGTAGCTCTTCTGCATGATCACTTGAAGCTTAATGGTCTCTAGGTGAGAAGAAATAAATCTGGTTAAAGGATTTACAAACATGGTCTGTAAATCATTGCCACTATAATTATTAATAATGGGCCAACTAAGGGAAGGAGCCCCATAACTCAGACAGCTGTCAACATATTTTAGAGACCTGGTCAGCTAATTTTTGGGTGGCATCTCTTACTAATCCTGATAGGTTGACATAAAAACAGCATTCTTCCTCTAGGAAAAGACATACGCCACCTTTTTCAGCAGTTAGGAGATCCAGTCCCCTTCTATTTTGTAAAGCAACCACTTAGCCTTTCTCGTTGTATGTAGCAGAACAGAAAAGCATAGTTGTGGATGTGCTCACTAAAATATTAGGCCTAGAACCCAGGCCAACCACCTACTTCTCAAAGAAATTGGACAGAGTGGCCTTAGGGTGGCCAAGCTGCCTGTGGGCAATAGTAGCCACTGCTATTTTTGTGGAAGAAACCACTAAAATCACCCTGGGTCAACCACTGGATGTGTTAACCCCACATCAAGTAAGGTCAGTCCTAGAAATAAAAGGACACATCTGGATGAGAGGGGAAAGGTTAATCAAATACCAGCCCATGCTCCTAGACAATCCAGATATGAGAAGGGCTAAGTGAGTTTCAGGATACCAACTGGTGGAACCTGGCTGAGAGCCTGTTTTAACTTGGTGAAGGCTCCCTTCATTTCTGGGGTCCACTCCATTGACTTATTTTCTGCCTCCCTTGTTGCTTCATAAAGTGGTTTTGCTATGAGCCCCAAATTTGGAACTTATAGTTTTTATACATCAGAGGAAAAGTTCTAAAACCAACTCAAACCATTGATTCAACTGGCTGACCCTGGAAACAAACACTACTCAAACATTTCCACTCCATCCACCTCTCCAAAAAACAAAATATATAATGTACTTTCTCTGTTTATATCATATAAAACTAAGTCTTTTATTTTTTTTAGCTCTCTAGATCACCAGAGGCAAGCAAAACCAACCAAATTCCAAATAGCTGGCAGGCTCCATCAATTTCTGCACACCAAACAAAGATAGCCTAGGAATTCAAGATAAAGGGAAAAAATATTGACTTGCTAGAAATGCACAGGAAATGAAATAACCATTCAGAGAACCAAATGAAAGCCTTCCATCAGAAACTAAAAAAAAAAAAAAATCAATGATTTTATATAAATATATATGCATACACAAGCAAAACCCCAAACAGAACAAACAGCAAACAAATGAAAATGAGAAGCAAAAACAAATAAACAGAAAACCAACCATCAACCTTTTTCCTACTCTGTCTACTCTGGAGGCTACAGTGTTACTCAGAGCCCCCCACAAAACATGTAGTGAATACTTTATTCCTGTTATACAATTCAATATTATGAAGTCCACTGATATTAGCATACATCCTGTGCAATCAAGAAATTTACTCTAGGCACATGACCAGAAAGTACTCTAGTGCCAGCACTATCCATGCAAAACAGCAGACATAATGTGAAGCAATGTAAGCATGTACATTAAGGCCGACTTCATGCTTAACTATATTAAAAAAGAATTGTCAAACTGCCAATGTATTTCTTTACAATATTTCTTATTTTAATTTACTTAAGACTCAGAGCTTTAACTATGAAAATGTTAATTAGCCATACTTCTCCAATTCTCTATCAGGTTTTAGAGAATATTTTATTATCTAAAATGTTTCAACTTTTTAGTTTCTCTGTATATGCATGAAGATAAACACACAGAAAAACAGAAAAAAAAAAAACTATGTATGACATACAGATCATCCACAACATGCCTGAGCTTTCCATTAAGTCCCAGATTTCCTCTACTCCTCCTTCTCCTCCTTCTTCCTTCTTCCTTCTTTCTTCTTCTTCCCAGTCATTTTACTCCAGGACAAGAAAATCTACCATGGAAGATCCTTCCTCATACAAAATTATTAACTTTATATCCTTCCTTATAAAAAATACATCTTCATATAATAACTTTCTTCACATCTCTCTCCCTTACTTACAAGCTCCTTATTACTTTGTTTCAAAACCTTTTTAAAGTCCATAATTTTAATTAACTTTTAGATAACTTCAGAGTTACACAAAATTATTTTTTACTAATAACATAAATTTGGGCACATTTTATATACAGAAATATGTGTTAACTATAATTCTTATCCTTAGTAACATTAAATTTTGGTGAAACCTAAAAAGAAATCCTGAACTATCAGATATGATCATTTTTATAGATGAGAACAATTTCACAATTTTAGAGACATATTTCCTCATATCACAATCCTTTTGAAACTGGAAATAACCCAGATATCCAATAAGCATAAAAATAATTTTAGAATTTTAATTTACACAAAAGTTCACCTAAAACATTTATCCCATTTACATGTACTCAATTTTTTTCATTTTTAACAGTTTATCTAGATTACTTCTGAAAACCGAGATATTAGACACCATCATTTAAGGTTAGTTATTTTCTTGTTAACCATTTTTTTAAAATAGCCAATGAACATCATATGCTCACCTAAATAAAAGCCTCAAAGTTAAATACGTAGGTATTTTTGCTGATAACTCAAAAAATTTAGCTAACAACATTAAACTATTCTCATTTGTCAAAGAAGGCACACAAATCAAGATGATTTTGTTTTGGCTGAGTTAATAGGTTTATTACCTTCTATGCCAAACACTGACAACTCAAAATATCTAGCAAAGACATATATAAAACCCAGAAAAAATGTATGTTTACAATTCTGAAGACATTTCTATTTTTATTTTACTGATAATTTTAAAACCAGCTTGTTCAGTAAAGATATACTTTACTGAAGATATACTTAAGATTCTTAAGTCATATGAACTTGAAAATTGCTTGCACTTATTTACTTAGTTTATGAGTGCTCTTCTGCTTACAAGCCAATTTGGTAGCCACAACAATAAGTGTACATGCAAATAAACACATCTAGACATGTATACACACACAAAAATGAAGATCCAGTAGCTTTTGCCTTGGAACTTTAGCCGTAAGATAACAATACAAGCTCACCAGTTTTACATGGTTACACTTTGTTTGCCCCAATAGGTAATCCCACAAAGACTGTGAATCAAAATTTTAGGTAAAGCAGCTTCTATGAAAGTTTGATTTTTAAAGGCCAAACCTCCCTAGACTCCAAAGAACACTGAGGACCAACAGCACCAAAAGAGAGCATCACAGTTGCATAGGGTGTAACTCTATGCACAGCCCGACCCTGCTTAGAACAGCAGCACAAAAGTCTGGATATGTGCAACTTCATTCCACTTTCCCATTCAACAGCAAACTCCAGATTCCTAACAATATTGAAGCCAAACAGTACTGCAAAAGAGTATCAAGCATTTCCTGCTTAGATTATCAGGGTCAAACGGATTCCAATGGTTGAGGATGCAGCCAAGTGCAGAATCAGGTAGAATAGATGCAGTGTTTCCCATGATGGTAAGGAATAAAAAAGATTCTAAGAAAAAAAGCCTAAGGAGGGCTTATTTATTGACCCAAAGTTTCTGCCTGGGGTGTCCCTCTGGGGAAGTCTTTGGTTTCACATTGGACCCCCAGGTGTACCCTTTTAGGGTCCCATCTTAGATTTTCACATGTCTCTGACCTTAGGTGGGCAACAGCACCACTTTGTATGTTTTCCCTTCAGAGGCAATGGCCAACTATGATCTTTCCTTTGGTTCCTGGATCTCATCTCTGGCCTTTAACATCCCACCAGTTTAGATGGGCCATATCTTCTGGCAGTTTTTTGCAGGACTAAGGAGGTTCCCAAACATCACAGAGTTGACAGTACCAAGGTTTGTGGGGTGTCTCCATGAAGGAAGATTCCAGGGGTTATATCAACGATTGGGGTTGAGAATTTATTTGGGGTCCATGGCAAGCAAATTGATGCTGAAGAAATGTCCATCAAGCTTGGGGTCCCATCAATGGAGGTTCAGGATGTAGAACATATTCTAATGCTTGTGGTCCCCAAAGGCCCTCAGCCAGTTGAATAGATCAAGTAGAAGGGAGGTCTAAGAAACATTATCTTTTGCTGTTATGGGCTAACTCTATAAATAATTTAGCATAAGAAAAGAGAATTTAAGTTGCCTGAAACATGTGTGAGTTCACCCTGGATGAGCTGCTACCCCCATTGCCTTACCCAGGAAGCACAAGGGGTTGGGGATTTCCCTTTTCTAGCCAAGGGAAGCCATGACAGACGGTACCTGGAAAATTGGGACACACCCATCCTAATACTGCGCTTTTCCAAAAGTCTTAGCAAACAGCACACCAGGAGATTATATCCCATGTCTGGCTCAGTGGGTCCCATGCACACAGAGCCTTGCTCACTGCTAGGACTGCTAGTGCAGCAGTCTGAGATTGAACTGTGAGGCAGCAGCAAGGCTGGGGGAGGGGCGTCTGCCATTGCTGAGGCTTGAGTAGGTAAACAAAGTGGCTGGGAAGCTCAAACTGGGTGGAGCCCACCGCAGTTCAATGAGGCCTGCCTGCCTCTATAGACTCCACTTCTAGGGGCAGGGCATAGCTGAACAAAAGGCAGCAGAAACTTCTGCAGACTTAAACGTCCCTGTCTGACAGCTTTGAAGAGAGCAGTGGTTCTCCCAGCATGGAGTTTGAGCTCTGAGAATGGACAGACTGCCTCCTCAAGTGGGTCCCTGAGCCCCAAGTAGCCTAACTGGGAGACACCTCCCAGTAGAGGCCGACTGCCACCTCACACGGCCGGGGCGAAGCTTCCAGAGGAATGATCAGGCAGCAACATTTGCTGTTTTGCAATATTTGCTGTTCTGCAGCCTCCACTGGTGATACCCAGGCAAGAATTTTCTGCAACCTCCGCTGGTGATACCAGGCAAGAATTTTCAAACCAGAATTTTCAACCCAGAATTTCATATCCAGCCAAACTAAGCTTCATAAGTGAAGGAGAAATAAAATCCTTTACAGACAAGCAATGCTGAGAGATTTTGTCACCAGCAAGCCTGCCTTACAAGAGCTCCTGAAGGAAGCACTAAACATGGAAAGGAACAACCAGTACCAGCCACTGCAAAAACATACCAAATTATAAAGACCATCCATGCTAGGAAGAAGCTGCATCAACTAACAGGCAAAATAACCAGCTAACATCATAATGACAGGATCAAATTCACACATAACAATATTAACCTTAAATGTAAATGGGCTAAATGCTCCAATTAAAAGACACAGACTGGCAAATTGGATAGAGAGTCAAGACCCATCAGTGTGCTGTATTCAGGAGACCCATCTCATGTGCAGAGACACACATAGGCTCAAAATAAAGGGATGGAGGAAGATCTACCAAGCAAATGGAAAACAAAAAAAAGCAGGGGTTGCAATCCTAGTCTCTGATAAAACAGACTTTACACCAACAAAGATCAAAAGAGACAAAGAAGGCCATTACATAATGGTAAAGGGATCAATTCAACAAGAAGAGCTAACTATCCTAAATATATATGCACCCAATACAGGAGCACCCAGATTCATAAAGCAAGTCCTTAGAGACCTACAAAGAGACTTAGACTCCCACACAATAATAATGGGAGACTTTAACACCCCACTATCAACATTAGACAGATCAATGAGACAGAAGGTTAACAAGGATATCCAGGACTTGAACTCAGCTGTGCACCAAGCGGACCTAATAGACATCTACAGAACTCTCCACCCCAAATCAACAGAATATACATTCTTAGCACCACATTGAACTTATTCCAAAATTGACCACATAGTTGGAAGCAAAGCACTCCTCAGCAAATGTAAAAGAACAGAAATCACAACAAACTGTCTCTCAGACCACAGTGCAATCAAATTAGAACTCAGCATTAAGAAACTCACTCAAAACTGCACAACTACATGGAAACTGAACAACTTGTTCCTGAATGATCACTGGGTAAATAACAAACTTAAGGCAGAAATAAATAAGTTCTTTGAAACCAATGAAAACAAACACATACAGTACCAGAATCTCTGGGACACAGCTAAAGCAGTGTTTAGAGGGAAATTTATAACACTAAATGCCCACAAGAGAAAGCAGGAAAGATCTAAAATCGAAACCCTAACATCACAATTAAAAGTACTAGAGAAGCAAGAGCAAACAAATTCAAAAGCTAGCAGAGGACAAGAAATAACTACAATCAAAGCAGAACTGAAGGAGATAGAGACATGAAAAACCCTCCAAAAAATCAATGAATCCAGGAGCTGGATTTTTTGAAAAGATCAACAAAATAGATAGACCACTCTCCAGAATAATAAAGAACAAAAGAAAGAAGAATCTAATAGATGCAATAAAAAAATGATAAATGGGATATCACCACTGATCCCACAGAAATACAAACTACCATCAGAGAATACTATAAACGCCTCTATGCATATAAACTAGAAAATCTGAAAAAAATGGATAAATTCCTGGACACATACACCCTCCCCAGCCTAAACCAGGAAGAAGTCAAATCCCTGAAAAGACCAATAACAAGTTCTGAAATTGAGGCAGTAATTAATAGCCTACCAACCCAAAAAATCCAGGACCAGACGGATTCACAACCAAATTCTACCAGAGGTACAAAGAGGAGCTGGTACCATTCCTTCTGAAACTATTTCAAACAATAGAATAAGAAGGAATCCTCCCTAACTCATTTTATGAGGCCAGCATAATCCTGATACCAAAACCAGGAAGAAACACAACAAAAAAAGGAAATTTCAGGCCAATATCCCTGATGAACATCAATGCGAAAATCCTCAATAAAATACTGGCAAACTGAATCCAGCAGCCCATCAAAAAGCTTATCCACCACGATCAAGTTGACTTCATCCCTGGGATGCAAGGCTAGATCAACATACACACATCAATAAACCTAATCCATCACATAAACAGAACCAATGACAAAAACCACAATAATATCTCAATAGATGCAGAAAAGACCTTCAACAAAATTCAACATCCCTTCATGCTAAAAACTCTCAATAAAGTAGGTATTGATGGAATGTATCTCAAAATAGTGAGAGCTATTTATGAAAAACCCACAGCCAATATCATACTCAATGGGTAAAAGCTGGAAGCATTCCGTTTGAAAACTGGCACAAGACAAAGATGCCCTCTGTCATTACTCTTATTCAACATAGTATTGGAAGTTCTGACCAGGGCAATCAGGCAAGAGAAATAAATAAACGGTATTCAAGTGGGAAGAGAGAAACTCCAGTTGTCTCTGTTTGCAGATGACATGATTACATATTTAGAAAACCCCATTGTCTCAGCCCAAAATCTCCTTCAATGGATAAGCAACTTCAGCAAAGTCTCAGGATACAAAATCAATGTGCAAAAATCACAAGCATTCCTATACATCAATAATAGACAAGCAGAGAGCCAAATCATGAGTGAACTCCCACATTCACAATTGCTGCAAAGACAATAAAATACCTAGGAATACAACTTACAAAGGATATGAAGGACCTCTTTAAGGAGAACTGCAAATAACTGCTCAAGGAAATAAGACAGGACACAAACAAATGGAAAAACATTCCATGCTCATGGATAGGAAGAATCAATATCACAAAAATGGCCATACTGCCCAAAGTAATTTATAAATTCGGCATTATCCCCAATAAGCTACCATTGACATTCTTCACAGAATTAGAAAAATCTAATTTAAATTTCATACAGAACTTGAAAAGAGCCCACATAGCCAAGACAATCCTAAGCAAAAAGAAGAAAGCTGGAGGCATCACGCTACCTGACTTCAAACTAAACTACAAGGCAACAGTAGGCAAAACACCATGGTACTGGTACCAAAACAGATATATAGACCAATGGAACAGATCAGAGGCCTCAGAAATAACACTACACATTTACAACCATCTGATCTTTTACAACCTGACAAAAACAAGCAATGGGGAAAGGATTCCCTGTTTAATAAATTATGTTCAGAAAACTGGCTAGCCATATGCAGAAAACTGAAACTGGACCCCTTCCTTACACCTTATACAAAAACTAACTCAAGATGGATTAAAGACTTAAATGTAAGATCTAAAACCATAACCACCCTAGAAGAAAACCTAGGCAGTACCATTCAGGACATAGGCATGGGCAAAGACTTCATGAATAAGACACCAAAAGCAATGGCAACAAAAACCGAAATTGACAAATGGGATCTAATTCAACTAAAGAGCTTCTGCATGGCAAAAGAAACTATCATCAGAGTGAACAGGCAACCTACAGAATGAGAGAAAATTTTTGCAATCTATCCATCTGACAAAAGGCTAATATCCAGAATCTACAAAGAACTCAAACAAATTTACAAGAAAAAAAAATAACCCCATCAAAAGATGGACAAAGGATATGAACAAACACTTCTCAAAAGAAGACATCCATGCAGCCAACAAACATATGAAAAAAAACTCATCATCACTTGTCATTAGAGAAATGCAAATCAAAACCACAGTGAGATCCCATCTCATGCCAGTTAGAATGGCAATCATTAAAAAATCAGGAAACAACAGATGCTGGAGAGGCTGTGGAGAAATAGGAACGCTTTTACACTGTTGGTGGGAGTGTAAATTAGTTCAAACATTGTGGAAGACAGTGTGGTGATTCCTCAAGGATCTAGAACCAGAAATACCATTTGACCCAGCAATGCCATTACTAGGTATATACCCCAAAGGATTATAAATCATTCTACTCTAAAGACACATGCACACATATGTTTATTGAAGCACTGTTCACAATAGCAAAGACTTGGAACCAACCCAAATGCCCATCACTGATAGACTGGATAAAGAAAATGTGGCACATATACACCATGGAATACCATGCAGCCATAAAAAAGGATGAGTTCATGTCCTTGGAAGCTGGAAACCATCATTCTTAGCAAACTAACACAAGAACAGAAAACCAAAACACCGCATGTTCTCACTCATAAGTGGGAGCTGAACAATGAGAACACATGGACATAGGGAGGGGAACATCACACACTGGGGCCTGTCAGAGGGTGGGCGGCTAGGGGAGTGACAGTATTAGGAGGAATACCTAATGTAGATGACGGGTTGATGGGTGCAGCAAAGAACCATGGCACACGTATACCTATGTGAAAAACCTGCATGTTCTGCACACGCATCCCAGAACTTAAAGTATAATAAAAATAAATTTTAAAAAATGATTTAAGGCCGGGCGCGGTGGCTCATGCCTGTAATCCCAGCACTTTGGGAGGCCGAGGCAGGCGGATCACGAGGTCAGGAGATTGAGACCATCCTGACTAACACGGTGAAACTCCGCCTCTACTAAAAATACAAAAACTTAGCCAGGCGAGGTGGCGGGTGCCTGTAGTCCCAGCTACTCGGGAGGCTAAGGCAGGAGAATGGCGTGAACCCCGTGGGGCGGAGCCTGCAGTGAGCCGAGAACTCGCCACTGCACTCCAACGTGGGCGACAGCAAGACCCTGTCTCAAAAAAAAAAAAAAAAGTTTTAAAAATCTAAAATTCATATGGAGCCCCCCAAAAATGCCCAAGTAGCCAAAGCAATTCTAAGCAAAAAGAACAAAGCTGGAGGAATCCCATTTCCGGGCTTCAAATTATTTTAAAAGGCTCTAGGAACCAAAAACGCATGGTATTGGTATAAAAATAGACACATAAGTCAATGGAACAGAATAGAGAACACAGAAAAAGAGCTACACATTTACAGCCAATTGGTCTTTGACAAATTTGATGAGAACATACGCTGGGGAAAGGACACCATTATTCGATCAATGGTACTTGGAAAATTAGATAGCCATATGCAGAAGAATGAAACTGGACCCCTATCTCTCAACAGTAACACAAATTAACTCAAAATAGATTAAAGACCTAACCATAAAAGGTGAAACAATAAAAATCCTAGAATAATACCTAGAAAAAACTCTACTAGACATTGGCCTAAGCAAAGAATTTTTGAGCAAGTCCTCAAAAGCAAATACAACAAAAACAAAAACAGACAAATGGGACTTTATTAAACTAAAACTCTTCTGCCCAGCAAAAGAAATAATCAACAGAATAAAGACACAATCTGCAGGATGGGTCAAAATATTTGCAAACTATCCATGTGACAAGGGCCTAATATCCAGAATATATAAGGAACTCAAACAACTGAACAACAACTAAAACAATGAATGATATCATTAATAAGTGGCCAAAGGATATGAATAGATATTTTTCAAAAGAAGACACACAAGTATAAGAAATAATACTCAGCATCAATAATCATCAGGGAAATGCAAATTAAAATCACAATGTTATATCATCTTGGCCCAGTCAGAATAGCTATTACTACGCACTTTGGGAGGCTGAGGCAGGTGGATCACCTGATGTCAGGAGTTTCAGACCAGCCTGCCCAACATGGCAAAACCCCATCTCTACCAAAAAATACAAAAATTAGCCAAGCATGGTAGTGCATGCCTGTAGTCCCAGCTGCTCGGGAGGCTGAGGCAGAAAAATTGCTTGACCCGGGAGGCAGAAGTTACAGTGAGACAAGATCGCCCCACTGCACTCCAGCCTGGGAGACAAAGCGAGACTCTGTCTCAAAAAAATAAAAATAAAAAAATAATAACAGATGTTGGCAAGAATGCAGGAATAAGGGAGCTCATATACTGTTGGCGGGAATGTAAATTACTACAACCTCTTTGGAAAACACTATGGAGAATTCTCAAAGAACTGAAGACAGAACTACTATTTGATCCAGCAATCCCGCTATTGGGTATCTACCCAAAGGAAAAGAAATCTATATATCAAGAAGATACCTGCACTCATATGTTTATTGCTGTTCTATTCACAATAACCAAGGTATGGACTAAACCTAAGTGTCTATCAACAGATGACTGGAGAAATAAAATGTGGCATATATACAAAATGGAACACCATTCAGCCATAAAAAAATAATGAAATCACATTTTCTGTAGCAACATGGATGACACTGAAGGCTTTAGTGAAACGAGTCAGACACAGAAAGACAAATACCACATATTCTCACTTATAAGTGGGAGCTATTAATAAATAATGTATACCAATGGACATCAGGTATGGAATGATACACAATGGAGACTCAGAAGGGTGAGGGGGTTGGAGGGAGTGGATGATGATAAATCACTTAATGATTATGATGTACTTTATTAGGGTGATACCTTAAAACTCCTGACTTCACCACTATGAAATCTATGCATGTAACAAAATTGTACTTGTACTGAATAAATTTATACAAATAAAAAGAGATGCCTGATAATAAGACACTAATTGACCATAAACATATACACTAGCCCATTAACATGAGCTGATGGGTTTGTCAGCTGGTCAGAATCTTTGCATAAATCAAGTTGAAAGGTTAGTAAATGAAGTCTGGGAAACGTGTTAATATAACTTTCAGAATGAGCACAAAGTATGATATAGTCATGAATTATTTACATCATTATACAAAGTTGCCTATTGGAGAGGAAGCTTTCTATGGTCGAATCACAAGGTGCCCCATCCTGTGAATGTCAGTCACTCTTTGAGCAACTCTGGTGCTTGTTTAATGGACTCATGTACAAAACAGCCATGGTGATGGGCTAGAGGTTATGCATGAGGTCAACAAAATGGATTTTCTCTTCCCACAGCTTCTCTGCCTGCTGAAACAACTCATTACCCAAATGTCAATGATAGTGATTATATATTAAGTCCCAGATTGGCACGCATTCTCCACTGATTGATTATATTGGACCTCTTCCACCAGAGAGAGAAGAGCATTTTTTTCCACTGGATTAGACAATTATCCTATATGTGACTATGCCTTCCTTGGCTGCAGCGCTTCTGCCAGCATCGTCAAGCACAGACATATGACAACATTTGTATTGTCATTATGCTATTCTGTGCAAAATGGTTTCTGATCAAGGAACTAATTTTGCCACAAAAAAAAGTACAGTGAAGAGCTCTTACTTAGGGAATTGACCAATATTACTATATATATATATATATTTCTTTATATAGAAGCAGCTGTTCATCTGGATCATTGGAATATCCTACTAAAAACATGTTGCTAGTTGAAAAGCACCATCTGCAAGGCTGCAAAAACCCCATAAAATGCAGTCCTTTATTTGGATCGATGACTTATATGTGGTGATTTTTAGTTTCATGACCAAAATGCATAATTTCAAGACTAGAGAGATAAAAGTGGGAGTGGTTTCTTTTACTATCATATTCAACAATCTATTTATTATATACTCTTGTTTCTCACTCCCACGAGTCTGAGGTCTGTCAGTCTAAAAGGCTTCCCAAGAAAGGAGTGACTTCACATAAGTAGGCAACATCTGTCCTGGTGACATGGAAGTTGAGACTGCCACCTGGCCAAGTTAGGCTCCCAGTGCCACTGAATCAACTGGTCAATAAAAAGGGATTGATTCCAGCTATCAAGTGGAAATAAACACCATCAAGGTAGAGAGAATTATGCCTAAAATCCAAGGAGTTCTCTGAGAAACATGTAATTACTTCAAGTTCAGTAGCAGATATTAATTAAAGACCACAGGGATGCAATGAAGGCAGGGTCGCTAAAGACTCAGATGCTTTAGGAATTCAGATTTGAGTCTTTTTACCAGATAAAAAAATAATCCCAACATAGAGAGGAATGGCTGAGGGAAAAGGGAATCTGGAGCAGGGAGTATTAAGTGTAACTGTTATTTATAGCTTTATAACTAGTTACTGAAAAGAGGACTGTAGCAGCTATGCCTATTCTCCCTCTTGTTGAGGAGGAATTACAAGCATCCTCCACATAACCTTCTCTTGGGGGATCAAGTAAAAATAAAAATGTGTAGCTGAAACACTGGCAATCAGAGCTGACCAGAAATTTTGCTATTCTAAGAAACATGCTCCTTATAATATAGACAGATGCCCCCTAGTAGAGTACAAATGTGTCTTTTCTGTCATAAACTGCCTCCACATCATCATACTGCAGTCCATTGACACTAAGCCTCTGAAGAAGACAGCACTATAAATCTGAGGAAGATCAGTTTAAATGATGCTGATCATAAGGAAAAATCAGGACGAATCATTGTCTCATTGTCTTAAAGAGAAATTAGTATCCTTTGCTCTTATTCTGAATGTGGACATACTTTCCCTAAGTTCCATTTCTGTTAGTAGCTACAACCAAGCTGACAAAAGAGAAGGCAAACTTATTTTCTTTATCTGCCTTTCCCAGGATCTATCTGCCTCTAAACTAATTATGAGACTCAAGATGTTTATCTTAATGAACTTTCCTAAAACTGGCCAGCAGCAAACTTCCCTTCTTGACACAAAAGAGGAGTCAATAAAATAGGAAAATAAGATTTTTTTAAATTACGGAATAGAACCTGGGACTGCCACTGCCCAGTTGGAAGAGAAGTATTAGACTAATCGCCCAAATATGACTTAATCAATCCAGATTTTTAACATTTCCTTGCTCCCTCCAATTTCTCAGAAACACCACCTTGGTAACCAGTGCTGCTGTGAGGTGAGAAAAGAACAGGACAGAACTGAAGTAACAACCAGCTCTCACAGTGAGTGATTCACATCAGCGTAAAGTCAAGCCAAGGCAAGTCACTGCAGCAATAAACCAGTAGCATGAAAATCAAAGTATCAGTGAAACTCCTAAGTGAAGGAAATCTCCTCTCAAAGATAACCTTACGAAATTCAATTTGGTACTTTCTACAGTTTTATTGAGGTATAATTGACAAATAAAACCTGTGTATATTTAAGGTGTACAACTTGACATTCTGGTATACATATATACTATGGAATAATCATCACAATCAAGCTAACTAACATGTAAATCACCTCAATCAATCCCCTCACATAGTTATCTTTTTCTTTTGGGTGAATAAAAACACATAAGAACTACCCTCTCAGCAAATTTCAAGTATACAATACAGCATTGCTAACTATAGTTACATTGTTCGAAATCTTACTTATCTTGCATCACTGAAAATGTGTGCCCTTTGACAAACATCAACCCATTTGCTCCTCTTTCCAGCCCCTGCCAAACACCATTCTACCCTCTGCCTCTGAGACAGCAAGATAGAGCTTAAGTAGCAACCAGCTCACTCACAGTGGGTGAGTCACATCAGCAGCATCAAGACAAGACAAGGTAAGTCACTGCAGCCATAAACAGCAGCATGAACACCAAAGTATCAGTCAAACTCCTAAGTGAAGGAAATCCCCTCTCAAAGATCACCTTACAAAATTCAGTTTGATATATCAAGCTCGAATATTTGAAATTACACATATAAATGTGATTATGCAGTATTTGTCTTTCTCTGACTGGCTTATTTCACTTAGCATAATGTCCTCCAGTTTCATCCATGTTGCCACAAATGGCAGGATTTTTTTCTTTTTTAAGGCTGAATAATACTTCATTATATATATACACCATATTTGCTTTTTCCATTCATTCATTGATGGACATTTAGATTTTTTTCCATATCTTGGCCACTGTGAATACTGCTGCAGTGAACATGGGGGTGCAAATATCTCTTCAACATACCAGTATTATTGCCTTTGGATAGATATGTAGTCAGAAGTGCAATTGCTGGATCATAAGGCAACTGTATTGTTAATTTCTTGAGGAACCTCCATACTGTTCCATAATGGCTGTACCAAGGTACATTCCCACCAACAGTATACAAGCATTTTCTTTACATCCTCTCCAACATTTGTTATTTCTTTTTTATGATAGCCATTAGAACATGTGTAAGATGATATGTTGTTGTGGCTTTGATTTGCATTTCCCTGATGATTAGTGGTATTGAGAACTTTTTCATACGCCTCTTAGCCAATTGCATGTCTTCTTTTGAAAAATATAAATTCAGGCTCTTTACTCGTTTTTTAATTGAGTGTTTTGGCATTCTGCTCTTGAGTTGAATGAGTTCCTTATATATTTTGAATACGAATCCCTTATTAGAAATGTGACTTGCAAATATTTTCTTCCATTCCATACATTGACTTTTCATTTGATTATTTCCTTTGCTGCGCAGAAGCTTCTTAATTTGATGTAGCCTTACTTATCTTTGCTTTCGTTGCTTTTGTGTTTGATGTCATTCTAAAAAATCATTGCCCAGACCAATGTCAAAAGGCTTTTTCCTATAGTATCTTCTAGCGGTATTATGGTTTCGGTTCTTACATTTAAGCCTTTAATCCATTTTTAGTTCATCTTTGTACATGATGAGAGATAAAGGTCCAATTTACTTATGCTACATGCAGGAATAGTTTTTCCAACATCATTTTTTGAAGAGTCTCTCCATTTCACATTGTTTTTATTGGCATCATTATCAAACATCAGTTGATAGTAAATGTGTAAATTTACTTCTGGGGTCTCTATTCTGTTCCACTGGTCTATATGTTCTGTTTTTATGGTGGTACCATACTGTTTTAATTATTGTATCTTTATATTTTGAAATCAGGGAGTGTGATGTCAGCTTTTATCTTGCTAAATATTGCTTTGGCTACTCAGATCTTCTTTAATTTTTTCACATCAATGCTTTATACTTTTTAAGGTATAAATATTTTACCTCCAAGTCACATTTATTCCTAAGTATTTTATTCCTTTTGATGTTATTTCAAATGGGCTTTTATTTCATAATTTTTTATGTGTCAATTTTTGTCAGTGTATAGAAGCGCAAGTGTGTTTTGTATGTAAAATCTGAATCCTGCAACTTTACTAAATTTATTAATTCTAAAATTTTTTTACTAGTCATTAGAGTTTTTACATATATGATTATGTCACCTACAAACAGATAATTTTACTTCATTCTTTCCAATTTAGGTGTCTTTCATTTCTTTTTCTTATCTAATAGCTCTGGCTGGGACCTTTATTAATATGTTGAAAAGAAGTATGTCATGTGGATATATTGTGTAATGCTAAGGTTCAGAATATGAATTATCTTGTTACCCAGGTAGTGAGCAAAGTATTCAACAATTTTTCAACCTTGCCTTCCTCCCTCCCTCTCCACTTCAGTAGTTCCCAGTGTCTTTTGTTGCCATCCTTATGTCCATGAGTGTCCAATGTTTAGCTCCCCCTTATAAGTGAGAACATGTCATATTTGGTTTTCTGTTCCTACATTAATTTGCTTAGAACACTGGCCTCCAGCTGCATCTATGTTGTTGCAAAGGACATGATTTCATTCTTTTTTATGGTTCTGTAGTATTCCATGGTGTATATGTACCACATTACCTTTATCTGGTCTACCACTGATGGGCACCTAGGTTGATTCCATGTCTTTGCTATTGTGAATAGTGCTGAGATAAATGTGTGCACACATGTCTTTATTATAGAATGATTTATATTCCTTTGGGTATATATCCAGTAATAGGATTCCTGGGTTGAATGGTAGCTCCATTTGAAGTTCTTTGACAAATCTCCAAACTGCTTGCCACAGTGGCTGAATTAATTTACATTCCCATCAGTAGTGTATAATCATTCCCTTTTCTTTGCAACCTCATCAGCATCTGTTTTTTTTTACTTTTTTTTCTAACACTACTCCAACATGATGTAGTTTACTTTAGCCTTCTGTACTTGTATGTCTGTAACTTCCCTCTTTCTGAGAGAAACTGGCTTCCAGCACCTGCTATCCATTTACTTGTTTTGGGTTTTTGTGTTTGAGATGGAGTCTTGCTCTGTCACCCAGGCTGGAGTACAGTGGTGTGATCTTGGCTCACTGCAACCTCCGCCTCCCATGTTCTAGTGATTCTCCTGCCTCAGTCTCCTGAGTAGCTGGGACTACAGGTGCCCAACACCATGCCCAGTTATTTTTTGTATTTTTAGTAGAGAGGGGTTTCATTATGTTGACCAGGCTGGTCTCAAACTCCTGACCTCAAGTGACCCTCCCAGCTCGGCCTCCCAGTGTTGGGATTACAGGCATGAGCCACCACGCCCAGCCCACTTTTTTACTTTTTAATAATCACCATTCTGACTGGTGGGAGATGGTATCTCATTGTGGTTTTGATTTTCATTTCTCTAATGATTAGTGATGTTGAGCATTTTTTCATATGTTTGCTGGCTGTGTGTATATCTTCTTTTAATAAGTATCTGTCCATCTCCTTTGCCCATTTTTTAGTGGGGTTGTTTAGTTTCTGCTTATTAAGTTTCTTATAGATTCTGGATATTAGACCTTTATTGAATACATGGCTTGCAAACATTTTCTCCCATTCTGTAGTTTCTCTGTTTACTCTGTTGATAGTTTCTTTTGCTGTGCAGAAGTTATTTAGTTGAATTAGGTCTCACTTGTATATTTTTGTTTTTGTTGCACTTGCTTTTGGAGACTTTGTCAAAATAGTCTGATCTTCGACAGTGTTGACAAAAGCAATGGGAAAAGGATTCCCTATTCATTAAATGGTGCTGGGATAACCAGATAGTCATATGCAGAAGATTGAAAATTGACACTTCCCTTTCACCATATGTGAAAATCAACTCAAGGTGGATTAAAGACTTAAATATAAGACCTAAAACTGTAAAAACCCTAGAAGAAAACTTATGAAGTACCATTTGGCAAAGATTTCATGACAAATTCTTCAAAAGCAGTTGAAACAAAACTAAAAATAGGCAAGCAATGTTTTTCTTCAGTAAGCCATTTTTCTAACTGAAATGTATAAAATGTGTTTGTGGTGAGTGGGTGAAGAGCTTTAAGGAGCATGTGCTCTTCTTAAACTACTGTGTTATAGGACATTGCCATGGTAATGAGTGGCCAAAGGAGTTCAGATGAAGGGTTTTGGAATGAGGGTCAAACAATCTTGAAACTGGGGTGTTGGATTGCTTTTCCTTTGGTCACTAAAGCCTCGTATGATTATATAAGAACCTATACTGAATAGAAACACAATAATTGCTGACTCCTATGTATTGAGTGCCTGCTAATGGTCTCATATTACTAAATATTTTATACACATTGGCTCTAATTCTGACAATTACCCTTCAAGATATATATCACTGTCCCAGATGTATAGGCTAAAGCCAGACATTATCTGGAAAGAATTAGTGGAAGGGATAGGAAAGTTGGTTGCTTTTGTTAAATCAAGAAGCATAAAAGTAGTGTGCACTGTTTTGGTTGGATAGCCTCAGTAACAAAGAAAGGTGGATTTTTACCTGATAAGAAAATAACATGCTTTCTGAGGACATATAAGGGAGCTTCAGAATGCTGACACTGCCCCCTGGCTCTTTGGTCTAGGGTGGGAGAGGAAAAGCAGTAACAATTAGTGACACATACAAGGTAGGTGGTTTCCATGGGGCAGAGTCAAGTTTTCTTTAAGGGAATGTGTTAGTAAAGGTTCTCTGAAGAAAGAAAACCAATAAGATGTGTATATGGAGAGAGAGACTTGTTTGAAAAGACTGCCTCACATGATTGCGGAGTCTGGCAAATCCGAAATCTGCAGGGCAGGCCAGCAATCTGGAAACCCAGGGAAGAGTTGCTGATGTACCCTTGAGTCCAAAGGGGATCTGGACACAGAATTTCTTCTTCCTCAGAAGACTTCGGTTTTTTTTTTCTGAAGGCCTTCAACCCACTGTATGAGGCTTACTCAGATTATTGAAGGTAATCTGCTTTAGTCAAAGTCTACAAATTTAAATGTTAATCACATCCAAAAAATGTCTTCACAACAACATGTAAACTGCTACTTGATCAAAAACTGGACACTATAGCCTAGCCAAATTGGAAAATAAAATTATCACAGGAAGGAAGAAAGAAGACAATTATATAAATAAGGCAGAAATATTGGGTGGAGTAAACTGAAACAGGATGAATGTCCTGGGTCAACAGATAGAATGGGTAGAAAAAATAAATGAAAGACTAAAAGCATAAAAGGATCCACGGAATGAGAGACTACAGGAATTTGCATTTTGGAGTGCCCTATGGTGAGAAAGATAAGAAGCATGGTAAAATGGATGTTTCTTGAAGGGAGGGCCAAAGCTAAGCTAGTAAAGTCCTGTACTATTGGAGGCCTGAGCAGATTAGTACACTGAGTCTTTCTCATTATGGAAATGGAATGTTGTAGGGCACCATTCTAATTTCTTGGAGCAGTTCTGTTAGAAACAGAAAGGGACTAATCACCTTAGCAGCAACTCATCATATCAGTCCCTCTCTTGTGTTCAGAAAGCCCTAAGCTCTGGAAGTAGACCTGAGAAAGAGTAGATTTTTTTTCATATTGCTTCAGTTAAATCTACCAGCTAACTCAGACTTTTCTCAATTCTCCACCCACACCTTTAATATTTCCACTATCTAATTTGAGATATTTATGAAATAGCCAAGTGTGTGTGACACTCCACTTCACTATTTTACATTTTTGAGGCTCACCCAGTCCGATTGTCCCAAGTCAGAACTGGTTTATGGAGTCTGTCCTCCTGCTGGAATTTGGTCTGCTTGCTGTCTTTGTATCTTTCTGGTGTCTCATGTGTGGCCACTGCTTCTGCCATGGTCTCTCCTCCTAAATTCCTAAGAATGACTCCTCAGCACTACTCCTTGCCTTGACCCAATGCAACTTGGTTCCAAATAGCCTTTCCTGTAGCGCCATAATAAAGCACACTCAAAGCCCTTTCTGAAAATATTTCTGACAATAGGTTTATCAAGGCTCATACATAACAAAACAAAAACAAAACAAATAACAATAACAAAGCCTATCTGCCCAATCTACTCTGAGGGGCAATTTTAGCTGATTCTGAGCTCCTATGTCCTGAACCCGGACAGACTGCTAAATAAGAGTAACTGCCCAAACAATTTGTTTCATTCTACCAGATCCTAGATTCATATCTTACTGACTTCCAAAATCCCCTACTAGAAGGCTCCAAAAAAAAAAAAGAAGTAGAAGAAGGGCTCCAAATTTGATATCATCATGGTCCACGTGACAACCCAGATGCACCCTGAGAAAGTAGTGACGTAATGGATTGAATCAGACTGCTCTAAATTATAATCTTGCCTGCTATTTGCTGGCTGTGTGATTGCAGCAAGTCAGTATAAAAGATAAATATTAATTATGTGCTCAATATTGTATATTAAATGGAACTAGTCTCACGTTTGTGAAGCCAAACTACCAGACTACTCAGCAAAAGATCAATGTTGAGTCTGTTAAATGTAAATATGAATGAACAGAAATAGGACTTTCATCCTACTTGCATTCTCTGGTACAAGAGAAACTTAAGAACCTTGATTCTGCTCACTAATCAGCCAGAAAACCTAGATTACTATAGTATTTATAGCATCAAACATAATAATGTAGAATATATAAACATGGAGGGATTATACCATTTACTTTTCAAAAGATTTCTTTAAACGGCAAGTTCTTCCACTTGCAATGATATACTATGAAATATTAAATATATGTCAAAACAGCTGATTCTAAAGCAAGCTGGAGAAATTGAATTTTTATTCTTGTTTACTCTTATTTCCACTCCATTATCTCAGCTGAGTTCTTATTTCTCTGACAGCCAGAAAAGGAAACATTTCCTGAATATCCAAGGAGAAAAGAGAGGAAATAATAAAAGACACATTTCTTCCCACCCACTGTCCGACACATTTCCTTCTTAGTAGATGCCAATGATAGGCAGACAACCAAAAAACTAGAAGAACAGGAGTTACATTTTCCTCAACAATGGGCAGGTATAATATGTGTAAAATTGTGTATTTTCTTCAGTAAGCCTCTTTCTAGCTGAAATAGCATACAGGATGGGATTGTGAGTAATTTTAATGAGCATTGCAGAAACTTCATTTAGGTGTTGAAGTGGTGTGATGACAAAGATAAGAAGTATGGAGGATGATTTTGAACCAAGCAGTAACCCAGTCCAGAGAAAATGGGATTCCATTTAAGAGGTAGGAGCTTGGATTGGTTAAGAGCTTAGACTGAAGAGAGTACAGAGAACATAGGAAAGAACTCAGGCCATACCTAGATTAAATTCTGGTAACTGAAGGGAAAGCAAAATGAATGACTGACATTAGCATCTACTTTTCCTTGCACCTCCATTGCATTTTTAGATATACTGCTTTATTATTTCAGTTCACATTCCTGCTGGCCCTGCCTGGAATCCCATTTAATACATCCACTATTGAGAACAGAATTAATATTTATTTTTTATACTGACTTGCTGCAATCTTTCCTGAAAGGAATATTTGTGACTTATGCAAAATTTGAGCTGAATTTGGCTAGGTCATATGCAATAAAACTGAAAGTTGATAAGGGGAACCAATTCCTGGGTGAGGCAGCAATGTTGACACAAACAAGGTAAATTGTGCAAGCTCAGACAGGCTGAGTTTAATTTCCAAAATACATGGCAATGGCCATTATGCATTATTTCTGGAAGCAGAGGACTGCATACCAGACCATCCTCCCTCTCCAGAAAGTCTACTAGGAATATGTTCATACTATTACTTAGGTCACAATAACAGGAGGCTGAGAGCTTTGTAGGGTCACAGATAGAGGCAGAAAGAAAGTCAGGCTACAGATTGCTCAGCAAAGGGGACCAGAATGCAAAAACCAAACCATGGACTGCAACAAAACTTGCAAAAACTTGACAAAGCTTTGTGAAAGAATAAGAATTACAGAGGAAACAAGGATAAGATCTCAGACAGAAGGACATATAATTTGACCTTAGTGTGTGTCCTTGATACACGAAAACCACATGATTATCTCAATAGATGCAGAAAAGGCCTTTGACAAAATTCAACAACCCTTCATGCTAAAAACTCTCAATACATTAGGTATTGATGGGACGTATCTCAAAATAATAAGAGCTATCTATGACAAACCCACAGCCAATATCATACTGAATGGACAAAAACTGGAAGCATTCCCTTTGAAAACTGGCACAAGACAGGGATGCCCTCTCTCACCACTCCTATTCAACATAGTGTTGGAAGTTCTGGCCAGGGCAATCAGGCAGGAGAAGGAAATAAAGGGCATTCAGTTAGGAAAAGAGGAAGTCAAATTGTCCCTGTTTGCAGATAACATGATTGTATATCTAGAAAACCCATCGTCTCAGCCCAAAATCTCCTTAAGCTGATAAGCAACTTCAGCAAAGTCTCAGGATACAAAATCAATGTGCAAAAATCACAAGCATTCCTATACACCAATAACAGACAAACAGAGAGCCAAATCATGAGTGAACTCCCACATTCACAATTGCTGCAAAGAGAATAAAATACCTAGGAATCCAACTTACAAGGGATGTGAAGGACCTCTTCAAGGACAACTACAAATGACTGCTCAATGAAATAAAAGAGGATACAAACAAATGGAAGAACATTCCATGTTCATGGGTAGGAAGAATCGATATCATGAAAATGGCCATACTGCCCAAGGTAATTTATAGATTCAATGCCATCCCCATCAAGCTACCAATGACTTTCTTCACAGAATTGGAAAAAACTACTTTAAAGTTCATATGGAACCAAAAAAGAGCCCGCATCGCCAAGTCAATCCTAAGCCAAAAGAACAAAGCTGGAGGCATCACACTACCTGACTTCAAACTATACTACAAGGCTACAGTAACCAAAACAGCATGGTACTGGTACCAAAACAGAGATATAGACCAATGGAACAGAATATAGCCCTCAGAAATAATGCCGCATATCTACAACTATCTGATCTTTGACAAACCTGACGAAAACAAGCAATGGGGAAAGGATTCCCTATTTAATAAACGTTGCTGGGAAAACTGCTAGCCATAAGTAGAAAGCTGAAACTAGATCCCTTCCTTACACCTTATACAAAAATTAATTCAAGATGGGTTAAAGACTTACATGTTAGACCTAAAACCATAAAAACCCTAGAAGAAAACCTAGGCAATACCATTCAGGACATAGGCATGCGCAAGGACTTCATGTCTAAAACACAAAAAGCAATGGCAACAAAAGCCAAAATTGACAAATGGGATCTAATTAAACTAAAGAGCTTCTGCACAGCAAAAGAAACTACCATCAGAGTGAACAGGAAACCTACAGAATGGGAGAAAATTTTTGCAATCTACTCATCTGACAAAGGGCTAATATCCAGAATCTACAATGAGCTCAAACAAATTTACAAGAAAAAAACAAACAACCCCATCAAAAAGTGGGCAAAGGATATGAACAGACACGTCTCAAAAGAAGACATTTATGCAGCCAAAAAACACAAGAAAAAATGCTCATCATCACTGGCCATCAGAGAAATGCAAATCAAAACCACAATGAGATACCATCTCACACCAGTTAGAATGGCGATCATTAAAAAGTCAGGAAACAACAGGTGCTGGAGAGGATGTGGAGAAATAGGAACACTTTTACACTGTTGGTGGGACTGTAGACTAGTTCAACCATTGTGGAAGTCAGTGTGGCGATTCCTCCGGGATCTAGAACTAGAAATACCATTTGACCCAGCCATCCCATTACTGGGTATATACCCAAAGGATTATAAATCATGCTGCTATAAAGACACATGCAAACGTGTGTTTATTGTGGCACTATTCACAATAGCAAAGAAGTGGAACCAACCCAAATGTCCAAGAATGATAGACTGGATTAAGAAAATGTGGCACATATACACCATGGAATACTATGCAGCCATAAAAAATGATGAGTTCATGTCCTTTGTAGGGACATGGATGAAGCTGGAAACCATCATTCTCAGCAAACTATTGCAAGGACAAAAAACCAAACACCGCGTGTTCTCACTCATAGGTGGGAATTGAACAATGAGAACACATGGACACAGGAAGGGGAACATCACACACCAGGGACTGTTGTGGGGTGGGGGGAGAGGGGAGGGATAGCATTAGGAGATATACCTAATGCTAAATGACGAGTTAATGGGTGCAGCACACCAACGTGGCACATGTATATATATGTAACAAACCTGCACGTTGTGCACATGTACCCTAAAACTTAAAGTATAATAATAATTAAAAAAAACTGATGAAAATTTAACACTGATTGCATAAACAAACATACAAACAAAAAGAGAACTAATACAAACTCTACATTTTAATTTTGTCCTCCCAACTCTAACTTTTTGTTGTTACTATTTATATTTTATTGTACTATGTCTTGAAAAGTTGTTATGGTTCTTATTTTTTAGAGTCTTTCTACTTAAGATAAAAGCATTTTATATACCACAATTACTGTCTTATTATAATAGTCTGTGATTTTTCCATGTGCTATAACCAGTGAGTTTCATACCTTCAGATAATATTTTGTTGCTCATTAATGTCCTTTTCGTTCAGATTGAAGGACTCCCTTTAGCATTTCTTGTAGAACAGACCTGGTGTTGATGAAGTCCCTCAGCTTTTGTTTGTCTGGGAAAGTCTTTATTTTTCCTTCATATTTGGAGGATATTTTCACCAGATATACTATTCTAGGGTGAAAGTATTTTTCCTTCATTACTTTAAATATGTCATGTCACTCCTCCTGGCCTGTAAGATTTTCACTGAAAAGTCTGCTTCAAGACTTATTGGAGGTCTATTGTATGTTATTTGTATCTTTTCTCTTGCTGCTTTTAAGATTTGTTCTTTATCTTTGACCTTTGGGAGTTTGGTTATTAAATGCCTTGAGGGAGTCTTCTTTGGGTTAAATCTGCTTAGTGTTCTATAACCTTTTACTTGAATACTGGTAACTTTCTTTAGATTTGGGAAGTTCTCTTATATTATTCCTTTGAATAAACTTTCTATCCTTATCCCTTTCTATTCCTCCTTTTTAAGGCAAATAACTCTTAGATTTGCCCTATTGAGGCTATTTTGTAGATTTTGTAGGTGTGCTACATTGGTTTTTATTCTTTTTTCTTTTGCCTCCTCTGACTGCTTATTGTCAAATAGCCTGTCTTCAAGCTCACTAATTATTTCTTCTGCTTGTTCAATTCTGCTACTAAGAGACTCTGATGCATTCTTCAGTATGTCAATTGCATTTTTCAACTCTAGAATTTCTACTTAAATCTTTTTGACAATTTCAATTTCTTTGTTTAACTTATCTGATAGAATTCTGAATTCCTTTTCTGTGTTATCTTGAATTTTTTTTTAACTTTTTTCAACACAGCTATTTTCAATTATCTGTCTGAAAGATCAGATACCTGTGTTTCTCCAGGATTGGCCCTAGGTGCCTTATTTAGCTCACTTGGTAAGGTCATATTCTCCTGGATGGTCTTGATGCTTATAGATGTTGGTCTGTGTCTGGGCACTGAGGAGCTAGGCGTTCATTGTAGTCTTCATGGTCTGGGCTTATTTGTGCCTGTTCTATATGGGAAGGCTTTCCAGGTATTTAAAGGGACTTGAGCCTCACACTCAATAATGCTGTGGTTCTTGCAGGCTCATAGAGGTGCCAACTTGGTGGTCTTAGGTAAGATCTGGAAAATTTTTCTGGATTATTAGGCAGAGACTCTTGTTCTTTTCCATTACTTTCTCCCAAGCAAACGGAATCTCTCTGTGTTCAACCTCCTGGAACTGGGAGTGGTAGGACAGAAGGATACATATGGCCACCACTGCTGGGACTGTGTTGGTTTAAACCTGAAGCCAGCCCAGCACTGGGTCTTCCCCATGGCCCACTGTAACCACTACCTGGCTACCACCTAAGTTTACTCAAGGACCTAGTGTTATAGTCTCACCAATGCACCACAATGTAGCAGTCTCTTGTTGTGACGTACCACCTGGAGTTCTTCGTCCCATGACCAAGAATATTAGGGAGCATGGAGGCAAAGGGTGAGGTTGGAGTGAAAGTTGAATGAGCAAAAGAAGAAAGCTCTCTACAGCAGAGAGGGGGGCCTGAGAGGGTTGCCATTTTTACAGTTGAATCCAACAGCTTTTATAAGAAACTCCCCCTCACCAACAGCTTTTATAAGAAACTCCCCCTCATCTCTGTAGCTATTTGTATCACTTCTCTTGTCTGTGAAACTGTCTGTGCAACTCCCCTCATCTGTGGAGCTGCAGGCATATCTTTAGGCAGCACAAAGTGCAGGTTCTCTTGTTTGTGCAACTGTGGATGTGTTTTGGGTAAGCCCCCACCTCCCTGTGCAAGTACCCATGGAAAAGAGGTGGAAACTTTTTCATGGGAGCCCACTAATCACACAAAGAACAAAAGGCTTCTGTGTTGGACTTTGCTTTCTTATCAGTGCAGCAGCTGCAGTTTGGTTTTACCCCAGGCTGCTCTATTTGTGCCTGTAACTGTGATTTTTCAGGTGTCTTTCTGTTTAAAAGAATTTTACCAAGGACCAGCTTTAGTTGTCTGCCCAACTAATTTTTCCTTTTTCTCCCCCTCTCACTAGGGCTCTACAATCAGCAGGTGGCAAACCCACTGATGTTTCTGTCCCTCCTTCAGGTTGGCAAGTTCCCCCAGGCCCCGGATAGGTTCAGAGATGCTGTCTGGAAGCCAGGGATTAAAGTCAAGAACCTTAGAAATTTACCTGGTATTCTATTCTACTGCAGCTAAGCTGGCACTCAAACCACAAGACAAATTCCTCCCCACTCTTCCCTCCCCTTTCTACAGGCAGACATTGCCTCTCCCTGTGGCCACCACCAGCAGCAGCCCATGGGGTGTTTTACTTAAAGTTCAGGGGCTCTTTGATCAGCTTGTGATTAATGCTACCAGGCCTTGGACTCAACCTTCAGGTCAGTGGGTTTCCTCTGGCTCCAGAGAGGTCCAGAAATGCTGACCAAGAGACTAGGCCTAGACTTGGGGACCACAGGAGCCTATTTGTTGCTCTATCCCAGTGTGGTCAAGCTGGTATGTATGGTGCAAGACAGGGTACTCTTCACTTTACCCCACTCCCTGCTTTTCTGAAATAGTCTTTCACCATAGCCACCACAGCTGGGAATGTGGTCACATCTGAAAGCAGCATGTCTCAGAGCCAAAGGCCCACAATGTACTACCTGGGTATCACTGTTTGTTATTCTTGGCCCACGAGCTCTTCAGTCAGCAAGTGATGAATACTGACAGGTCTCTACTGTGACAGGGCAGCACAGAGTTCAATATAAAGTCTCACATTTCCTGCACTCTCCCTCTCCCAACAACACAGATTTCTCTGCACCATGCATCTGCTGTCAGAGAGTGGGGGAGGTGTGGTGCAAGCCCTCCCTTTGCCACCCTGGCTGTTCTCTCAGTAGGTTGCCCTCAGTCCACTGGCTCTGAGCTCAGCTCAGTTCTAGGACTTGCCTAGGAATTGCAATCCTTTGGCACAGACTGTCATTCAAGTTCACTTAGGGCCCCGGAGCACTCCAGGCTGGTGGTGAGGCTTGCTGGAACTCAAGCTCTGACCACTGGGATGGGTGATTTCCCTCTGGCTAGGGCTAGTCCAAATACTCCCTCCATGAGCGGATGTCAGCTGAGTACAGCCTGGTTCTGCTTTCCACTATAACAGGGCAGCACTGAGTTCAATGCAAAGCCTCACAATTGCTCTGCTGTCTCTCTCCCAAGCACAGATTGTCCATGCCACGCAGACACTGCCCAGGGGATAGGGGAGCAGTAGTGTTGCCAATTCAAGACTGTCTTTCCTGCCCTCTTCATGTCTCTTTCAGTGATATGATGTTAAAATCAGGTACTGTGGTTACTCACTTGAGTTTTGGTTTTTGTGATGGTGCTTTTAATGTGCAGTTAGTTGTTATAATTTAGTGTTCCTGCAGGGAGAGGACAAATGGTGTAGGCTTCTATTCAGCCATTTCGCTCCACCCTAAGAGACTATCTTTAACAAATGGTGTTGGGCACCCACAGTGGTTCATGCCCGTAAGCCCAATACTTAGAGAGGCAGAGGTGGGAGAATTGCTTGAGGCCAGGGGTTTAATACCAGCCTGGACAACATAATAAGACCCCCAACTCTACAAAAAGCAAAAAAAAAAAAAACTGGCCAGGTATGATGGCACGTAACTATAGTGCCAGCTACTTGGGAGGCTGAGGCAGAAGGATTACTTTAGCCTAGGATTTCAAGGCTGCAGTGAGCTAGGATGGCACCACCACACTCCAGCCTGGGCAACAGAGTGAAACCTTATCCCTAAAAATAAATATAAATAAATAAATAAATAAATGTGGTGTTGAGAAAATTGACATGTAAAACAATGAAACTGAATCCCTATCTTACACCACACAAAAAAAATCAATTCAAAATGAATTAAAGACTAAGACTTGACACCATAAAATTCTTAGAAGAAAACATCATAAAAAACCTTCATGACATTGATCTTGCCAATGATTTCTTGGATATGACACTAAAAATATAAACAACAAAAGCAAAATAAACAAGTGGGACTACGTCCAACTAAAAACCTTCTGCACAGCAAAAGAAACAATCAACAGAGTGAAAAGGCAGTCTTTGGAATGGGATAAAATATTTGCAGATCATACATCTGACAGGAGTTAATATTTAAAATACATAAGAAATTCCTACAACTCAAAAGCCAAAACCCAAATAATTTGATTAAAATGTGGGCAAAGGTCTTGAATAGACATTTCTCCAAAGATACACAAATGGCCAATTGGCATATGAAAAGGTGCTGAACATCACTATAAGTGGGGAAATGAAAATCAAAACCACAATTAAATGTTGCCACACACCTGTTAGAATGGCAATTAAAAAAAAAAAAACAGAAAATAACAAGAGTTGGAGGGAATATAGAGAAACTGGAATACTTGTGCACTGTTGGTGAGAATGTCAATAGTGCAGCCACTCTGGAAAACAGTATAGAGGTTCCTCAAAAAATTAAAAGACAGAACTAGCATATGTTCCAGCAGTCCCACTCCTGGTATTTTCAAAAGAATTGAAAATAGGATTTCAAAGAGATATTTGCACTCCCATATTCAATGCAGCATTAATCACGGTAGCCAAAATGTGGAAACAACCTAAATGTTCATTGACCGATGATTAGATAAGGAAAATGTGGTATATTCTTACAATGGAATGTTATTCATCCTTTAAAAAGAAGGAAATCCTGTCATATGAAACAATATGGATGAATCTTGAAGACATTATCCTAAGTGAAGTAAGCTAGTCACAGAAGAACAGATAGTGTATGATTCCACTACTATGAGGTATCAAATGTAATCAAACTCATAGAAGCAGAAGGTAGAATGATGGTTTCCACAGGCTAGCCACGTGAGGGGATAGGGAGTTGGTGTTCAGTGGATATAGCATTTCAGTTACACAAGATGAAAAAGCTCTAGAGACCTACTGTACAATATTGTGCTATAGTATACACTTAACATTTTGTTAAGAGGATTGATTTCATATTGTTAGTTTTTACCACAATTTTAAAAATGTAAAACAATGAAACTTCTTGAAGAAAACAAGAGAAAACCTTTGTAACTTAGGACGAGGCAAAAAACTTCTTAGATATGAAACCAAAAGTATAATCCAAAAAAGAATATATTTATAATATATTTATAATTTGGACTTCATAAAAACTTGTCTTTAAAATACGCTGTTTTAAAAATGAAAAGACAAACTACAGACTGAGAGGAAATGTTTGCCAAGAATATCATTCATAAAGGACAAAATGTGTAAAGAACTCTCAAAACTCAACAATAAGAACACCTAATAAAAAATGTACAAAAGATTTAAACAGACAATTCACCAAAGCAATGCAGATATGCTCAGCATCATTAGTCTTTACAGAAACGTTGACTAAAACCATGAATGAGATACCACTAAAAGCCTATTAAAATGGCTAAAATCAAAAAGACTGACTATACCAAGGTTTGGCAAGAAAGTGGAAGATTCCTGGGCCACTGATGGTAATGTAAAATGGTACAGCTGCTTTGTAAAACAGTTTAGCAGTGTCTTTAAAAGTTAAACTTATACCTACTATATGATCTAGCCCTGCTGCTCCTAGGTTTTTAGCCAAGAGAAAACAAAGGATACACTTATACAAAGATTTGTATAAACAAATATTTATGTTAGTTTTATTTATAATGGACATAAAACTGAAATAACCCAAAAGTCCATCGATGAGGGAATGATTAAATAAACTATGGGATATACGTACGATGTTATACTACTCAGCAAAAAAAAGAAATAAATGGTACACAAAATGACAGAGATGAATCTCAAAATAATCATGCTGGGTGAAGGAAGCCAAACACAAAAAAGTTCATATTGTATGATTCCATTTATATAAAGTATTGGAAAATTCTCAGCCATTATTTCTTCACATATTGCCTCTCCACCATCCCCTGATTTTTCTCCTTCTGTGATTATTATTATACTTACTTTAGCCCCTTTGACACCCTCATGTCTTTTACATTTCTCTATGTGTTTTGCATTCTTTCTCTGTGCTTCAGTTTGGATACTTTTTATTTACTTGTATTTCTGTTGTTTTGCTGTGCTCAATTGACTTAATTTCAGATTTTGTTTTCAGTTTTTAAGTCCCACTTAATTTTTTTATAAATTCCAATTACCTATTAAACTTTCCATCTATTCATCTGTGTTAGCTTGGGCTGCCATAACAAAACCGTAGACTAGATGGCTTCAACAACAGAAATTTATTTCATTGCAGTTCTGAGGAGGCTGGAAGTCTGAGATCAGGGTGCCAGCATGGTCTGGTTCTGGTTCTGGTGGGGACTCTCTTCCTGCTTGCAGATGGCTACCTGCTCACTGTCTGAAGGAGACTTTGTTTTATCTTCTCAATTTCCTATTAAGTTTTTTATAATCGAAATTTTAATTTCCAGTAATTTGTTGTAATTCCTTAATCTTTATTACTGTGTTGCCTTTTTGATGTTATTGGCAGAGAAGGTGGGTATTTGGGGTTTGTTTCTGTTTGATTTTGAACTCCTATTCTCTAAATGTATCTTTACTTTTTTCAGTTTTTTTAATATTGAATTTCTTTCCTTAACATTGCACACTTTTCTCGAGTATCTTGGAATCATTTTTACCGATATATATTTAAGACTGAAGAAAAAGAAAGATGAAGTCAGAGTGAGACTTACAGACCATCAAACTTTATCAGCTACCAGGAAACCAGTCATTTCTCTAGAGCACCTCTCCCTCAAAAAAGTGCCAGATTATGGAAAGGTTTACACAGGTAGGCAGTAGCTACACCTGCTCTCCTAGATGGCTTCTTTAATATTTTTTAAAAGGAACTTCTATTTTATTTTATTTTATTTTGTTTGTCTGATGTAATCAAAGTTATGGCCTGTTTGGTTTGCTTTTGCCAAGGTATAAATACTGCCTAAAGGCCATTCTGCACATGGGGATATGATGCAAGTCGACTTGCATGTACAAAGCTTCAACTCATCCTCCTGTCTGGGCCCCCACTTTTAATTCTCATTCTTTGTTATGCATACAGTCTCAAGCCTTTCTAGGATATTACCAGGGCAGTTGACTGCCTTTAACTGTAGTTTCCTTGGAATTGCAAATATCAATAGAGAGCTGGTTCCTTCTCTTTGTTCAGGTTTCAGCTCCAACATCACCCCAGAAAAGTCTACCATGACTTCTCTATCTAAATAAACCTCATCTCAATCACTCTCTATTATGGTTTTCTATCTTGTCATCCTCATAGCATTTACCATCATCTGAAATGATTTTGTTATTGGATTTTTACTTCTGCTACTAACATGCAAGCTCATGGGAAGAAGTTTTGTTTGCCTCATCCATAGCTACTTCCTCAATGCCTTTACCCATACCTGAAACACGAGAGGTGCTCGTATATTTATTAAGTAAAGACATAGTCATAAGATACTGGGCAAGGTCAGAGGAAGGAGAGATGCTTCTGCTCCATCTCAAAATTCAACTAGCCCAGGCTCAGCCCCATTCCCAGAACTTCTCACTCCAAACTCAAATTCATTCTCCCCTATCCAAGCTTAGAAAACCTGGGATAATATCATTTATCTTTTACCAACCCTTGCCTCGCCTCCAATTCCTATGTTCCTAGTTTATTGATTGTTACATCTGTCTGGTAATTTCAAATTCACAGTTTCTCATGACTTCCCTAAATACAGTGCTTATGATTGTGCCTTACCTCCATCCTGTCTACCTAGATGTGTCTCAGAATAATAGAATAGTTAAGAGCAAACAAAAAGTAATAAATATGGAATTGAAGAAAACAAATTTCCTCCACCTCTCTGCCACTTGAGACAAAACTGGTTCTTTTCCCCAGGGCAGGGCTGTGTCAGAATCTTGTCCCTTCATAGACTCAAAGTCCAAAGCCTGACCCTCTGTGCAAGGATCCAAAGAGAATGAAAGTTCCTCTTGCATCAGAAGGACTGTCTCAAGGGCACCTGTGCTGTCTGCCTCAAATATGTGTAATACAGGATGCTAGACTGGTCGTTCAGCCTCAAATTCTTTTTATCCTCAGAGAAGATACACATGCATGAATTAATAATCAATAAAATAAACATGTGTCTGTCCTCTGGCGTTTCATTCACCGTAAATGGACACCATGACCTAGAGAAATACAACAAAAAGAAATTGGGAAAACATTGGACAGAACCAGTGCTGTTTCTTTGGAAGCTAAGCAGTAAAAGCTGTAAAAGTACATGAGTGCCATCTAGAGGCAAAACTAGCACTGCAGTGTTGTTAAAGGTTGTTCATACTCAGGAGAAAAGAGAAATTTGCTCCTGGAAACCCATAAGTGATGGGAAAACTTGTCATGACAACCTGATGGATCCTGCCCTATCGTCAATGACTGGCAGTAAGCAAGTTTTTCATATCCCGAGTCAAAATTTGCCTCTGCCTTTCCTGACCGCTGCAGACCACAGTAACCTCCCCTCCTCTGATAGATCCTAGGGTATTTTCTTTAACATTTAATCAGTCCCAAGTCAGAACAAGTTCTCTCTTCAACAAATATCTTTCCCGATATATTCTTTGCATCAGACTCTGAGCTCAGCAATGGGACTGTCTGCTGGTTTACAAGTCACTTCATGAGCTGGAGGGACGTTGTCCATCCCCTCCTTCCCTGTGACAGGAGTTCCCTGCATAACATCTCTGAAATGCACTTCCTAACCTTTTTAGAAATGGATCCTTTGGAAAAGCACATCCCACCTGCTCTAAGACAGGTAAAAATCTGTAGGCATATAACTTCCCGCAGTGAAAATCATGGGTTTGGAAGTCGGTGAGATGTACTATTGAATCCTACCTCTGTGATTTGTGAAATGTGTAAACTACCGAAACTTGGGCAAAGGACTTAACATCTCTGAGACTTGATTTCCTAGTTGTTAAATGGAATAATAATACCTACCTGTGGTCTTATGGTAAGGATTAGCAATAGCACTTTTTTTTTTTTTTGAGACAGTTTCGCTCTTGTTGTCCAGGCTGGAGTTCAATAGCACGATCTTGGCTCACTGCAGCCTCCACCTCCCAGGTTTCAGTGATTCACCCACCCCAGCCTCTTGAGTAACTGGGATTACAGGTATCTGCCACCATGCCCGGTTCATTTTGTATTTTTAGTAGAGATGGGGTTGCACCATGTTGATCAGACTGCTCTTGAACTCCTGACCTCAAGTGATCTGACCTCAAGTGATCCACCCTCCTTGGCCTCCCAAAGTGTTGGGATTACAGGTGTGAGCCGCTGCACCCAGCCCAGTATTTATTATTTATATACAACCTGGCACAACCTGGAACAAAGAAAAAGTGGTAAGAAAATATAAACTTTCACTATCATTATGATAATAAAAGTTCTATGAGATTAAGTCATCTACTTTGCAAAGTTGTTGTGAAGACTAAATTATGTATACATGTATGATAGACTGCCAGGCAAAACAGAACTTAGAATTTTTTTCATCAAGAGAACCTACCAGTGGGTTTGGCAGGATATGATGTCTCACACCTGTAGTCCCAACACTTTGGGAGGCTAAGGCAGACAGATCACATAAGGTCAGGAGTTCAAGACCAGCCTGGCCAACATGGCAAAACCCCATCTCTACTAAAAATACGAAAATTAGCCAGGTGTAGTAGCACACACCTGTAGTACCGCTACTTGGGAGGCTGAGGCAGGAGGATCACTTGAACCCAGGAGGCAGAGGTTACAGTGAGCCAAGATCGCGCTACTACACTCCAGTGTGGGCGATAGAGCGAGACTCAGTCTCAAAAAAAAAAAAGAGAACCCGCCAGTGGCTTCTATCTGACAACATTGTAAGTTTTATCACCTTGAAATAGACGTTTTATTTTTCTCTGAACACTTCAGTTGCATCTCTGAGTTATTGCAAACAAAAGACCACAAGGTACACGCTAAGATATTAATATGGTTTGGCTGTGTCCCCACCCAGATCTCATCTCAAATTGTAATCCCCATGTGTTGAGGGAGAGACCTGGTAGGAGGTGATTGGATTATGAAGGCAGTTTCACCCATGCTGTTCTCGTGATAAGTGAGTCAGTTCTCACAAGAACTGATGGTTTTAAAGTGTGGCACTTCCTGGTTCTCTCGCTGTCTCCTGCCACCTTGCAAAGAAGGTCCTTGTTTCCCCTTTGCCTTCTGTCATGATTCAAAGTTTCCTGAGGCTTCCCCAACCATGTGGAACTGTGAGTCAACTAAACCTCTTTTGTTTATGAATTACCCAGTCTCAGGTAGTATCTTCATAGCAGTGTGAAAACAGACTAATACAGATGTGGAACAGCTGTAACAGGATTCTTTAAGCCTCACAAAGATTATCCTTTGCAAAATGTCCCAAGATTTGACTACTTGGGAGAGGGAGCTAAATTTGCACAGGGGTGGCCAGGCATGGTGGCTCATGCCTGTAATCCCAACACTTTGGAAGGCCGAGGCAGGCAGATCACCTAGGTCAGGAGTTTAAGACCAGCCTGGCTAACATGGTGGAACCCTGTCTCTACTAAAAATACAAACACTAGCCAGATGTGGTAGCAGGCACCAGTAATCCCAGCTACTCAGGAGGCTGAGACAGGAGAATCGCTTGAACCTGGAAAGTGGAGGTTGGAGTGAGCCAAGATTGTGCCACTGCATTGCAGCCTGGGCAACAGAGCAAGACCCTCTCTCAAAAATAAATAAATAAATAAATTTGCACAGAATCAAGCCAATCTCTTCCCCCTAACAATCGAGATTAGATTCTCTCTGATAGATTGAGTACATTTGGAAACATCACCAAATGCTTTACACTACACAATGTTCTTGAAAAAGTCAAGGAAGATGGACATGATTGGCAGATAGGCCTTAAGCAATTAAATGAAAAGCAAAAGTGATATAACCTATTTTTATGCCTTGGGCTGATAAAGAAAATCAGTCCAACTATTCATGTGCAGCATCACATCTGGCATGTGGTAGCACTCAATCAATGGTGGTTCTTATTACTGATATTGTTCCAAGTGGTTTCTTGCTAATCCAACCCAGAGCTTGTGTCATCTGGCAACAGTCTCATCTGGGCCCAGTTAGCAACTTCTCTATGAGCTAGCCATGTTAACAACCTTTCTAGCTCACACAGTGGTAGGCCAGAGCCTGTTAGGATGGAGGGAGAGATGGCAAGGAAGTGTGGCCAGCCAAGGCTGCCAGCACAGACACAACTCAGAATTCTAAAATATGTTCCCCAGCAAGGAGAGATCTGAGAAATGCCTCAATGTAATGCTTGCCCTTTGGACTTGTCTAATAGGAGCAAGTTGCTCTAAGTGATGTATCTAAAGTGTAGCTACCCATGCTGTAGATTATTTTTCCTTTTTCTTTTCCCCCATCAGTGTTAACCTTCTTGCACAGAATAGAGGAGAACAAACAGAGAAGGGAATGAAGTAATAGTTCTTAGGGATGTGACAAAGTCCAGAGGCCTCAAATCATCTCTTGAGTGTGTTACACTTTCTCTCCCAATGGATTTTCCATGTTTGCTACATGAATAATGCACCATTAAGCACTGAAGCAATACAATGGTAGCCTTAACAAAATAGCAATTTGAAAGTTAAACTGTCATTACTAGTTTGTATCTCAATAGTGCATCTTTCTTTATAACGCACGCTTAATTTCATTAGAGGCATGGGGAATAAATCATATTCCCCTTGCCTATGGTGGGGATCATCTTATGGTTGCAAACATCAAGATCTATCTTTAGATTTATTGGTGACAAATATCAGCCCATTGTCCTAATGGTGAAATAACATAGTCTACTAGCACAGGATACAAATTTAATTTAGTGAAATTTCTTTAAAAAAAAAAAAAAAAAAGCTCTGAATCACAAGCAGTATGAGCTGGAAGCATTCAGAAAAATAACCCACGCCTGGTTCTTAGCCTCAGAGGCACTCCAGAATCACCTGGGAGCTTTCAAAAAATGCATTGCACAGGCCCCAACTCAGACCTATTAAATCAAAATCTGTAATTATAGGGCCCAGTTATCATTTTTGAAAACCTCCCAGGTGATTAATAAGTGCAGCCCGGAATGAGCACCACCCATATACATCAACCCCATGATTGTACAAGGGGGCTTTAGCCCCACAGGGGAGATAGCTGGTGCAGGGTTCCCAGGGATGGCTGGAGAGCTGGGTCCAGAGCCTGGTATTTTGCCCCAGCTGGCACCCTTCCTGATTGGATGCTGTGCCTTAACATCTCTTTGCCTTGGTTCCTTTTTCCCTCAATAGCCTACCCCTGCCTCCAGGTTTCTACTTCATTCACTAATTCATTAGACTTGTGTGGAGTACCTACTATGTGCCAGATAACCCCATTCCTGGAATATCCCCCTATGTCTTAGCTCTGCCAAATCTTTTCCATTGTGGTGATCTTTTTAGCACTCCTAAAAGGCAAGGCTTCCTGCAAGCAACAGCTTCTGACTGCTCTAACCACAGGAGGGAGCCAAGCACCCCACTCTTTTTTCTATAAATCCACAGATTGGACAAATCAAGCAGAGGGCAAGTGGATCGCAGGAGGCAGGGCCTGCAGGGAGTGGGCGAGGGCTGTAAGAAATGAACTCTGAGTGACCTTTCAGGCTTGAGCCACCGTGCTGCCCACCTGAAGAAGGCCATGGGGTACACCAAATACAACAGGCTTGACAGACAGGCACACCTAGGACTTCACTGGCTGAGAGTTCGCCTGGACCATCACTTATAAAGCAACCACAGAAGGTTGTACCAAGATCCAATGTGGCCAAGAATATAAGTGCTGGAACAGAGCAAGTGCCCAACTAGCTGGAGTTCCATCTTCTGAGAGCCCCTCCCCTTCCTTTTCTCCCTGCTTTCTTTCATCCTCATCCTATTCTCTTTCCTTTTCCTGAGAAGCCACATAGAGCAAGGAAGGCCTGAGATGCAGAGCATTCACCCCTCCACCATGGGTAGCAATTCATGATGTAGGTTCTCCTGCAGAAACCAGCCTATAAATGTCAAGTTGTAGCCTTGACATGTCCCAAGGATATGATGAACACTGCCTCAAATGGCCTTGTCTGTCACCAATCCTTCACCAGATCATCCCTCAGTCAGAGGATCTGAGGCAGGAGCCTGCGGTGACCTGCAGGGTCCTTGCTCTGCCCTCCCCAGCCCTCTATGGCCACCTGGTCCCATTGGTGAGTAGTCGTTGGGCCTCTGTTGACTGTTGACTGAAACTCACTGCCACATAAGGCAGCCACTGTCAGGCTGTCCCTGTTGTAAATGAAAACTTGACACTCCCCCAGCACTTCTGCCTTTGGCCCTTCAGAGATTTGGAGCCAGAGAGATGCCCCTGAGTCTTCTCTCCTTCAGACTTTAACAAAGAAATCTCTGCCCACCCTGGTGAGATCTCCAATTTTTTGTGGTCCTCACTCCTGAAGATACCTGGTTTGGTGTGGTGACCCCGGTGAGGGCAAGGGGAATCTCTAAGGGTTTGTGCTATGCTATGAACCATAATACACTTGTCAACACCAGCCAAGATCACATTAACCTGGGAGCAGCAGGTCAGCCTCCTCTTTCCTGTCCACCTCTGGTTCCCAGATTGGTTTTTTATGAACAAACAAAAGACTGAGCTCCCTAAGGTGAGGTATTCATAGTTGGGGGTTTGGGCCTAAAGGCAGACTGGTTCCACCAGACTCCTGCTCACTGTCTGCGGTTCCCTCTGTCTCTTCTCTGTGGCTATCCCCAACACGCAGATTGGTAACTGTCAGCCAATGCACACAAGGCTGTGCTCTCTCAATCACAAAAGGAAAAAAAAAACACTCCTTGAGACTCCAACTCCTACATTCTTTTCCTAGGAAATGCAAACCCATTCTTAAATGAAAAGTCACATTCCCACTGTCAGCCAGGCACCACCAGAGTTGGTCTTGACCAGTAGGTGGATTGACTGATTCCTCCCAGGGCTGTGAATGAGGATACACCTTCCATGCTGACCCATCTGTCGCTCCCTTTCTTTCTCCCTCCCTCTCAATACACACACACACACACACAGACACACACCCACGGACGCACATACAGAGACACACAAATACACACACACAGACACACACACGGAGATACAGGTATACAGAGACACGCAGAGGTAGACACACCCAGAAACAAACAAAATGACACACACATACATAGACACAGATACACACATATAGACACACACAGAGACACATACAGAAACACACATCAAAGACACATACAGGCACACAGAGAACACACACACAGATACACACACAAACACAAAAAAAGAGACCCACAGACACTCACACAGACATACACATAGACACAGAAGCACAGACACAGAGACACACGCAGACACAGAGATACATGCAGACACACAGACACACACACAGATGGCCTTAGCATCCAGCTTCAGGGCAATGCCCTCAGGCATGGGCACTGTCCCTATTTCATCCCTGTATCCCCAGCAAAGTGCCTGCACACAGTATGTGCACAATAAATGTTTACTGAACTCAACAAAGCCACAGGGGAGACAGTCCAGACTGCTTAGAGCAGCCACTTAGAGCAGCAATGAGAAAAATGAGTCCTGTCCAAATTTCCTTCTGATTAAATCCTGCATATAAAGTTCTAACTGGAAGATTTTACATTGTAAAAACATTTCTGAGACCCTCCCCACTTCCTTTCCCACAAAGCCCAGACTCCATCATGAGCCCCCGTGACGTGGCCCCTATTCTCTTGGCTGCAGCCTCTTGGGGAGAGTACAGTATGAGGCAATTCTCTGGGAGGTTCCCAGATCATCTTTGGCCTACTTGTGTGCCCCCAAGAAACCTGGGATCCTGGGAAACACCATTATCAGACAGTGCCTGCTCACCAAAAGTCCTCCTGCCCAACAGCTTCCTGAGCCATATTGAAACCCAGGTTTGCCTGACTCCAAAGCCTGTGCTTGAAACCACTGTGCCCCACAGCCTCCAGCACCGTCAGCAATGAGAATCCCCAGATAAGATGAAAACAGCGCTTCCAGCCAGGAGAGCAAGGCCCACGGCTGCAGCAGGAAGAGCCACAGGAGGAACTGGGCTCGGTTTCATGAGGAGGCAATTATGGTTGTCAGAGGCACCTCAGAGGCTGGATGATACATGTGTGAACATTCCTTCATTCATTCCTAGAAATGAGACATTACAGAATATGGTTGAAGCAAAGGGTCTAGCATCAGACAGAGCTGGGTTTAAATCTTGGCTCTGCCACTCAAATGCCAGGTAACCTTAGTCAAGCCATCTGAACTGCCTCACTTTCACTCAACTGTAAATTGAGAATGATCGTATCCCTATTTTAAAGGTTGTTGTGAAGATTAAATGAGATAATGTATATAACAGTTATTAGACCCTCACAAAAGTCTTACAAGGTAGATATTTTATTCCCATTTTACATTTGAGAAAACTGAGGCACTAGGAAGGAAAAAAATGTTTCCAAGTTTGCCCGGGCCCAGTAGCTCAGACCTCTAATCCCAACACTTTGGAAGCCCGATGGGGGCAGTTCAGTTGAGGTCAGGAGTTTGAGACCAGCCTGGCCAATGTTACAAAACCCCATCTTTACTAAAAATACAAAAATTAGCCAGGCAGGGTGGCGGGCACCTATAATCCCAGCTACTTGGGAGGCTGAGGCAGGAGAATCACTTGAATCTGAGAGGTGGAGACTGCAGTGAGCCAAGATCACACCACTGTCTCCAGCCTGGGCAACAGTGCAAGACTCCGTCTCAAAAAAAAAAAAAAAAAAAAAAAAAGGTTTCCAAGTTTGCACAGCTTGTCACTGGCAGAGGCAGAGGTGGGACATAGAATACAATTCTGCCTGATTCTTCAGCCTCTGCTGATAGCCCATCTCACTTTCTCTCTCCATCTCAGGATGTGTGGAGTCCCCCTGCCATCTGAGTGACCACTCTTGCAGGACCAGGCATCACCATGGCCTGGAAAAACCAGCCTCAGTGCCCTCAGTATTTTTTGGTTGCTCCTTCCCTGGAGTCCTTCACAGCACCAGAAACTGACTCTTCCTGGCTCCAGTTCTCTTCTAGATCTGAGAGGACAAAAGCCCCACAACCTCCCAGCAACCTGTGCATCAATAAAGGCTGCCTTGCTCCCTGTCTACAGTGAGCAGTATGTGCCTCCCAGCCTGAAGCCCTCTTCTGCTTCAAGAAAGTACCTATGCAGTTCTCTCCTGCTTCTGAACCCACTGTTACAAGCCTATGGACAGGGAGTGAGTGGCCTGTGCTCACAACAGGTGCACGGTCCACCACTCTGCCTCTGGCATCCAGAGACACTCACCCCAGTGTGAGCTATTTAGGCCACTCTCAAGGGGTCCTGGCCCATCTCACCTCCCCTCTTCATCCCTCTCAGTTCAGGATGTGGGCCTCCTTGATTTCATAGTTCTCTTTTCTTGTTACCTAGAGGACATGCTCTCCCCACCCACCTGCAAACACTTGTGTGGGAGTAGCTATCTCAACATCATGAGCAAAAGGTAGGTTTTTTAAAACTATAGCAGATGGTGAGAACATAAGAATCACCTTAGGTATTGTAGTTGCTTAAAATTATCCTCCTGCAAGAGATTTTAATATGGAAGAGCCTGAGGTGAGGCTCAAGAAGCTGCGTTGTTAACTCTGGGGTCTCCTGACACCAGCCCTCAGGGCCTTGCTGCTTTAATGCTCCTGACTCAAGGTCCTGGGGAAGGATACCAGTCATTAAAACCCAGCCAGGACCTCCAAGGTGAAAACTGACAAAGCACAGGCTCCCGTGTCAAACAAATCTGATTCACATCCCAGCTGCACCATTTTCTAGCTATGCAGTTGGGGTCTAATGACTTACCATCTGTGAGCCTCAATTACCTTTCCCTGGGACCCCCTCCCTCATGCCTATTTTTAGAGTTATCATGAGGATTAAGTGAGGAATTATACATTGACTAAATGGCTCAGAAAAAGTGAAATCAGCATCCCTTCAGTCTCTGCTTACCTCTCTACCAGGGGATCTCATGCCCATGTCTCCAGCTTAGCATTTGTTGCAACACATTGAGAATATCCGGGTATGTCTCTCTCTCTCCAGTAGGCTGTGAGCTCCTCGAGGACAGGAGCCAGGATTAAACCCTCTTTTTATTTCCATGGCCTAATGCAGAGCCCAGCACACAGTAGGGTCTCCATGAGTTGTGGGTCTATTGAAATAGAGAGGACATTCATTGCGTCCTTCCACCCCCGGAACCTCAGTCAGTTCATGCAAAAATAACAAAACCTACCTGTGTTCACTGAATTACTATTTAGTACCAGGCCCTGTGCTAGGGACATAGCATACCTCACTTCTAATCCTTATTCATCCCTGTGGATATATATTACTAACCCTGACCCCACTACACACATGCACACACATCCTGGGTTTTTGTTTTTTTTGTTTTTTTTTTTTTTTGTTTTTCACTTAGGAGGTTACTATGGTTCAGAAAGATGAGGTATCTTGCCCACAGTCATATAGCTAGAGGATCTAGTTCAACCATTGTGGAAGACAGTGTGGCAATTCCTCAAGGATCTAGAACTAGAAATACCATTTGACCCAGCCTTCCCATTACTGGGTATATACCCAAAGGATTATAAATCATGCTGCTATAAAGACACATGCACACGTATGTTTATTGCAGCACTATTCACAATAGCAAAGACTTGGAACCAATCCAAATGTCCATCAATGATAGACTGGATTAAGAAAATGTGGCGCATATACACCATGGAATACTATGCAGCCATAAAAAAGGATGAGTTCATGTCCTTTGTAGGGACACGGATGAAGCTGGAAACCATCATTCTCAGCAAACTATGGCAAGAACAAAAAACCAAACACTGCGTGTTCTCACTCATAGGTGGGAATTGAACAATAAGAACACTTGGACACAGGAAGGGAAACATCACACACCGGGGCCTGTTGTGGGGTGGGGGGAGTGGGGAGGGATAGCATTAGGAGATATAACTAAGGTAAATGACGAGTTAATGGGTGCAGCGCACCAACATGGCGCATGTATACATATGTAACAAACCTGCATGTTGTGCACATGTACCCTAGAACTTAAAGTATAATAAAAAAAAATTTAAAAAAAAAGACTGACACCCAAACCATAGCCCCAAAGCCTGTCCCTCCTCACTGCAAGAACAGCCTCTCTTCCATAACCAAGGACCAATGCCTTTGCCTGAGGATCCTTCCCCTTTCTCAAGACTTGTTGAGGTCAAGGTGAAGGGCATGAAAGGAGCCAAGCAAACTTCAGTGTCGGCCGCGTGTCTTAATGCCCATCTGATATGTACTCATCTAAAATTCTCCACAGACTGAAGCCATAAAATCATAGCCTTATTTAGTGGTTTCTCCAAGTCTAGCTCTGAGGCAGCTCCACAACTCTTGGCTAGGAATATTAATTCAAATAACTCACGCAGACAGCTGTGTAACCAACACGAGAGATAGATGGAGCCCAGAACGCCCCTGTGCAGTAGATCACAACCCCCCACTCCCGTGCCCTCCCCGAAGCTGCCCGGACAGAAAGAGGTCAGTGATTAATTATGCTAAGATAAACAGAGTTAATTTTCTTCCTGGATAAAACTAATTACAACTGTGTTTGTTTTGGTAGGACATGGAATTACTGTCCCCGGTGACAAATCTTCCTAATTGAAAAGAGTGTTTATTTTAAAGGGGTGGGAGTTGGGGTCACTAAACAACAGTTAGCTAGTGTTTTCCCCATTTTTCACTTGAAGAGGGACAGTGATTAGGCATTGGCCTCAAAGAAACGAGCAAAATCTTTTTGTCCACGTTTCCTTCCTTCAAGCCCACTCGAGAGCCTTGGCAACAGCATGAGGGAGAAGAAGTTGGCAGTTTGGAGGTTTCCAAGAAGAATTCATGCCCTGTGGTTAATTAGATTTTAGTGGGTGGTGAAATCAGGGTGAACCCCTCTTTGGAAATCCAGTGAGGAGGGAGGAATGAGCATTTTGAATCCCACCACCCAGCAACATCATAAACTGTGGGAGAACATGTGACCCAACTCAGATCAATTCTTGCAGCATTATGCTAGGTCAGCTCAGTGCTAAAGCAACAGGGATGGAGAAGAGGGAAGCAGAGTCCCTGCTCTCAAGGAGGCCAGAACAAGAATTGTTGTTCACATATCTGGTGCCGAAGGAGCAGAAGGAAGAAGTTGTGGAGAAGGTGGGCAAACAGAGAAGAGGAAGAGCCTTCCACCAGAGACCAGTATGAGCAAAGGCGTGCAGGTGCACAGTGTGTTTCAAGAGCTGTACATAATCCAGTGTGCCTGGGATAACAGGGTGAATTGAGGCACATGACTGCAGAGGAGGCTGGAAAGATACCTGGTATTTGGATCATGACAATTTATGTTCATTTACTAGGGCTGCCATAACAAATTACCACAAACTGGGTGGCTTAAAACAACAGAAGTGTATTGTCTCGCAGTTCTGGAGGCTGGAGATCCGAAATCAAGGTATTGGCAAGGGCTTGCTCCCTCCAAAGCCTTTCTGGAAAGAAGAATCCTTTCCTTGCCTCCTCCAGCTTCTGGAAGCAGCACCAGGTGTTCCTTGGCTTGTGGCAGCATAATTCCAATCTCTGCCTTCACTTCCCATGGCTGTCCTCCCTCTATTCCTATGTCTGTGTCCAAATTTCCCTCTTTTTATACAGATTTCAGTCATACTGGATTAAGAGCCCACCTTACTCCAGCATGACCTCATCTTACTAATTACATTTCAACAACTCCATTCCCAAATAAGCTCACATTCTGGGGTATGAGGAGTTAGGGCTTGAATGTACATTTCTGGAGGACACAATTCAATCCATAGCACAGGTTGCAGAGGCCACTTACAGGAGTGTGAAGTTTAGGAGCAGAGGGAAGACACTCTAAGAGCTGTAAGTGATGGAGGGGCTCCATTTGTTTGTTTTATTTTATATAAGACTTCTCTGGGTCCAATTTGGAGGACTCATAGGTGAGCATGACTCAAAATAGGAAGACCAGTTGGGTAAAAAGTTGTTACAAAAATGCTGGTGAATCTTGATTGTACCCAGAGATTGACAGTGGCAGAAAAGGTGGGTTGGAGAAAAAGGAATCTGTGACAGGGCTGTTTAGATTTCCAGGATTCTGGGGTTTAAAGAACCTCATTATTACTGGGGTGGTGGAACAGTAAAGAAAAGTGGGGGAGTCAAGGACCACTTCCAGGTTTCTGAGCTCACTGAGGAGAAGCAGATTGGAGGGGAGAGGAGTTCAGTTCTGTACAAGTGACAGGTTATGCAATCAGTGACATTCGGGAAACAGTGGGATGTAAAGGTCTGAGATTCAGAGAAACACTTTCCTCTGGAGATACAGATTTAGAAGCCATCAAGAATTAGATGATTATTGAGGCAGGAAGATGGATGATGCTCCAGAAAGACCACATAGAGTGAGAAGAGAAGGTCCAGGACAGAAGCCTGCAGAACCAGTCATGAGAGAGGCTAAAGGAGAAGGGGGATCAAGGGTTTACACTGAGAAAGTGCAGGGTCTGACTTCCCAGCCTTCCAGCCCCAAACCAAAGTGACCTCCTGCCACCACGGTGCACACACCAGTACTTACGTGCACTACACCTTCTCCTGAATGCTGATTATCCACACACGCGCAGAATCCCCTGATCCCAAACTCTGCCAACTCCTTAAGTGTGTTGTGGACCATGTCATTATCTGCTCCCCTTGTGTTCCTCGCGGCCTCCCTAAAAAGGATTTAGCACAAAGCAAGTGCTTATCACTAAATATATGAATAAATGTGATTAATTAAACCACCGTCAAAGATGTATTTAATACTTACAGTAGGTAAGGCAAGGTTCTCTAACAGAAACCAAGTATAGGGCACAAGATAAAACAGGTGCTCACTAAATGTTGTTGAAAGGAAAGGAGGAAGGGGAAGACACCAGTTAGCATCAGAACTACTCAGAATAATGATAGTAAGAGGCTCCACCGGAGAGGCCCCAGGACTGCGTGATTGTGATACGGAAGAAAGGGCAGAAGGTTGGACATCGGGACACCTACATGCCAATTCTCCTCTCACAGTAACTCCCTGTGTAAATCATTCAGCTTTCTGGACCCAGTTTGCTCGAGTATAAAGTTAGGGGTTTCGGTTATAGATTTTCTGAGAACCTTTGCCTCTGCAAAGCTAGAGTCCAAATTAAAAGTGTTGAAAGACAGAGTACAGAGGAAAACTAAGCTCTGGTTTTTTTTTTCGACAGTTACACACAGAAATGCTGAACATTTTCTCAAGTAATCCTCACCCCTGTCTCACAGAGAAGAAATGGAGGCTCAGAGACGTTTTGATATGCCCAAGGACCGTGAGAAGACTGGAGCATGGGGCTGGGGATGCACCAGGGCTGGGAGACAGGGGCGAGCATCCCCACAGTCATGGATGGCAGGGAGGCCGCGCTGCAGAGCTATTAAAACATGGCCTCTGACTTGGCGATGCGGGCTCTTTTTTGGTTCCATATGAACTTTAAAGTAGTTTTTTCCAATTCTGTGAAGAAAGTCATTGGTAGCTTGATGGGGATAGCATTGAATCTATGAATTACCTTGGGCAGTATGGCCATTTTCATGATATTGATTCTTCCTACCCATGAGCATGCAATGTTCTTCCATTTGTTTGTATCCTCTTTTATTTCATTGAGCAGTGGTTTGTAGTTCTCCTTGAAGAGGTCCTTCACATCCCTTGTAAGTTGGATTCCTAGGTATTTGATTCTCTTTGAAGCAATTGTGAATGGGAGTTCACTCATAATTTGCAAGTCAATCCTAAGCCAAAAGAACAAAGCTGGAGGCATCACACTACCTGACTTCAAACTATACTACAAGGCTACAGTAACCAAAACAGCATGGTACCGGTACTAAAACAGAGATGTAGATCAATGGAACAGAACAGAGCCCTCAGAAATAACGCTGCATATCTACAACTATCTGATCTTTGACAAACCTGACAAAAACAAGAAATGGGGAAAGGATTCCCTATTTAATAAATGGTGCTGGGAAAACTAGCTAGCCATATGTAGAAAGCTGAAACTGGATCCCTTCCTTACACCTTATACAAAAATTAATTCAAGATGGATTAAAGACTTAAACGTTAGACCTAAAACCATAAAAACCCTAGAAGAAAACCTAAGCATTACCATTCAGGACATAGGCATGGGCAAGGACTTCATGTCTAAAACACAAAAAGCAATGGCAACAAAAGCCAAAATTGACCAATGGGATCTAATTAAACTAAAGAGCTTCTGCACAGCAAAAGAAACTACCATCAGAGTGAACAGGCAACCTTCAAAACGGGAGAAAATTTTCGCAACCTACTCATCTGATAAAGGGCTAATATCCAGAATCTACAATGAACTCAAACAAATTTACAAGAAAAAACAACAACCCCATTAAAAAGTGGGCGAAGGACATGAACAGACACTTCTCAAAAGAAGACATTTATGCAGCCAAAAAACACAAGAAAAAATGCTCACCATCACTGGCCATCAGAGAAATGCAAATCAAAACCACAATGAGATACCATCTCACACCAGTTAGAATGGCAATCATTAAAAAGTCAGGAAACAACAGGTGCTGGAAAGGATGTGAAGAAATAGGAACACTTTTACACTGTTGGTGGGACTGTAAACTAGTTCAACCATTGTGGAAGTCGGTGTGGCGATTCCTCAGGGATCTAGAACTAGAAATACCATTTGACCCAGCCATCCCATTACTGGGTATATACCCAAAGGACTATAAATCATGCTGCTGTAAAGACACATGCACACATATGTTTATTGCGGCACTATTCACAATAGCAAAGACTTGGAACCAACCCAAATGTCCAACAATGATAGACTGGATTAAGAAAATGTGGCACATATACACCATGGAATACTATGCAGCCATAAAAAATGATGAGTTCATGTCCTTTGTAGGGACGTGGATGAAATTGGAAATCATCATTCTCAGTAAACTATGGCAAGGACAAAAAACCAAACACCGCATGTTCTCACTTATAGGTGGGAATTGAACAATGAGAACACATGGACACAGGAAGGGGAACATCATACTCTGGGGACTGTTGTGGGGTGGGGGGAAGGGGAGGGATAGCATTAGGAGCTATACCTAATGCTAAATGACAAGTTAATGGGTGCAGCACACCAGCATGGCACATGTATACATATGTAACTAACCTGCATATTGTGCACATGTACCCTAAAACTTAAAGTGTAATAATAATAAAATAAAAATAAATAAATAAATAAATAAACATGGCCTCTGGACAAAGGCCACCCGGTGTGAACCCTAATTCAGGCAAAAACGTGTTTCACACAGTTTTGAATTATTTGAGGCTTGGAGTTGTTCCAACAGCAGTTAAAGGTACTGACTCAGGGAGGAGGGTCCTTCCCGTGGCTTACCAAAAGTATTTTCAGATCCTTGGGCTAGCGGGGAAGTGACAGTATTATAACCACGGAAAGCCGTGGTCAGCAGTGCTGCGGAGGAGGGAGGAGACCTGCACTGTAGCTCAGGCTGTCCGTGGCACGTTCCCTCTGGCCTCAGGCTCCTCGTCGCTAATGCTTCATCAGTGAGCCCCAAGATCCTTTTCAACTCTGACACTCTGTGAAACCTCACCCTGAATTCTAGGAGCCCAGGTTGTTGATTTGTGTTGCACAGTTAAACGCTTCATGCTTGCGTGAGGCTGCCGTTCTCTGGAACACTCTGAAGCAGCGGCTTCCAAACGCAGGTCCCTGCACCAAGCTGAATCATAATTACCTGTAGGGCTTTATAAAAACACATATGCCAGGCCGCCACACCAAACCCACGGCGTCAAAATCTCAGGGGCGGAGCCTGGGGATTTGTATTATTAGAAATCTCCCAGGTGAGCCCGGTGCTCAGATCCACCCGTAGAACCAGTTGTGCAGCTGCCGCACCTGCGTTTCCGATGCAGCACCTGCCACCTGGTGCACATAGAAGGTACTGCAGGGATCCTGCAGGTCCAGGCAGCTCACTGCAAAGGGTGGAAGAGGACTCTGGGGTTTCTCATCTGGGTAACCAGCTGTCAGATACAGCTGGGCTTAAATCCTCACACTGACACCTCCAGCAATGTAACCACAGGTGCACTTAGAAAAATTGGGTGGAAATCCAGTGTCAAATGTGGGTTCTCTCTTGGAATAGCAAAAAAAAAAAAAAAAAAAAAAAAAAAAGTCCCATTCTTTCTCTTATGAATGGGAAAAGTGTTTTCTGCTATGCAAAGATCTAATTTCTTGGGGTGGTGATGGGGATAGAGTAATGAAGGAGGGGCAGCGAAAATGTGGAGGAGAAAATAAACTCATATGTTTGGGTTCATTTGGACTTTTTCTTTCAGTGGTGAAGAGAACTTAACTAGTAATAAAGGACAGATAATAAACACGGTTAATCCTCGGATAGAGCAGACCGTGTGCCAGACACTGATTAACAGCTTCATCTGTAATCACACTTCATTTCCAGCGCCAGCCCAGTGAAGTAGGCACTATCATGATGCCCATAAAAACATATAAGGAAACTAAAGTACAAAGAGGTTAAGTGATTTATTTGATGCCTCTCACCTGGATGTAGTTCCGTGCGTTCTGATCCAACATTTCATCTGTGTAAAACAAATATTTTCACGTAGTGTTCCCCTTCCTCATCCACCTCCATTCAGCATTCAAACTGCCCTTGCTTCATCAGGAGATGGACTGACAACACAGCTCAGAGAAATGGAAAACACTCAACATCAGCAAAAATGTTTGGAAAAACATCAAGGATAAGAGCAAAGTGATTAAGGAGAATGACACTTCCTGTGAACTGGAGAGATACATGTGAAATTTCTGTAATCTATATTTAGACAAGTTGGTTGTGCCTCGGTTTCTGTCATCTGCCAAAAGGGGGAAAAACTAGTGCCCATCCTATAGGTTGTGAAGAGCAAATGACATAGTGTGTATACAGCAGTCAGCACAGTACCCCTTTCAATGTTTAGCAGCTGTTGTTAGCAGATCAGATGTAACCAGTTTATTGAGAAGCCTCAATCCATTGCGGTATAGGTATAAACAGTTCAACTTGTTTACTCTAGCCACAACTGTTAACCATGATTTGTCCTATCTGTCAGTATCATTTTCTAATGATATTTTCAGGTAGATCCCATTGCTTTCCCATCGATATCAGTTACCAAAAGTCCCGTCTGGTCTAGTTCACAACTCCCATCTCATATCCAGTTTCAATAGCACTTCCTCGTCTCGCTTCAATGTTTGCCAGACTTGTACCTCAAGTTACGAGAGTGGGAAGGGGACATGGAGAAACCCTGTCACTACAAAAAAAATACAAAATTAGCTGGGCATGGTGGTGCATGTCTGTAGTCCCAACTACTTGGGAGACTGAGGCACAAGAATCACTTGAACCTGGGAGGCGGAGTTTGCAGTGAGCCGAGATCACGCCACTGCACTCCAGCACCTGGGCAACAGAGTGAGACTGTCAAAAAAAAGAAAAAAGAAAAAAAAAACACCAAGGGTGGTAAAAGGTTGTGGTCTTGTCTTCTAATTTTCTCCTTTCTTTTCTGGGTCTAGTGCCTTTCATGTTGAGGGAAGAAGGGAAAATAAGAGGAATAACAGAGATCGCTCTAAATAAGTGGCTGTTTGTCATTGGTGGAAAAAGGCTCCTGATCTTACACTGGCTTTACCTGCTTCCCTCTGTTGCTGGCGGCCTCTGACAATATGTTGGTCTCCTATTAGATGATGTGGTGTATGGAGTTATATGGTTTTGGACGCAGATGTTCATCTTTATGCCAGCCCCCTCCATCTCTGATGACCCCACAGAGGGGTAGCTGTGTCTCCCTTCATCCTATTAGCAGTCTGTGGCTCCCAGCTTCCTCTTTGGCCAGATGTCACCTTATCTGGTCCACATCAATCAGAACTCCCACCTTATCCTCCAACTTCTGTTCTCTCCTTAAAATGGAGCCCTGATGAACATGGAGGTCTTCTACACTCCCCAAGGGCTGAAGGGAAGTTGGTGAGGTAGACAAAGAGCACAACATTTTCTTCTTTTGTGGAAAACTTCACTACAGCACCTGCTGTCCCTTCAGAAGTGTGTTGCTCCACCATGCTTCCAGACATCAGAAATCTATGGTAAGAATTGGATGCCAGGAGATTTGCACTTTTGCCCACAATTAAGTTACCAGGATTGAATTTACCCTCCTGCATTCAAAATAAAAAAGATAAAATGTCAGAAACGCCATTTTCAAGACACTAGACCTAAGACAACAAAGGATAGTTACTCCCTAAGAGACAAGAAACAAACTAGGTAAGCCCTATGACTGCCCCAGCTTGCTGCCTTCAGAGACTATGCAGGCTACGGGACAGAGAAGAAAGTCTGAGAGGAGCCCAGTAGGATCCTTGAACTGAGGTAATAAGGCTGCGAGTTAGGGAAACCAAGTGGACTAGAGTTCATGGATGGACAAAGTAATAAAAGGAAAGAGATGTGCAGAGAAAGAGCCCTGACTATCTGCAGAGCATCCCCCTCTGATATTCAACAGAGTCCTGATTAGCACATGCATGTGAAGTAACACTTCAGGATGGAGGAAAAATAATTTGAAAAGATTAAAGAACATTGTCTGATGCTCACACGGGGCTGGGAATATTGCATATTCCCCCCTCTGACAGCTGAATGAAATCATACTTTATGAGCATTGGGTAGAGTACCCCAGAAAATCTTGCTTAGTAGTGGGGCATAATTAGCCCTAGACTGCTCAGATATGCCAAATAAATCATAAAAGCAAGACCCAAGAAGATCAAACAATTTCCAGGCAACTTAACACATCCCAGAACAAAGCTCAAGAAGATTTATAAGAATCAAAAAGATCCACCACCCAATAAGGTAAAAGTGACCATTTCTGGCATCTAATCAAAGATAACCAAGCATGCAAAGAAGCAAGAAAACACAAAGAGAATAACCAAGCAATCAAAACCATCCAAGAACTGAAACAGATTTAAAATTGTCAAGCTAAGATGTCAAAATAATTATTATAATTGTTCTCTATATGTTCAAAAGTTAAGTAGAGGCATGGATGATTTCAAAAATACTCAAATAGAACCTAGAGATGAAAACTACAATGTTTTAGATGAAAAATACTCTGAGTAGGATTAAGGATATATTAAACATGGCAGAAGGATGGCTAACTTGAAGACATAGCAATTAAAAATAATGGCAAAATAAACAGCAGAAGAAAAAATAATAAAATTCAGTGCAGAAATCAATGGAATAGAAAATAGTACAACAGTAGGGGGAAAAATCAATGAAACCAAGAGATGATTTTTTTAAGATCAATGGAATTGACCAACCTCCAGCCAAGTTGATCAGGGAAAATATGAAAAAAGACACAAATTACAAAATTAGGAATGAGACAGGTGCCATTACCACACATTCCCTTATATTAAAAAAAGGAGAATATTATGAGCAACTTTATACCTATAAATTTGACAACTCAACAAACCAATTCTTTAAATAACACAAATTATGAAAGCACAGTCAAAAAGAAATAACCTTAGCATCTCTGTATCTACTTGTTTTTTTCTTTTTTGTTTGTTTGTTTGTTTGTTTGTTTTTTGTTTTTTGCAGTCAACACACATTTATTGAGCATCGACTCTGTGCCGGGCCCTGGGTGGGCACAGGGGGCTCAGAGACGAATCACATGCAGCCCCTACCATTGAGGCCGTCACAGCCTGGCAGGGCAATTGGTCACGTCAATGGACACTCACGATACAGTGTGGTCAGTGGTGTTAGAGGTAGCACAGGTGACCGAGGGAGCACAGAGGAAGGTCCTCTGACCCGGCTGGGGGTGGCGAGGAGGGCTTCTTGGAGGAGGTGACACCTGAAGAGGGCTTTAGGGAGTGAACGAGAGGTTGTCTCGTCTGAGGAAGTGGCCTGTGCAAGGGTTCAGTGGTAGGGACAATGGTGGCTGGGAGTTGAGCAAGGGCCAGTCCAGGAAGGGCCGTGGAGTCCGCAGGCAACAGGGAGCGCTGAGGGGTGTGAAGCAGGCGGTCGGCAGAGGGCCCGCTAGAAGCCAGCATGAAGGGTGGCCCAGGGGACAGGGCAGGGGAGAAGGGTGGGTCGCCGTGGACAGCAGAGGTGGACGAGCACGGCCCTTGCCCGGGGAGTCTCATCCTGCCCGGAGGCCCCCTCAGCAGCGGGGAGGTGGGGCTGCAGGCTGCCAGCCGCGGGGCCGCAGGGTGCACAGCTCTGGGTCCAGTGGCTTGAGCGTGGCCTGCTACTGCAGCCCGAAGCGCGGCCCGGGCACCAGCTGGAACTCCAGCCTCTGCAGCAGCTTTGCCATGACCACCTTCACCTCCATCTGAGCAAACTGCTGACCGATGCAGGAGTGGTGGCCCAGGGAGAAGGGGAAGTAGGTGAACCGTGGCTTGGGTGCTCCGGGGCCAAAGCGATAGGGGTTGAAAGTCAGCGGGTCTCTACTAATAAAATAGAACTTACAGACAAAAAAAACTTTCCCACTAATGAAGAAAACTCTAGTTTCTTCACTAGTGAATTATCCCAAACATTAAAAGAAGAAATAACACTAATTCTACACAAACTCTTCCAGAAAACTGAAGAAGGAATGCCCGCCAACTCATTATTTGATGCCAGCTTTACCCTGACACTGAACCCCGATAATGACAATACCAGAAAACTACAAGCCAATATCTTTCAAAAACACAGATACAAAGTTCTAAACAAAATTTTAGCAAATCAAATCCATATTAAAATGTAACAAATTAAATCCAATAGATAAAAAGGATAATGTATTATGGCCAAGTGAAGTTTTTCCAAGGAATGCAGGGTTAGTTTAACATACGAAAATCAGTGCCAGTTCTGGAGATCTTTTGCACAACAATGTGAACATACTTAATAAACTGCACAGTTAAAAATGTTTAGATAGAAAATGTTTGTTATGCAAGGTTTTTATCACAATTAAATTTTTTAAGAAAAATCAATGTAATTCACCATTTTAACACATTGAAAAGAAAAAAAAAACAACCCACATGATTATATCAACAGAGACAAGAAAAAGCATTTAGCAAAATCAAACAACCTTACAAAATCCAACTAATCTGGATAAAAACTCTCAACCAACTAGGAATAGAAGAAAACTTTCTCATTTTAAAAAGTCAATAAAAATATCTACAGCTAACATTTTATTTAATGGTAAAGACTAAATGTTTTCCCTCTAATATCAAGAATAAGAAAAAGATGTCTACTTTCAGCAATTTTTTCAACATTGTTCTGGATGTTTTAGCCATGTGTGCAGTCAGGAAAGAAAAGAATAGAAAGAATCCAGGTTGGAAAGGAGTGAATAAAATCATTTTTTATTCCCAGACGATGTAACTGTCTATGTAGAAAATAACGGCATGTGCAAAAATCTATTAGAACTAATAAGTTTAACAAGATTGCAGGATATAAGGTCAATATATAAAAAGCAATTGTATTTCCATATCAGATACTCAAACTATCAGAAATAAAATATTTAAAAATATATTTACAATAGCATCCACCAAAAAAAAATATTAAACAATTAGGGGTAAATCAGACAGAAGGTGTGAAAGACCTATACACTGAGAACTACAAACCATCACTGAGAGCAAGCAAAGAAGCTCTAAATAAATGGTGACATTCTTTGTTTGTGGATCAGAAAACTCACCATGGTTAAGATTTTACTTCTCCCCAAATTGATCTATACATTCATGCATTCCACATCAAAATCCCAGCAGGCTTATGGCATAAATTGATAAGTTGATTCTAAAATTCATGTGATCATAAAAAAGACCTAGAATAACTAAAACGGTTCTGAAAAAGAACAATGTTGATAGGATAACTCTACCTGATTTCAAGACTTATTATAAAGTAATCAAAGTGTGACATTAGAATCAAACTAGACAAATAGATCAATGGAACAGAATACAGAGTCCATAAATGGATCCACACACATATGGACAACTGATGTTTGACAAAGATTTAAAAGCAATTCAAGGAAGGAAGGACAGTGTTTTCAATAAATGTTGTTAACACAGCTGGATGTATGTAAGCAAACAAAACAAAACAGAAAGAGAGGGTCCAATTCATAATTCACACTGTATATAAAAAATTAACTCAAACTAAGTTATAGATCTAAATGTAAATCATACATTTATAACATTTTTTGGAGAAAATCTTTGTGACCACAGGATAGGCAAAGTCTTTTAGATTCAACATCAAAGTACAATCCATAAGAGAAAATTTTGATAAATTGGACATTATCAAAATTTAAAACTTCATACTTCAAAAGACACTATTAAGAAAATGAAAAGACAAGCTACAGAATGGGTCAAAATATTTGCAGAGCATATATTTGGCAAAGGACTTGTATTCAAAATCTATAACGAACTCTCAAATTCAATAAAAAGAAAACAAGCAATCCAATAAAAAAAATAGACAAAATATTTGAAGAGACATTTTACCAAAGAATATATATGCATGGCAAATAAGCGCATGAAAAGGTGCTCATCATCCTTAGCAATTTTAAAACCACAAAACCACTACACACCTATTAAGATGGCTATAATCTAAAAGACTGATCATGCCAAGTGTTGGCGAGGATCTCAACTTGATACTCTTCTAATGGGAATGTAAAATGATGGAACCACTTCAGAAAAAATAGTTTGGCGGTCTCAAAATCTACAGCTACCATATGATCTAACCATTCCAACTAAAAATACATGAGCACATATGTTCATACAAGACTTGTACATGAATGCGGATAACAGCTTTATTTGTAATAGCCCCAAACTGAAAACAACTCAAAGGTCCATCAACAGGTGAGTGGATAAATACATGAGTGTATTTACATACCATGGAATGCTACTCTGCAGTAAAAAGGAATGAAGAAACCATACAGCAGCAATATGAGTAAATCTCAAATTATTGATACTAAGTGAGAGAAGTCAGGCAGAAAAGAGTGTGTACTGTATGATTCTATTTATATGAAACTCCAGAAAATGCAAACTAATCTATAACAACAGAAAACAGATCAATGGTTGCCTGGGAAGGGTGGGTGGGGGATGAGATGAGGGAGTAATCACAAAGGGGCAAACTTTTACCAAATAAAAGTGAGGATGATGGGTCTATTCACTATCTTCATTGTGGTGAGGGCTTTAGATGTGTATATACATGTCAATACTTGTAAAACTGCACACTTTGAATATGTGTAATATGTCTATTATACCTCAATAAGGTTGTTTTTTAAAAAAGAAGCAACAGCAAATCTCAATCTCTGGTTCATGTGTACCCTCAAATTCCAGTGAATTTTGGAGAGGCTAAGCTCTTCTTAGAACTTTCCCTCTAAGTTCCACTGTGCCCTAATAGGGATGGGCCTGCAAATTCTGAACATCAGCAAACTTCTAACCAGGAAATGAACCTCTCCCTGTCCCCACTTCCTGTAGGTGCTCCCAATCTCTACAGAGCTCTCTCTTGGAACCACCTCCCCGACTTAGATTAAGTTAGGAGAGAAGTAGGGGGATGGGCATGAGAAGGGAGTATCCCCTCTACAAACATTGCGCTTTCTGAAATGACTATAACAAATTTCTGTCCCTCTCCTGACCTATCTTCTTGTGCAGACTGGTGGGGGGCAGTGAGTGGGTGGTTCTTCAAAGCTTCGGTGAAGATTAGGCATACCTGGGATGTTTATTTGCCTCCAAAGGTGATTTCTGACCCTGATTGTTAGCAGCTGCAGGGCAACCTCCTGCTCAGATAGAAAACTCAGGAGAACAACCTCCTGCTCAGATAGAAAACTCAGGAGAACAACCACCTGCTCAGATAGAAAACTCAGGAGAAAGGGAGTCTTGCTGACTGGCTCAGGCTTTGCGAGAGGAGGAGGCTTTCTAAGTGGGAAGTGGGTAGGGGCAGCCATGGGTCCAGAAAGCTTCAAGCTGCCTATCAAGCTAAGACAGTAAATCTTTAATGACTTCTCTTTGGGGAGAATTAAGAGTTGGGGCAGCCAGATAGGGAAGGCAGCAGTGTTTCGTCTCAGGCTTTCTTCCACCACACTCTTTTTCCCTTTTTTGCTCCTCCTTTCAGCACTCAGTGTTGCTGATGAAGGAAACATAGAAAACTCTTTTATGTCTCATATTTTTCTACTATGAATGTAATTTGTAACATACAATTGTTTACTCTTGACCAAAAGTAATTAAATATTTAAATCATGCACACATCATGTCAATTAGAGTAGGTTTTAATGATGCCTGCCGTATTCTGGAGGTTCTGAGAGAGATGGGAGAAAAACTATCCTTGTAAGGGTCTCATAGGAAACTCTAGAACACGCTTGTACAACCTAAGGCCCATGGGCTGCATGCAGCCCGGAATGGCTTTGAATGCAGCCCGACACAAATTTGTCAACTTTCTTAAAACACTATGAGATTTTTTTTGAGTTTTTCTTTTTTAGCTCATCGGCTACCATGAGTATTTTATATGTATTTTATATTTGGCCCAAGACAATTATTCATTTTCTGATGTGGCCGAGGGAAGTGAAAAGATTTGACAGTTCAGAGAGAAGGTTCTCTCTCTGAACTGTTATCTAGAGTTTATCCTTTACTCTTCATTCCCATAAACTGACCTCTCACTTCTAACCTGGCATGAAATTCTCTGCCTCGTCTTTGAGGCTCTTGAGCAAGCCTTGCAAGGATGTCCGAGACGCTGACACCCAGCCCAGTTGTGGTTAATGTGAAACTTTACAAGCAGATCTGCCAGTGAGCATTCTCCTGGCCTTCCAACCTTGCCCAAATGGGCTACATCAATCATTGCTCTGACTGCCTTCTGAGGAAGTCAGGATAAGGGTCTAGTTATTTATGACAACCTCCTGAAGGTTTCTCTCTGCAAACTGGTTCCCTAGGAGAGGAGGTGGTCATTAAACCACCCACCTCCACTGTGCCCTTCCCTTACAAACAAGATCTTATTCTTTAAGTGCGTACTGATGCCAAGAAAGAGATTAGTTTGGTGGGGGAGAGGGAAATTCAAGCAACAGAGAAACTTACAGTGGATCTTAGAGCTACAGAAAAATCACCTTGCCCACTCTCTAACAAGAGCCCTAAGATCCAGGGAAGGAATGTGTCCTAGCCTACATATGCCATTCAGAGGCAGGACTGGAACTAGAAGTCAAGTGCCCCTCTACCCCTCAGTCAAGGATTCTTTTCTGTAGCCATTTTTATTTTCAGAGAAAATTTCTGAGTAACTGCAAGATGTCTCAGAATCCTGCAAACATATTCATTTTTCTTTCTTTGAGAACTGAGTTTCATGATCAGGATGAAACTTCCTTTTCTGGAATGGGGTACCTCAGAGTCTTATTTTGGTTGGAAGAAGGAGGGATCACCTTTAAGAATGCAGATAGAGCAACAGAGCAGGAGAAACCCTCCCAACAATCCCTGGGAGGTCATTTGTATTAACTCTGTGTTGTAGATTAGCAAAGGGAAGACCAAAGAGTTAAAGCAGTTTGCCCTACTCAGTATTTTAATCCATGGGTGATTAAATTTGAATGATTTAAGAAATAAAAGAGAATAGAGATGGAGGCCAAAACAGCACCTTTACAGGTTATAGTTGGAGACAAATGGGTCTTATGGCAGAGAGTGGTTAGACGCTCAGCAAACCTGCTTCCTCTTCTTGCTGGCCATCATTAGACCACAGTTCCCAGCCTTGTTCCTTGTATGTGGTCATGTGACTTAGTTCTGGCCAGTAGAATGTGGGCAAAAGTGTTACACATCACTTACCAGTAAGATCCATAAAATTCTCTGACATATAATTCTCCATTCGCCCTCTTTTTCTTCATCTGCTGGTTGAATGATCCAAGAAGGCCCTAGAACAAGATTTTTCAACTTCAGCACTACTGGCATTTAGGCCAGATAATTCTTTATTAGAGATTGTCCTGTATACTGTAGGATATTTAGCAGCATCTCTGGTGTCTACCTACTAGATGCCAGTAGCATTCCCCACTCTCCAGTTGTGACAACCAAAATGTTTCTAGACGTTTCCAAATGCCCCATCTGTGGCAAGATCATCCCTGGTTGAGAACCACTGTTCTAGAAGATGCCAGAGCCACACAATGGAGGGAACTTGGGTCCTGAATGACTGCATGAAGCAGAGCACCCTTTTCACATCTTCCAGTGACATGAGCAAGAAATTAACTTTTAGGCTGGGCATGGTGGTTCATGCCTGTAATCCCAGCATTTTGAGAGGCCAAAATGGGCAGATAGATCACTTGAGCCCAGAAGTTTGAAACCAGCGTGGGCAACATGGTAAAACTCCATCTCTACAAAAAAATACAAAAAATTAACCTGGTGTGGTGGCATGTGCCTATGCTTCCAGCTACTTGGGACGCTGAGGTGGGAGGATCACATGAACCCAAGAGCTCTAGGGTGCAGTAAGCTTGATTCTGCTACTACACTCCAGCCTGGTGACAGGGTAAACACTGTCTCAAAAAAAAAAAAAAAAAAAAGAAAAGAAAAGAAAAAAAAAGAAATTAACTTTTACCGCAGTTTGGGAGATGTTGGTTCAAAAGGTATCCTGAATGACATAGTACAGCTAAATCATCCCCCTAAGTAGGCAGACTTTCCCAACCAAGCACAGCAGCACTATATGAGGCCATCCTTGGCTATCAGGACAAGACCCAAGAGCAAGAGCAGAAAGTGTGCTTCTTGTAGACAGACAGCCCTCAAGATAAAGAAAGTAGCAGAACTGTGCTTTACATGCCCTAAAGTTCTTCCCAAATTCACCAATCAGATGTCACTTCTCATCTACAGGGGCAGAGAAATCTGAAATGTGCATAGTGAAAAAGCCTTCTTCTCAGAAACTCCCTCTTCATGAAACCAGGAGGCTCTGTTCCAGGGGACCCTAGAGCCTGCTGTCTTTCCCCTACACCAGAAGATCTGACTCAGTACAGAAAATGACCTGTATTCTGCTCAGTATGAAATATGGCCTGTGTTCTCATTTTCTCATTAAATGCTTTATCTTATTTTGTTATCGAAGTCAAGGCTCAGTCTTCAGCCAAGGCCGAGGGTCCGTCTGTGACTAGACTGAAGCCTCACTTTGGGACTAGCCAGTTCAGCCCATCAAGGACAGGAGTTGGTCTGTGACAGGAAAACAGAACTGGGCTGGAGAAGGGTAAAATTCACAGCCTCATCCTGAATTAACTCATGAATTTTGCCCAGCGCTCCCATCACACAATCCATTTCCTTTCTTCATTGTCCTTTATTTTTCTAAACAGGCCAGTGATACACTAACTGCTTCCCATAAAGCTGTCAAGAGAATGCAATGAGTGATCTCAGTCCAGGAGGAGCAGACCAGTGAAAAGGAAATAACTGGCTGGAAGCCAAGCAACACGGACCCACATCCAGATCTGATCTGTCACTAACTGATTATTCCAAACTGGACATACTACTTTCCTTCTCTGGACCTCCGTTCCCTCTGCATAAGGTAGGAATATTAAGTGGGGCATCTCTTTTAATTTTATTTTAATTGCACTAAGAAGTATTAAATCAAGATCCTGTCTTACATCTATCATTAATGGTAACCACGTGCTGCTGCTTTTCCCTCCCTCATTGCTCCTCAGGTCCAGCTCAACTTTGGATGTTGTGAAACTCATAAAGCTGCAATAGCCCACAGTAGGTCTTCTTTATCCCAGACTGTCTCCAAACCCCAGCCTATTTCACTGGGAAAAAGACTAGATACATTACTAGGACCCTTAAGTTATATTATCCTAGAATTCTAGGATTCTAAGATTCTAATCTACATCTTTACTAGTCTAGATTCTAGTCTAAATATCTGGTAGCCTAAAAGGCTTTGAGTCTGAATTCTTTTTTTTTTTTTTTTTTTTTTTTTTTTTTTTTTTTTTTTTGAGACAAGGTCTTGCTCTGTTGCCCAGGCTGGAGTGCAGTGACATGATCATAGCTCACTCCAGCCTCAAACTCCTAGGCTTAAGTGATCCTCCCACCTCAGCCACCAAGTAGCTGCAACTAGAAGCTTGTGCCACCATGCCCGTCTATTTTTTTAGACGGCTAGCACAGGCTGGCCTCAAACTCCTGGGCTCAAGCAATCCACCTCCCTCAGCCTCCCAAAGTGCTGGGATTACAGGCATGAGTCCATTCATGGCTCTTTGAGTCTTAATTCTAAAGCCCTAAAAGTCCAGACTTCTAACTAACTTGAGTTAAATGAGGTTACATAATAGTAATAGCTCAAATTTTCACTGGCTCCTGCCCCCAGGGTTCCCAAATTCCTCATAGGTATCTTTCACGTCCTTATGAACACATTTGGTCAGTGAGAATGCAGCACCTTCTGTTCCTCTCTGCAGCTTCCACCTTTCCCCACTCTTCAGCCAGGTCTACCTGCCTATTGCCAATCATTACCTGGCCATTTCCCACCCCTACCTCCACCACACACACACCAGTTAGCTACATCTGTTTAGCCTCATCTAAACCTAATGGAGGACAGAGGCCTAGACTCAAACTAAGCTCCTCACTTCTGAAATTCTTATCATTTGATATTTCAGTGCCCCCTATTTCTGTTTCAGATAGTTTAGAATTCCAAGTTTCTCACAATTTATAATCTGACTATCCTTGGACATTAATAATCTCAGCTTGAAAGATGTTTAGATTCTAAAACACCAGGCTTCTAATTCAGTGGGAGATGCCAGAGTATCTCCTACTCCCTCTCAGAGGCTCTGGAATCAAGGAAGTCAGAGAGGCCTTAGCCAGCTCTGAGAGAGCCTATGAGAGGGAGTAATAGGTCTAAGGTGGGAACAACACCACATGGAAAGAGTGCTGTGGACTCAGGGTGGAAGGAAGAGCAATCAAGCTTCTCTGTAGAATGCCCAGAGTGGTCACACCCCAGCAGGCTTCCCAGGCCCTTGGCAAGCAGTGAGCACCAACTTAACAACCTCCAATCAAGTGTGTTATTTATTTTACAAGTGACTATAAATATCAAAATAAAACTGAGAGTTTATGTACATGAGCTGGCCCCAGAGCTATTAAACTGCTAGTGGCTGTACATTTAGGAAGTTCTCCTCCCAGGGCTAAGGGTGGGACTGCCTGGCCTTTTGCAAACTTGGTCCTAGCAAGTCCTAGCAACTCTGAACCTGGTCTCCCACGGTTCAGAGTTTCGGAGGTCTGATTCTTCCCAGCTTGGCTGCAGACCCCTCTAGCTCTGGTGAGTGGTGGATACATGGAGTAGGTTTCAGAACAGTGGAAGTGATTTAGGCGTGTGTTGGGAAACTGGGGCCTCGTTCAAATGTCTGATTTCATAAGAAGCCCAGAAGGCTGGCAGAAATTCTTGGCCCAACGTATCCCAGAGCCAGGAGCATCATCTGCAGCCAGAAGCAAGGAAGTCTCAGCTTGGAGGAAATTGAGGGCAGAAAGAGAATTTTCTCTGTCGTAGCAGGGCTGGGCCTTCAACAGAAATGGCTCCAATATACTCCCTGTTGCTATGGAGAAGTTTTGACACATACCTCTATCAGCCAATCAGCTCCTCTGTGTGTCAGTCAATATGGGGGTCAGCCAGGTCTGTCATTCATGATCATTATCAATAAAGCATTATCACGGAGACAAAGCCAGCCCTTAGCCTGGTCTTCAAATCTTTTACATCTTGACCTCAAGCCCTTTCCAGTCTCACGTTCTGCCCCTCTCCATTGTAAACCCCACTTGTTCCCCCCAAATCCTGCTTTGCACCAGCATGTCTCAGCCTGCACTCTCTGTTCCCTCCCTCTTCTGGTGGTCATTTACTCAACTCAGAGGCAGATGAAATATTTCCTCCTCTTCTGTGAATCCTATTCTAACTCCCCAGGTGCTGGGGTCATGCTTCTCTTTAGTACTTAAAGAACTACTTTGTAATGTTCCATTTAAATGTCAGCCTCCCTATTAGACTGCACCATTTCTCATATCTGCATTCCCAGCCCCTAGCACAGGGCCTGGAACGGTATTTTATTTGGATATTTGCAGACATGGAGGAGTAGGAAGTGTGGTTAAAGCACATCAGAATAAAATGGAAGAATCTGTTTCGATTCAGTGAAAACAAGGTGACCTCTGAAAGGATAGCAGGAGAAAGGCCAGAGTGAGACATGAGGACAGCTTGTGCTGGGCTTTAACCCGAGAGAGATGTCTGGCCTTTGTGCTGCTGCTCCTCTCTTTACCAATGGGATGATCACAGGCAGATTACTTAACCTCATCTGTAAAACGATGGTGGCTATGAGGATTAACTGAGTTAATGCATGTAAAATACTAGGACAGTGCCTGGCACATAATAAGCATTAGAAAGATATGAACTTTTATAGTAGTAATTGAACTGCTGGAAAGGGTAGTGTTGGTAGTAGTGACACCATTGTGTAGGTTATGAGGAAAACAAAGCCTTGCTAGCCAGGCTGAAATAGGCAATAGAGGTTGGCTTCTAGTGGAAATTGAGGCTTCCCCATTTTTACCAAGGTTACTCATGCTGTGACCCACATGGATAAAGGTCAAGGGCACTGCTGAGCCCACGATGAGGGGAGAGTTCTCAGTGTTCTGAAGTAACACTCAGGCTGTCTGTCATGTAACATAGTATGTTTTGGATTTAATTCCTCTTAGGTCCCAGTCCTGAGTCTCTCTGTCTTTCTCTATATCTGTGTCTGTCTGTCTGTCTTTCTGACTATCTGTCTCTCTCTCAACTTGAGTGGAAATGCTTTCTTTCCCTTCGCTTTCCTTTTCTTAGGTTTTTCTGTTTCATAATTCTCTACCCTTCTCTTCTACCTTAAAGACATGACTGACAGCATAATGTAGTATAAAGAACATCAGATGGGGAGTCAGAAGAGCTGGGTTCCAGCCCTAACATCTGGTGGAATCCTGGCCAAGTGTCTTCCCTCTCTGAACCTAAGCGTCTTCCTGTCAACAAAGAAGACCTCAAGTTGCATGTTGTTCAAAAGCCCTTTCTGATTCCGAATGTCTGTATGTCTCTGTAGCAATGTTCTCATATTGAAATTTCTCTGTGCCTATGGAAATCATATGGAGAATTTGGTTTCATTCATTATTCAGCCAACGTTGATTGAGCACAGATAATATGTCAGGCATTCTACTGGGTGATGGGGATCCTGGGGTGAACAAGCCAGACAAAGTCCCTGCCTAGAAGGAGCTTACATTCAAGAGTCTTGAGGAACACTAGATGATAAATGCATTACTTCACAATCACAGCTGAAGATAAGAGGAATTGATGTGTACTGCACACCTCCCATGGCAGGTGGTATGCTAGACACAGTGGCCTGGGTCATCCCAGTTGATCCTCACAATCACCTTAAGAGTTATTGTCATGCCCATTAAAGACTAAAATGAGGCTAAGAGACATTCGGTAGCTTAGTCAATGTCACCCAGCTAGGTGTGATGGAGATGAGTCCAATAGCACACCTGGTGTCCTTTTCTCATGAGCACACTCTCTGTTCTCTCTGGATTCTGCATTCTGAGGTCTGGGCACACCAGGAGAGCAAATCTCAGAGCCCCACTTCTCAGGAAATACCCCAAGGCACTTTCTCTGGCCCTTGCTGGAACATCTACGCTTCAGACCACCATAGCTCACTCCCTCTGTCCCAACGTCTCAGCAGGGAGAGCTGTGAGATTTGTAGTTGGATTCTGCCCTCCTGGCCCATATCCCTATAAAATAGCAAGCAGAGAAAAGAGGGCGGAACACAATTTAAAAAAATAAACACTGACGCAGATAAGAAATGACTGGGGAGTCTTGGGGATTTATGCCTCATGAAGTGAGATGGCAAAGGAGGCCAGACAGGGAGCAGACAGCCCTGACGCCTCTGCCTCATGGATAATTTATCCCAGAAAGTAGAAGCCTCTGTTTGCAACTCACACAGGCCAGAGTGGTTTTCTGGGTCTTCCTAGCCCACTGTCTGAGGAGACCCAGGCTGAGTCAGAAGTTTTGTTTTCCCAGACTAAACCCACATGTGTGATACTTTTTTATGTCTTTCTACTTCGATGATTTGTTGGAGGTTCATCTTACACTCCCAGTGAGGCTGACAGGACGGAGACCCTTATCCCTGTTGGTCAGGTGAGAAAGTTGAAGCTAACAGACCCTTACCCAGGCATGCCCAGGGAATTGGGAGTATGAGCCATGGTTGGTTGACATTACAGCTCCCATAGGTACGCATTTCCCTCCTTCTCATTCTCCTTCCCCAACTCTAACCCACCCTTAAATTAACTCTGTTTAGCTAATGAATTAATTCAACTACCCTTTATGGAGTAATAATATGTACTAAGACTGCTGCAGACACAGAGATGAACAAGATAAAGGCAGATGTTACAAACAAATGAACACTTTTTAAATACATGTTGTTGGTGATTATAAAGATTATGTTAATTGAGGGTCTCTCTCCAACATAATAATCAGCAGAACTGAAAAGCAGAAGAAATTAACTAAAAACCGTAGGGATAAAATGAAAGAGGTAATCAATGCTTGGGTCAAGCACAAGAAAGACTTTATTTGCTGGGTTCTTCAAAAGCAATTCAATGGGCATTGGGAAGGTTCTTGTCCTGGATGATGTCCCAGCAAATGAGTTCATGGATAGGAACATGCTTCAAGATTAATAAGGAGCTGACAGTCACACTCGATTGTGATGTGGATGCTTAACTTGGCTGTGTGGCAGGCCCTCAAGCATTTTTATATCCACCAGCTGCTATAGAGGTAAAGCTCAATCTTCATGTAGGATGAAAAGAATTCAGGTTTTGATCTGATTAACTTGGTTTTTAATCCCCACTAGCTGTATGCTTAGAGCTAGTTGCTTAGCCTCTCCCAATCTGTTTTCTCAACCATGAAATACAGGTAGCAATATCTACCTCAGAGTTTTGCCTTGGAAAAAAAACATAAACTACATTAGTCCACATTTCATGGGAGGCCCCAAGATAATGGACACCACCTCTGCAAGTACAGTGTAGGACCAACCTGTAAGAACTGCAAAAGATTGTATTAAAAACTACTTTTGAGGTTCCTTGCTGATCCTTACTCAACTCTGGCATATAAAAGAGGTGGGAGAGGCCAAGAACAAAGTGGGGGATTAGATAGGGTTTTTCTGGAAAGAGCTGTAAGTACATCGTGTGTCTTTGTCCACTCCCTCCATTAACTCAAGCCCGGGGAAAGTGACTTTAATGGGATAGTTGGAGAACATGATGTTTTCCCTATATTTGGGGGATACTGTAAACTAGAATCTGATTCCCACTGCTAAATGTAAAAGGTTAGATGCCGGCTGACCAGCTGCCCAACAGAAGAATAAAGGGAGGTTGCTGCACTGGGGACAATGTAAATTCTCAGTTTATCAAGGTAGAGAATGCAGATGTGTTTTCTTGAACTAGATCTGGAACACACGACAGAGAGATGGTCTAAGTCTTCCTAAACCCTGTCAGAGGACCATCTAGTGGGATGAAGGACCTCAGCATAAAGAGGCAGGTGGTGCTGGAAGATGCCTAGGGGCTGGGGAAGGAATCTGAAGGAGCCAGCTAGAATCAAAATGCATTTACCCACATCAGGGATCACCTGCATGAGTTGGGGGTGGGGATTTTCCAAAGAACCCACAAATATACCAAATGAAAGAAGAAGTAAGGTTAATGCCTGCCAAGCTCAGAGAGACCCTGTATCTTCAATTCTATACTTGTCCAGTAAAAATTCTCCTGTTCCTCTTCCTTCTTTTTCTCTTCCCATTCCTGACAATAGAGATATATATATATATATATATATATATAAATCCACAATGGTTAGCAAGACATAGACAGAGAAGTAGAAAGAAGAAACAGCCCCTTTCTCACTGCAGGAGATTGAGCCTCTTTCTCACTGCAGGCCAGCAGCAGTTCCAGGTCCAAGCAAGTAGTGAGGGGAAAAAAAATCTTGCTTTTAAAGGAAGTTTGAAGTTTATTACTGCTATTATTGTTAATAGGTTAACAGTAGTGCTATGGTTTAAATGTGTTCCCTGAAAAGCATGTGTTGGAAACTTAATCCCCAATGCAACAGTGTTGGGAGGTGGGGCTTAATGAGAGGTAATTAGGCCATGAGGGCTCCACCCTCATGAATGGATTAATGCCAATTATAAAAGGGCGTGAGGCTGGGAGTTCAATCTCTTGCCCTCTCTTTGCCTTTCCACCATGGGACGATGCAGCAGGAGGGCCCTCGCCAGATGCCAGCTCCTTGATCTTGGACTTCCTATCCTCCAGAACCATAAGAAATAAATTTCTCTTCCTTCTAAATTACCCGGTCTCAGTTATTCTGCTATAGCAGCACAAAATGGACTAAGATGAGTAATAGTAGTATCCTAGACAAGTTAATTACCGAGCAGAAACAATATTTTGTGATTTAAGACAGATGGGGAAATTTGTATTACCTAAGAGAAAACAGAAGAGTCATAAAGCAAGTCCCAGATTTCATCAAAAAGAACAAAAGAGACTCAGAAGTGCAGAATAACTGATGAAAGTTGTTTCTTGATTATTCCCCCATGAGTCTGGCTTATTCAATGTAACAGTTACATGAGATAACATTGTCATCCCTTCCTTGAACACAGTTGACCTGAGTATATCTGAGTTTGCATCTACCATGTCTCTCGACTTGGTTGACCAGCAGTGGACAAAGTCAAACAGCTAGGTTGTCTTCGAGCAGATACTGTGTATCTGGCCTTTTCTCTAACCCAAGGGTAGAGATAGGAGGAGACCCAGTCTTAATCCTTGGCCAACATGCAGGTCACAGGGTTGGAAAGCCCCTTAGAGATGTATGGATGGGGTGGCAGAGACCAGAGAGGGGTTAGTTTCCCAAATCCATTGTACAGCCAGGCATGGAACCTGGTTCTCCTCTGTCCCTCTTCCCTAACTATCCTATTACTCCCTCCACACAACCTCCACCTAGAAACCTAAGACAGGGTAGAATCAAGTGCTAGGTTGACCAATCTGATGGTATCTACCATTTATTGAGCATCTACTATGTGCTAGGATATAAGCTAGCCCTAATTCTAATAATAACCTTCCAAGGTAGTGGTATCAGTAGCTTTTTCATAGATGAGGAAATTGAAGCCCATGAGGTTAAACAACTTGTCCATGGTCATATAGCCATTAAGGGGTAAAGCTGGGATTCAAACCAGTCAGCCTGACTCCAAAGCCAGTGATCTTGTCACACTGCCTTACCATCTCTCCTGAGGGCTGCTGGAACCAGGAAAGAGTGGTGCCAGCAAGGCTACAGGTGCGTCCACAAAGCCCCAAAGGGAGCCCCCAGGCTTCCCACAGTGCCATCTTTGTGGAAAAGAAATGGTGCAGACTGGCCCACATGCTCGCCCAAAGCCAAAATGACCAGAATAGGCTTGCACATTACCAATTCCTTCCAAGCAACTAAAAGTGATGCAAATTTTTGAAATTATAAAGCTGAATAACTTTTAATTAGTTGGCAAATTACATGGCCAGAGGGGCCTTACTCTGTTCTCTGCAGTAGATATTAACTTTATTAACTTTGTTCCTTTTGCAAGTTAAGTTGGTTCTTTGTGAAGGTGGGTGCGTGCGAGTGTGGTAAGTTCTCATTTTATTTGGCAGGAATTTTGGCTGAGATTTACAAGGAAAAGATACTTTTAGATTTTTCTTCTGATGGTGAACTTGGCCTCCCTTACTCCCTACTGAAACTCTACTCTTTGGAGGCGGAAACGGGGGATAAAAAAAGGATAAAGAAAGACAGAAATTAGGCGGCGAAAACAACTGAAGAATAAATAATCCTCTTAAACCAGTCACTGGGAGAGGCAACGGAAAGAGCCCGAGACGGGGGAAGGGGGGGCGGGGAGCAGGCGGGGTGGGTTCTGGTTGGGTGATTCACTTACTAGCTGGCTTTCTGACCTTGGACAAATGACCTAATCTCTACAGGTCTCTGTTACCCTGTCTGTAACATGGAGAGGATAACCCCAGCTCAAAGGCCTCCCTCAGGTCTGCTGAGAGGATCAAGTGGGATATCATCTGATAAAGTGATTTGACTTTTACAAAGGACTGTCCAAATAGAAGGTTGTGGTGTTATCTCTGACATCTGAAGCGAGGTCCTTGGATGTTCCTGGAGTCAAACCTGACAACAAGGAAACTTTCAGCATGACCGAGAAAAGGGTCTCCCTTAGCTCAGCTCCTGGGAGGGCCCCTGAAGGAGATATAAAATGTGAGTCTGTGGGTGGGAGTGATTGTGCTGGGCATATTTAATGTATGTCAGCATTCACTCACACTTTTGAGTGTGCACATCTTATTTCTTGTATATACAAAACTGATGTGTGTGAATGCCTGTGTCAATATGGTGGGCAGAGAGGGTCATTTATTCGTTCATTCCAGGAATGAGTTTTGAGGATTTACTCTGCTCTCTAGATGCTGGAGATTCAGTGGAGAACAAGACAGACTAGCATTTGCATGTACGTAAGAGTGTTTATAAGAAAACATGAGTTCTTAAGTGTATGGAGTATTAAGTGCATATGTGAGAATATCTGTGTGAAAACACATGTCCTTATGTATTAGGAAGTGTGTACTTGTGTAAGAGTTTGCATGTGAGTGTTTGAGAATCCGTGTATTTGTTCCTATGTGTGGTGAGAGAAAAAAAGAAAGAAACAATTCTTGGTCACCCTAGAGGGCATCAAATTTTGTTAAAATACCTTAGAGCTGAAAGACCCTGTCTTAGTCCATTTGTGCTGCTATAACAAAGTATCAGAGAACAGAAATTTATTTCTTATAGTTCTGAAGTTTGGGGAGTCCCAGATCAAAACACTGCCATTGGTCTCTGGTAAAGGTTGCTGTCTGCCTCTGAGATGATGCCTTGTTGCTGCGTCTTCCAGAGTGGAGGAACACTGCGTCCTCACATGGTGGAAGGCAGAAGGTGAGATAGTGCTCCCTTCAACCTGAGCTCTTTCATAAGGGGCCAAATCCCATTCATGAGAATAGAACCCTCATGACTTAATCACCTCCCACAGGCCACACCTCTTAGTACTGTTGCATTGGGGATTCTGTTTCAACATGGATTTTGGAGGAAGCACAAACATTCAAACTATAGGAGACTCTGAGCTTTCATCTAGTTCAATCCTTAACATTCCAGATAAGGAACCAGAGAAAGGAAACAGTGTGTATAAGGTGACCAGATGGCCAAACAAGGGCCAGAATATACACCTACGGCTTTTGAGCCCAGGCATCTTTTCCTAATGAGGATGTGCGTAAATGTGAATGTAAACTGTGCATCTGCAAGGAAGAATCTGGGAGAGCAAATGGAAAGGTTGGCCTGGCTCGAATATGGAGAACCCTGAATGCCATGCCAGGAGGATTTGAGCAGGAGGGCAGAGTGGTCAGGTTTCTGCCTTCTAGGTGTCCTTCTACTGTGGAGAAAATCAGCTGGAGCAAGAGACACTGCAGGGGAGAGATTGTGAGAGGGCAGGTGGAGCCGTCCTGGTGAGAGGGGATGACACCTGAATTAGGGAGAGGGGAATAAAGGATGAGGTGGGGCCGGGCACGGTGGCTCACACCTGTAATCCCAGCACTTTGGGAGGCCGAGGCAGGTGGATCACGAGGTCAGGAGATCGAGACCATCCTGGCTAACATGGTGAAACCCCGTCCCTACAAAAAAAAAAAAAAAAAAAAATTAGCCAGGCATGGTGGCGGGTGCCTGTAGTCCCAGCTACTCAGGAGGCTGAGGCAGGAGAATGGTGTGAACCCAGGAGGCGGAGCTTGCAGTGGGCCGAGATCGCGCCACTGCACTCCAGCCTGGGTGACAGAGTGAGAATACGTCTCAAAAAAAATATAAAAAGGATGAGGTGGGCAGGGGAATGCTTCTAGCCTAGAATCAGAGGCTTTTATATCCGTTAGGATGTGGAAAGTGAGCTCACACATTCCAATCGTTTACACGATAAGGCAGTTTCCCCTAAACCTGAGAACCAGGAGGAGCCTGGGAGACTTTACAAGCATCTCATTAAAACTTCTCAATAGCCTGGTGAGGAGGCCATTATTTTCCCCATGTTACTGAAGACAACTGTGGCTCAGAGTGAGAGGCAGCTGCCCAAAGACACATAGTCTGATTTTGGTGGATCTAAAATAAGAGCCCAGGTCTTATGTGCTTAACAAAATATTGCATAAGTCAGCAATCACTTATTAAGCATCTACTTTGTGCCAGGAACTGTACTTGGCACTTTAGGCACATTACTTCATGTAAGCCTTCTGATGACCCTTTCTCCATTTTTCCAGTGAAGAAAATGAGATTCAGGGGTATGACCAAGAGTACACAGTTGGTTCAACCTGTACCTGAACCCAAGCCATCTGATTCCAATGCCCATCGTTTTCAACGATTCTGCATTTCCTTTCAAAATCGGAACAAATGTGCATGCAGTAGTTTAGGAAGAAGTGAATTTAGGAATTCCCATCCCTAGAGAATGTACAGGCTTAGATTATGGGCTGATTCAAAACAGTTTTATCAAATGCCTGGGTGATAAGTCCATGCTGCAGATTGAAGAGTCCTATTCCTAATCAACAAAAACCACATACAGGAAGTCAGATTGGGCCTCCTAAATCCCATCGCCTGCCTTTCTCAGGGGTAGAGCAACTGTGGTCTCTACTGGGTCCCAAGAGCAACCATATGGGGTTGGAGGCTGGAAATCAAGACATATGGGACACAGGGTCCCAATAATTTCATTGTGAGGCCCAGGCAAGACCTTGTGGGTATGGGTCCTTCCAGCTCCCGCCATTTGGGATTCTATGTCCTCATCCACTCGCAGACACAACGTGCTTGTCCTTCAGTGACAGAAGGCTTGGTCTTTGCATCAATGCCAGCCTGGTTCCCTCACCCTGAGCAAGTATAGGAACTGAAAGCCTTCACGTCGCACACTTAGACCCGCTTCCTCAGATCCTGAGCCCACCCTGTCTAATGCAGAGAGGATAATGAGCCCCTCCTACTGGAGGCTGAGATCTAGAATTTGTCTGATTTTCCTAAGGCCTGTCTCAGGTTCAACTGCACTGAGACTCTCTAGCCCTGCCACTCTTTCAGATGTTTCCTGCTATCTACTCTATTCCCGTTTCCTCAAATCGCTGACTGACGTCCTATTATAAACCAGACAGGACGTGGAGAACCTGCCTTCCAAGACTGCCATGCATGTCCCTGAGATACCCACTGCCAACCCTAGTCAGAGGCCCTGGATGAGGCATCAGAATGGATGGGGCCTAAATACCACACCCCCTCCTGAACTTTGATCTCCAAAACTGGTCACTCTGATAGCCTGAGGCTATGCCAGCTCCAATACTACCTTTGTCTTCCCCCACCAACTTCTCTGCCAAGACCCCAACATGCCTTTGGTCAAACTTACCCATTTTACCTCAATTGAGTTGATTTCTTCTGACTTTTTTGTTCCGGAGTCTCTAACCTCACCCCACCCTAATCACTGAAACTAATTCCTGGCCCCACTTGAAAGGCCTTTCAGACTGAGTGAAAGTAATCTTCTACCCCAAGCACGCTGACACATCAAGTCCCCAAGGGTACTTTCTTCCTGACCAGAAATGCCATCAGAGAGTCCAGGAAGGGCTTGGCATACTGCCCTTATCAAGGTCTCATCAACATTCATTCCAAGAAAACACAGTTGTCAGAAGACACACCCAAGAAAGTGGCCAGGAAGTAACCAGTCATCTGAATTATTTACTGTCACCTGGAACCTAGCCAACTAGATGCCAGCCATGCAGATGCTGGGAAAATATTTATGTGGGTCTTGATGGATGCTTGGCCAGGAATGACTGCCCCCTGTCATCTTTCCTTCCTCCTGATAAGGTAAAGCTACACATGTCAGACAGCTCTTAGAAGAGCCCGACAGCTGAGGCCTGGCATCCGATCAGAGCCGGGTGAGTGGCCAGTCCTTGGTTCCAGACCTGTCTCTGCTACCAGAAAGTTCTGCCCCTCCCAGGGCCTCCACTTCTCCATCTAGTAGACTGGATGAACTCAAGGTTTCTGTGGTCCTATAAGATTGTGACTCAGACAGAGTCGAATGTATTTTCCAGATCTGCCATCATGATGCCATTGGTTCATCACAGAGCTATTTTTCTTGGCATCGTGGAACGTTCTTAAAATTCCAACATCCTAGGATTTCTGTATTCACTGTTCCAGTTTCTGTAATCAGATGGGAGAACTCCATCTGGAGGAGGAAGATCTGAGCTTAAAATAAAGGGGTAAAATGGAAGAGGGGAAATTGAGTTCAAGGAGTGTTTTTCATGCATCCACTAATTGCAAAGCACAATGCAGAGCCCATGCTGGTAGCGGAGTGCCCCCAGGTTTTGTCCTCTAAACCACACGGAGCCCCGGTCCTGTTCTCTATGAGCTTACAATGTCAGTGATGAGGGTGGCTGACAAGGCTCATTTTATTCCCCAATGCTCTTCGTGTTTCTTCTTTCTTGTAAACCCCAGGATCTCTGCCTGCTGCCCTCCTCGGCTCTGGAATTCTGTCCCCATCAATGATCTTCCTGGGCTCCTTTCTGGGAGGAGTTCTGGCCTCCCAACTCTCCATTCCTTGTAGACAACCTGACCTTGCAAGTCCTTCTCCACTTCAGAGTTTACGGCTAGTTCCCTTGAAGACCCACCTGAAGTAGCAGTTGTGGATACAGACACAGGACGAAGGTTCGGGAGCCTCCAGAGTTCTCTCAAACATTGTCTCTACTCAGATGCTCCTGATGCCTCCTCTGAGATGCTCAGTGTCATCTCAGGAAACTGCTGCCTACCTCAGTTTCCCTGAGCAGGAAGCTCTTCTGGCCCTTTTCTCTCCTCAGACCTGCACCTCTCTAGGAAGTCTCTGTATCCCAATGTGAAAATGTGATCTGCTGTAGTGGCCACTGAGGTTGGAATTTGAGTCTTCTAGGCTGAGTGAGTGAATTCAATGGGTCTTTCCCCAAGACAGTCATTGGGACAGGCCTGGTTGGTTTGGGCATCATCTCAGTTTATCTGGTCTGAAGAACTATTCCTGTGGACTCTCCTGGTCTCCATTCAGCAGATACTCACTTCACACCTATTCTTTGCTGGACACCATGCAAGGCATGAGTAAGGCAATATGCAAAGATAGACAAAGCTCTGTCCTCTCTACCTCCCCAGGTGCCTGGGATTCTCAAACCATGGCCTAGGACATGACCAGGCAAGTCTCTCAACCTCTTGTCCCTTGTCGTTCCTTGTTCCCTCATCACAATTCTTTCTAGTTACCTGCCTCACTCATGAAATCATGGCATCATGAGAGATCAGAGGCAAAGGGCCTTTACAAACCAGACTACCTAAGAAATCAGTAAGAATGAAGCTGTGTGATACAGGCCAAGAATGGCCTCTCAGAAAGCCATGGCCTGTATGGTAGAGCTCTGTGACCAAGGATCACAGCTTGAGAAATGTTATCTTGCAGAGATAGTCGGATCATGTTATCTTACAGAGAGAGAGCCAGAGAGGCAGAGCTGGGACCCAGATAGCATGACTGATATCCTCAGGATGAGATATTCTACTATTCAGTGTAGATAACTCTTATAATCCTCACAAGAACCCTAAGAAGTAGGCTTTGTTAAATTCCTCTTTGTTCAAATGAGGAAACAGACTGAGAGAGATAAAATGACATCCAAGGTCACACGGCTTTGAAGAGGTTGAGTCTAATAGATTCATACCCAGATCTCTTAGATTCTAGAGTTATTTTTTCCAGAGCCCAGGTACTCTGCTGTTTAAAAAAATCATGCCAAGGAACCAATGACCATAATTAAAATGCCAGTCCCCAGGAAAGTTGCATTTTAATATTATTTATTCATTCAAGAAGAAAAATAGCTAAAACCTAAATACTATACTCTGGTACCATAATAGTAAGAGCTACATGTCATGAGAAGCCAGGGGAAGCAACAAATAACTTCACCAGAGGTTTTTGATAGGGAACTGGAAAGGCTTTTCAGAAGACAGAACATTTGAAGCAAGTCCTTGAAAGATGAGTAGAAATTCTCTCAGAGAAAAGGGGATGGGAGCTTCAATGCACCAAGCTAACAGCTATAAAAGATCAGTTTGCTGTGTCTCAGGGGGCAGTTGATGGGTGGGGAGAAGCAAGAGATTCAGTTGATGAGGGAGAGAAGGGTCTTGGGTGCAAGGCAAGGGAGTCCTTACTTTATATTTAACCCCCTAGGGGTCATAAAGTGTTCAACCAGAGAAGCCACTCTTTGTAGAAGATGACTCTGGGGATGAAGAAATTAATATATCCCAGGGATAGGAGCTTATAATGTCAAGAATGATAATAGCAACTCACATGTGAATATCATTCTCATAAATCTTGAAATAAAACACTTTCAAGAAAATTAATTTATTTCTAACATCGATCCCGTGAGGTCAATAACCTCATCCCACTTTTACAGAAGGGGAAGGCAGGGCTTCAAGTCACATGCATCTGTCCACTCTAAGTCCAGCGCCACTCCTCAAGCACACACACTCCGGATAATGAGCTCTTGGACAATGGCGAGTGTACAAACAGAACCTGTACTTCTGCCCTGGGTGGGAGTCTAGACCAGCTGCTCTTTGAGTCTGATCTAACTTTGAGATGGTAAAATTCTGCAAGTCAGTGGCAGGACTGGCTGCCTCATGGGGCTGACAGGCTGAGCTGTGGGTGGTCAGGAATGTTTCAGGACTTCCTGTGCCCAGTGTTCCAAGTCGGAGTGTCTAGATTAATGATCCATCTCCAAGCAGACCAAGCCGAGGCCCTGACGCCAAGTGTGGGGCATTGATTAGACTTTACACTCTGAGCTTGCTTTCATCTTAAGCCCTCCATGTGGGCTGGGCCCTAATAATTAACATTCTCTGAGCCCCACAATATGAGTGAGCTGGAAGAAGAGAGTGCAAGTCTCTGAGAAGGACCCCATTGGTGGTGGGAGTAGAGCCCCCAAAGCCTCAGCATGGCCACTTGGCAGATGACCACATCTACCCAGCCAACACTCCCACCCTGCCTGGAGTTTGTCCAATGAGTGATTTTGGTCTCACCTTTGAGCTTCACAACATTTCTATGGGGAAATAGCACTAGGATTATTATCCTCACTGTAGAGATGGGGAAACTGAGGTCCAGAGGAGGGCAGGGGATCACCCAACGGCAGAGAGATCCGGATCAGAACTCAAGTCTCCTGCTTCCCTCTCTGGCATCTTTCCAGGGCAAGAGGCTGTCTCTTTCAGGGATGTTAGACCCTCTTGGCATCTTGAGGAAAGAGAAGGTAGAAGTGTGATAAGATATTTTATTTCACAAGAGAAATCATTGCAGAAGGGCCCTTTTATTTGTTCACACACTATTTCAACAAATACTGAACACCCAGTATGCTCCAGCTGCTGTGCAAAGTGCTGGGAGTGGCAAAAAAATAGTCCCTGGCATCAAGAAGCTTATAATCAGGGAGGAGGGGGAGATGGGTGGTGTGGCAGGAGAGAGATAGGTATGCAAATAGTGAGGTCAATGAGGTGTCATGGTGCTTTAAGTAGTAAGTATATTGAGCATATTTAATAGTAAATACATTTAATAGTATAGCACACTTTTGGCTGCAGGTAGGGTTTGAGTAAGAAAGCATGGGAGATGAGGCTGGAGAAATATGCAAGGAACAGGACACTGAGGCCTCCTAAGCTGGGGCAAGGGGACTTAATTTACCCTGAAGGATTCAAGCAAGAAGGCAGCAGGGTCAGAGCTGCTTTTTAGGATGTCCCCTCCTCTGCTGTGTTGAAGATGTCTTTGGGGAAATGAAGAAGACACTATCTGGGAGGCAAAAGATGGTAGTAGCCTGCTTTGATCAGGTTTTAGCCACAAAGGACACCAAAAACTTTTATCTAGTCTAGAGAAGCCTCTGTGTGGGGTATTTCCTTATTATAAAAAAGTATGTCCTATGGTTGCCAACTTATGCCAAGGTCCCTGGATCTGACCCATTCCACACTCCTCTGATCTAAGAAGAAGCCACAGCATTCTTTTCTCTCTTCACATTATAGAATTCTCCATACCAGTCTACCCACTTCTGCAGGTTCACACTCTCCCGTAGTGGGTTCCCCACTGTCACCAACACATGGCAGCAAAGCACCACACCTTTACAATCCTCTTCTTTGACCTTAGATGACTCCACGTTATGTGGCCTTCCCCTTTCATTCAACATCAGGTATAGATTAATTGAGCATCTACTATGTGCAGACATTTCTAGGCTTTGTGGATGTGGCCTCTACCCTCACAGCCATGGGCCCCTGTGGTTAAAACCCAAACCCCTCAGCCCAGCATTTCAGGGTCTTCTTAGATAAAGCCCAGCTGACCCCATATTCTCCTTTCCCCCTCCAGCACTCTGTACTTGTCACATTTTTTATTCTCTAAATACACTATACTATTTTTTCAAAATTATAGCATTATTAAAATGCTAATATACACACTCTAATTCAAACAATACCAAAGGTAGAAAATAGAAAGTAAAATTTGTCCTATACCTCCTTGCAGCCACTACCCTGTAAATCCCAGTCCCCAGGGATGAACTCTGTTAACATTTGGATAAATATCTTCTCAGATTCTTTAAAAAACTTTCCCTGCCCTCACACACCACCTTTTGCAGACAACTATTTGTCCTTCAAGAATAACGACACTGCCATATTCTCTCCTCTGAGAAGTTGTATGTGTTCCCACAGAGACACAATGCTCACATCTGACATAGCACCTGCCACTCTCTATTAAAATAATCGGTGCACACATCATGCCTCCATCAGGTTGAGTGTGAGACTGTGACCTGAGATCATCATCTCTGTGATGATCACAGAGCTGCTGCAGTCGTGGTCATTATTCACTGTGCCTAGCATGTAGTAGGCCCTCAATAAGTATCTATAGGATACATAGGTGGGTGGATGGATGGATGGATGGATGAGTGGATGAGTGGATGGAGGGAGGGATGGATGGATGGATGGATGGATGGATAGATGGATGGATGGATGGATGAGTGGATGAGTGGATGGAGGGAGGGATGGATGGATGGATGGATAGATGGATGGATGGATAGATGGATGGATGGATGGAGAGACGGGCTGACGGATGGACGGATTGATGGACAGACAGCAGGCACATCTGTGGGATGCTCCACAGGACACAGGTACGGTGACAGTACTGGCACTAAGGAGTGGAAAGGACCTCAGCTAAGCGTAAAGGACCTGGATCCTGTCCTGGTTTTGCCTTCTACTTGCTATGTAGCCTTGTATAAATGCCTCACCCTCTCTAAGACTCTATGTCCCTACCTGAAACTGAATAGCGGAGCTGCGGAGTTTCCCAGGACCCTCCCCAGCAGATGCTCCAGAATGCTCAGCTGGCCCTGGCCCAGCACCCTCACTTTACACCTCTGTAATTACCCACCTGCATGCCTTTATTATAGAGATTGGGGTGGGGTGAGGGCTTGTTAAATAAAGGGCAAAAGGAAATTGCTGGCTTGCCTAAATGACATTGTTGGCATTAACTAGATTAACTTCTGAAGTGAAAAGCCCACAAAAGCAAAACCAAAACAGAGAAGGGGCCATGGCTTCTGCTGGGGGCTTTGTGGTCCCCTGCTCAGCCTGCCTGACCTCCAACCCTAGCTCCCGATCTGTCTTCATGAGGGAGGTCACAGAAGCTACTTTCCTGCCTTCACACATGACTTCATCTCAGCAGTCCCAGGAACATAGTCCTGGGCACTGAGCTCCAGGCCAGGACTGGGGGGCTCCTCGTGGAGCCTCCAGACTGTAAGAGGGATGGGCAGGTAAATAGATACACACAGAGTAGTGGAAAGTAGTGACTATTGGAGCCAGACTTTGCACTGAAGCCTTTCCAGCTCCAAATCTGTGTTCTTTTCCCACACATCTCTCCCATCCAGACCCTTGTCCTTGCCCATCAGATGTTCCTGAGCTGAATGATGAGCTGCTCTCCAGACAGAGCTTCTAGGAAAGGCATTCCAGGCAGAGGCAAGAGGAAGAGGAAGACACAGGAACATGAAAGAGGATGGCACGTTCAGGCAGTCAGGGACAGTGCCACCTGGCACTGGAGCATAGAGGGAAGAATAGCACCTTTCCATTTGGTGTCCCTCCTGGTCATGCCTCTCAAGATGAAGGATACAAACTCTGCAGTAGCCTAGGCAGGGAACTGAAATGCCACATCTCCACACCATGCCAGAGGTGCCAACGTGTGAGAGCATCCATCAGGCAGCAGAGGGAGGGAGTTGCTGCCAGACCCATGGTTAATGCGGGCTGGTATCAAGACGCAAAACAGAGGCAGGAGACTGTGACAGACTCTGACCAATGCAGTTTCTCAGTTTGCAATGTTTATAATCATCAGAAGAGGCAAGGAGATACTGAGGGCGATGGACCCAGCCCTGCTCAATGGTTCCAGATGCTTCAACAGGTAGGATAGGATGGAGCCTTGACATCTGGCTAACTGTCCAGTCTCACAGAGAAAGGCCATCCTTGTAAAAATCCCAAAGTACATAAGAAAAATTCTTCTCCCCAGATGAACCAGAGATCTTCTCTTCCTCACTACAAAGGGTCAGCTAAGTCAAACTTAAGAGGAGAGAAAATGAAGGAAGGAACAGCATCTGTGCCTGGCTTAAGTCTGTGTCTCTGTAATAATCAGACACTTTACATATACTTTCTCATTTCATTCTCTGAAGAGTCTAGAGAGAGGTATTATTTTCTCCATTTGGTTGACAAATAAGCTGAGGCTTAGGGAGGCTTGCCCAAGTCCTCACAGCTAGTGACTATCAGAGCTGGACTTTGCAACAAGGCCTTTCCAGCTCCAAATCTGTGTTCTCTCCCTATACATCTCCAGACCCTTGTCTTTGCCCACAAGAAGCTTACAGTCTAATTTCACTGCAGATCCGGTGATATTTCATCAGCTTGCTAACCTGGGATTAAAAGTCATGAATCCTGTAATTCTTCTGAGCTGCTGGACACCAGAACTGCCAAACGACAGCCCAAGGAGTATTTGAAACACAACTTATGTGACTAGCTCCTCTTGCCAGGTACATTTGTGATACCCTACGTCTGAGGAATGACCACCTAAATAACAGAATTTCAGGCACAGGACAGAGAATATATTCTTAGGTAGGAAGCCATTCCAGCACTTGTCAAGCCTCTTCCACCTGCATATGAGCCCACACTTGGGCCTGAAGGCCACCAACACTCTCCTGAGTCAGGCCTGGTCAGGTTCACTAGATGCCAGACTAGGTCACTGGGTATTAATCATTGCCAAGGGAGCCGTTAAACTGAAAGCCAGTTCATTAAAGATTAAGCTTCATCTCCATAGCCCTCCAGGAAAGGGAGTTTTGGGTAGGGAGCCAGGCCCTATTCCAGGAGGTCACCTACTGTGAACAGGAGGCATCAGGAGCATCTGAGTAGAGACAATGTTTGAGAGAACTCTGGGGGCTCCTGAACCTTTGTCCTGTGTCTGTATCCATGACTGCTACTTCAGGTGGGTCTTCAAGAGAACTAGCTATAAACTCTGAAGTGGAGAAGGACCTGCAATGTCAGGTTGTCTACAGGGAATGAAGGGTTAGGAGGCCAGTCTCCCTGGAAAGCATATGGTAAGGAGTCAGAAGGCCTGGATTCTGGTCCTGACTCCATTCTCCATCTGCTGGGGGCCTTGCACAGGGCAGTTCCCCACTCTGAGCTCCTGTTTTTTCCTTTGATGAATGGAGAAAACATTTGATAAGTGGATTTGTAGTGATGCTTTAGCATGGGTTGCCCTGCGAATGATCTATACATGTTTGCCTTCCTCAGTCTATATTAGCTCTGCACCCCCAGGCTGTCTGGCCCAAGTTTCACTTCCTGTTCACAATCTCTGTGGCCAAGGAAAGTTGGCAGTAAATCTCAAATTCACCATGAGCCCTGAATTGCAGAGATCAGATCTCTCTTCCTGGCTCCCCACACTGGACAGATTGCATCTGCCTACTGGCCTAAGAAAACTCTGGAGGAAACTCCTGTGAGCTCACTAAACCTCAAGAGTAAGAATTCCCCATTTGGTCAATTCTTGGTACTTACATTTAGATTATCCCATCCCAATGGAATCTGTTAAGCCAAAGTTTTGCAAATTCTGCAAAGATACAAGACCTTCACAATTTTGATCCAGTACTAAAGCAATGATACAATATGTACTGAGCCAATCAATAAATGGATACAGAATCATCTCATCTCTTATACAAGGTGCCATGGTGATTTCAGGGCTCCAGTGGTGGCCCCCCAAATGGAAATGGCACTATATGCATCCTGGTTTGCAATCAGTGATTTCTGTTAATGTAAGATGTCTGAAGATAATAGTGGTAAACATGATAGATTTTTAAATAGTAGGGTAATAAGGTGAGGGAGACTTTTGGGGCTGTTGACAAAAGCTCTCCTTGCTTTTTCTGCTGCTCTTTAACCAGGCTCTTTATGAAATGAATCTAATCACCTTTCTGTCTGTAGGTGGCAGCACTGGCCCCTTTCACTCTCCAAGGGGGACCTTGATTGTCATTTAGAACAAGTGCTCCTCTCAAGAGCAAATTACAGGACAATGCGAGGATAGAATAAGATAAACTAGCTTCAGAACAAATGTTCTCACACAGTTAAGATGGGATGCATCTGGTGAACTCACAAAACTTCTAAAGCCTCACTCCGCTTACAGAATAGCCCCTTCCAGATTCTAGTAAGAATACAGATCACCAAAAATGTTTTAAGGGACCATTGCAAAGATGAAAGTTGAGGAAGACTCCCCAGAAGCCCATAGGGTCCACAGAACCCAGCTTGAAAACCCTTGAGCAGGGGAACAGCAGACCAACCACCCGAAGACGACACAATTCTCTCCCCAGCCTGTTCTATAACAACCTGGAGTGTCTCACCTTGGGGTCTATTCTCTCAGATATTGCCCAAAACTTACATATGTTGAGTGCTCACTCTGTGCCAGGCATATTGCTAAGCTGGTTACATGCATGTGTCAATTACACCTCATGACAGGTACTTCCACCATCCCATTTTACCAAGAGGAATCAGTGGATCTGAAAGGTTAACTTCCCAGAATATCCAACCATCACCTTGCACAAATGGGAAAACTGAAGAGAGCAGAAGACTGTTGCTCAGTGTCACATGACAAATCAGTGACAGGGCTAGGACGCTGATTTCTGCTGTCCACGGTGAACACCTTAGAATGAAGGGTTTACGGGAACCGTATGATGATGCAGGACTGGGGCCATTGAAATGGGAAGAGGAGGACAGGAATGAGGCTCTAGGCTCAGGACACACCCAATATCTCCTATCAATAGTTTACCCCACCCTCAAAGAAAGTCCTGGGGAAGGAGTCAGGAACGCCCCTTGAATCTAGTGCCAGCTTTGCCCTGAACAACCTGAACAAGCTGTGTGGCCTCAGGCAAGTCCTTTCACCTTTCTGCGCATCTACACCCTCCCCAAAGCAGTGGTGAGTATCTAATGAGACACTGGTAGGAAAAAAGCTTTTAAAAGTATGAAAGCTCCCTTGAAGCTATTATTATTAATTATTATTATTATTACCATCATCATCTTTCATGGTTATTAATGACCTGTTACCTGCTAGGGATCTGTCATCTAGGAATTTCTTTAAGCCCTTCTTGAACCTGTTTATATTCACAGTCAGCAGCACCTCCCTTGCTTTTGATCCCCAGTCTCTAGCCCAGGTTGCTACAGGCAAGATCACTGGCCTATAGGCCTGTGTTTGAACAACTGTTCTCAGTCTTTTTTGTGGGTTGCATCATGGCCAATTGATACAGTGCAATGCAGCCTCATTTCCTCCTGCCAAACCCCATTTGTATGCCCAGGTCTGTGTTAGGGATCTCAGAAAGAAAGAGAGAAAGATACAGGCTTTGACTTCTCAACCTGCCCCTTCCCCGGGCCCAGAAGCCCAGGGTAAGGTGGGGATATAAGACTCCCTCTTAACCACCTATGCCAGGGCTGAGAAGAGCATCCAGACCTCACAGCCCCAGAGAACACCAAGGACCAGGGCCCCACCTATTCTCAAAGTCTGTTTTCCTCTTCATACCAGGGACAAAGGACCAGGAGCCCTTTCCTGAAGACACTGTACAAGCCAAACATAAACTAAGCTCAACCAACTTCGACACCTACTCTGCTCTGGGCTGTGCAGATTTCAAGTTGATTAGACACTGTCAGGCCCCTGCCTTTAAGAAGTTCATTGTCTGATAGGCGAGACCAAGGCATTAACAGCCATCTTGCAGAGCAAGGTTAGCTAAAGGCTTGAACAGAGGATTCATGAAAAGCAGAGTTAGGGAAGGGCCTAATTAGCCCTGCCTGGGACAATCTGGAAAGGATTAATAAAGAAGGGACATTTGAATCAGGTGCTAAAGGATGGGTAGGAGTTTGCTAGGCAGAGAAGGTGGTGAGCAGAAGAGAAGAATTTCTAGAGCAGGTAGAGCATGAACCAGTATTGATGGCCACATGGTTTTCAGGGAATAGGGATGGACTGGTCAGAGGACAGAGGGGCCCACCTGGGGTTTACTAGCAGGTGAGAACTGCTGGGTGCACGGTTCTACCTGTCACAGAAACTGACAAAAGCCCTCATTTCCTGCTGTTCAGAAAGGAGCCCTGTGGACAATTGAAGTTAAAGCCCCATAGAAGAACTCTCTGACTTCCCCTAGGCAAGTCCTTTAGATCTCTCAGGTTGTGGAGAACCCAGAAGAGCATGGGCATTAAGGTATTTTCATCCTCAGTCCTGCGTTGACTGTTCACCAACAGCATGGGTCTCAGTGTCCCAGCTGAGAAGGGCTACTCAGACATATCGCATCCCTTCCCTTAAGTACTTCTTCATTGTAGGCGACAAGCCAGAAAAAGACCCTTTCCTCATGAATCAGGAGCAGGGGCTGGGAGTGGAGCCCAGGCCTCCTGGCCCCTCCCCTCCCTTCTGCTCATGTAATGGGGTAAATCCCACCTGACGCACTGGAGGAGAGCTCCAGACAAATTCAAGGTGATTGTAACAGTAGCATTTGCAGGCAAATTATACTCCATGAGCTAATTAGGAAAGGATTGGGGCCCTCAGCGTTAATTAATATCTAGTCCCTAACAACTTAATCCTCGGTAAAATCATAGCAGGGATCTCACCCGAATGCTGAAATTCTTTCCTCCAACAAATCACCTATATAAATACATATATTTTAATAGCAGCAATTATAAAGTTCTCTGCCAGCTTATGGGGCTGTTTAACATTCCTGGATTGAGGCCACAGTTTGTTCCCCGGTCTCCCCCCTCCCCACAACCAAGGCCTAATGAATAGTAACTCTTTTGTGGCTCTGCGTTCCATTTAACCAATATCTCCTGCCCAATGGGTCTTCACAGGGAGTTAATAAGCAGCCTGGGAGGACTGCCTGAGGAGGTCCACAAACCTAATCGTTAACTACAAGGCCTAATCAACGTCTGCTTCCCACCCAGAGTCCCCCACAGCTACACAGCCCTGGTCCTCCCAGTAATGGATGGAAAATCGGCAATTTCCTGACAGTTAGCAACCAATTTTCCACCAATTAGGAGAGAGATGGTGGTCTCTGGAGGAAACAAGATGGCTCCTCTGCAAGGAGCTGGTACCAGAAGACAGATGATCCTAGAAGCACCAGGGAACCAAAACCTGTTGGGGTGGGGGGAGGTTGCCGGATCCCTCTCCTGCCTGTTTCTCCCTCCCCTAGGTCTACCTTGGCTTGTATCAGTGGGAGGAAACTTCCAGGGACAGAAACTGCCCTGGAAATTCCACAGGAGCTCTTCTCACTCAGACACCCCATTACACAATAAACTTACCCCTTCCTTCTCTCCTCCAAGGCCAGCCTGACACAGGCTTCTCCTGCTGGGTCTCTCCTCAGTGCCCAGGACTGCCCAAGAAATACCTCCAAGGCCGCTGGTGTGGTGGCTTAATTAGAGCATAAGCTCTGAGTTGGACAGTTGTGCCTTGAAGTTTTCTTTCTCTCCAGTTGTGTGTGACCTTTGGCATAGCACCTAACTTCTCTGGGCCTCAGTTTCCTCATTTGTAAAATAGGGATAGTAAAGCATCTACCTGATAGGATAGTTTACAAGGATTAAACAAAACAGTGTGGATAAAGTACTTTATATCACACATCATAAGACTCAATAAATAGGCATAAGTATTCTTCTTACTATTGTTTTCATAATGAATATTATTAATTAATATAACCACATGTGTGCCAGGCATGGTGCTAAGCTCTATGAGAGCCAATATCTTAGACAATTCTCTGGCTCATTTGCCCCTATTATCTCCCATTTAGATTACTATGATGGTCATCTCCCATCTGGCCTCACACCCCTCCAGTTCATCCCACACCAGATCTTTCTTTATTTATTTTAGAGATGGGGTCTCACTGTATTGCCCAGGCTGGGGTGTGGTGGCACAAGCATAGCTCACTGAAACCTCAAATTCCTGGGCTCAAGTGATCCTCCCACCCCCGCCTTCTGAGTAGCTGAGACTACAGGCACAAGCCATCACACCTGGCTGATTTTTAAATTTTTTGTAGAGACAGAGTCTCACGGTGTTACCCAGGCTGGTCTCAAAACTACTGGGCTCAAGCAATCCTCCTGGCCTCGATCTCTCAAAATTATGGAATTACAGGTGTGAGCCCCTACACTTGGCCCAAAGATCTTTCTGAAATACAGATCTGACTATGCCATGTCACTCCTGGATTAAGACCCTTCCATGGGTTTTGCCCTCGAAGAACAGGACATGCTCCTTTCCTGTGGTTCACACGCCCTGAGCCATGTGCTCCCTGCAAACGCCCCAGGTTCACCTCTCACCACTCCCAGTCCTATCTCTTATAATCCTAAAACAGAACTGCTCTTTAATGGCCATAGTCCCTTAGCACTAGACCTGCCTCTCTGGCTGAATGTGAGGACTCAATGACGGAAAGAAGAACGCTTTGTACGCAGCAGGTACATAAGATATGTGGCTCCCTTGCTCAGTGCTCCTGGGCCACAGCACAGTGCAAAGAGGAGGTGGGTAATAAAGTTGCAGTAATGCTTTTCAGTCATGAAAGAGAGACAAAGTTGTCCTCAGCATCACTATGGCATTTATTGGACTTGATTGTACTCTGAATTCTCTCATAATTGGCCATTCTCATCTGGTAATTGTAACTGAATCAGACACAGTCCCTCCCTCAACAAGCTCAGTCTGCTGGAGAGAGAAATAACAAAAGCAAAGATTTAATGAGCACTTACTCTATGCCAGGCACTCTGCTGAGAAACTTTACGTGGATTATCTCATGGTATCATCTAATTTGATCTTCGTAAGAGCTTTATGAGTAGAGTGAACGTATAATTTATCATACAAACTAAGACACTTCTGTGAGTAAAAGGGCACTCTATTAATAATTACACAGAGACAACAGGCAGAAACTGGGACGTCTCAGGCAAGCCAGGACAGATGGACACCCTGTCTACAAGGCCCATATTCAAGAATCTGGTTTTAGAAATGAGAAAATGGAGTCATGAGGAAGTTAAGCACCACACCCAAATTTCCACCACTCTTCAGAGCAGGGCTTCAAACCAGCCCATCTGACTCCAATCACACGGACACAAGTAATGACAATTCAAGGTGAAACAAGGTTTTCTACAAGAAAAGGGTGAGACCTGGTTCAGGCTGGAAGTTGAAGCAGGAAGAGAGGGCAGCAACAGGGCAAGGGAGGCCAGCCAGGACAGAGGCACCTGAGCTGAGAGCAGGTGGGAAAGGGTGCCTCGGGGACACAGGATGTGCAGCAGGTGGAGGCAGAAGAGGGAGGGAGTTGTTTGGAGAAGAGGGAGGAGCTGGGATCCAGGGGGTGTGGGGAGGAGGAGCTTAAGGTAGAGAAGCGGACACAGAAACAGGAGAGGACTCAACAGAAAGGGTCCTGAATGCCAGGCCACAGGAAATACGGAGGAAAGAACAGTCATTCGGCTTTAGCCCCAGCCTCCTGTGCGCACTGCGTACCCCCTAGTCAATTACAGTACACCCCCACCCCACGGCCCTCTACGGGTGTCAGAGTCTCTCCTTTTCTAAACATGCCTCTTCAAAGCAGGCTAGAAAACCCTCGACATCAGAATCCCCATCAGAAAAACGAAGGGGCTGCGGAGGTGCTTGTACCCCTTCCTTGGGTTGATGTTCCTTCTATGAGTTCTCCCAATGGGCAGGATTGGGAGTGGTGACCTGGACACAGTCGCCTTGCAGAGCTGGGCTCAAACAGCATCCTCTTGCCCCAGGCTTTCTTATTCTTCAGACCCCAGTGCCCCCCACTGCCTTGCCCTACTGTCTGCTCTCTGTTCTATGTGGCCCCCATCGCCTCCAGCTCCTCCTCCACAGAATCCAAGAGGTGTGACATCACCCCCTGCCTGAAATTGGGGTCAGAGCTGCTGGTTTGACTCAGGTGGTCCCTGGATTCCAAGCTCATGTCCAGCCTGGGAGAGATACCAGATGCTGCTTCTGACTGGCAGGCTCAGGGTCCAGGCAGGAAATACTGCTGCTGGTGGAGAAGGAGCCCCACACCCGTGAGAGCCAGGCTTGGGGAACACGCACAGTGCCTCTGCATCCATGCAGCCCTGCCTTCTTCAGCCTTCTGAGGGCTCTGCACCAAACTCTGCCCAGGCCTACTCACCCTGCTCAGAGCCATGGTAGCACATGTGGCTGAGGCCACCCTGCTCCCAGCTCAATCCTCTGAGCCATCTCCACACCTTTGCCAGAATGATTGTTACAACGGATCTCATCAGTCATTCAATAGCTCCCTGTCACCAATAAGAGAAACATTTGAGCGTCTTCACATACAGCCCAGGGGACCCTGCAGATCCAGGCCTTGCCCACCTCCCCAGTTTCACCTTTCTCCAGTTCCCCCACGGGCACCCATGTACCCGCATTCAGTCACTTACTCGTGCATCAAGTGGGTGCTAAAGGTCTTCCTCACCCTGAGCCCTGCATGGGAGCTGAGAATCACTCCCTACCCTCCAGTGTCACCATGCTGCCTAGGCCTCCCACCCCAGCCCTCCTACCCGATGTCCTCCTGTTGATCCTTCACAGCCTGGAGCTGGGGAGCATCTGGAGACCACCCCTCGACCCCCAGCTCCCACAGCTTTTCCTCATGGTTGGTTGGGTGTCTGTTTCCTGTGTTGGACTAGAGCTCTTACACGAAGGCACTGGGTCTGGGTCAGTCCTGTGCTCTGTCTTCCTGGGGAGGCCTGAAGCATGCAAGCCTTCAGGAAAAGGCCAGATAAATTTCACCCTTCCCAGCTCCTATATTCCTGGGCTTGCATTTTCCCTTATTTTATCACCCACTCCACCCACCTCCTTTTGTGTGCTGCTAGACCTTGGGACACCAGTGTTTGCATTAGAAAAAAGTGCCCCTTCCTCTGGTTGGACATTGCCCCAGGCCAGGGGAGTGTGTCTTATGAGCAGAGCTCTGGCTGGATCTCAGCCCTAACTTGCCCCTCACCAGACACCTTTGTGCAGGACACACCCATACAGCCTTTCATATCTTCCCAATGCTCACCAGGTGCCCAGCAAGCTACATTTGGGAGAAATGCCTTCAACTCACAGTCACACTTGCATCAGGGGTGAATAAGTGTCCCATCTGCAGGCTGTTTGCTTCTTCTGAAAGGAAATAATATGGGGAAATTATGAAACAATAAAATGGGATATTGTAGACGTTCTGCAGACCCGTTGGAGGCTACATAAGACAAAGGCCTTGCTAGCCTACTGCCCATCTGACCACTTCAGCAGGTGCCCTCATGATGAGGACTGGGCCAGTCTCCACTGGGAGAACTTCAGCCATTGTACTTCCTTCCTTTTCTCTCTAGTCTTGATAGTCTTAAATTCTGAGATTCAGCCTCAAAAATCCCTTTCCAATCTTCTACTCAGAGGCACACGTACATAGGCTCACACACATACACATGCATATACACGCATGCTCACTCCTGGAACTATTTGCTGAAATGGGCTCCAGGAGTTGAGCTCCAGGGAAGCTAACTTGCCAGGAAGAGCCTGGTCCTGGACCAGGTTAAGAGATATGGAGGGTGACAGAAATCCCTCTAAGCCCTGCCACAGGCATATTTACCTGGTATTCACACTGCGACAATAGGAGATGGGGCTTGGCCAAGCCAAGGTAGCCCAGCAATGGCACGATGGAAAGCCCAGTTGAGAGGAAACAGCTTAAAGAAGAGCAGGCTTTGGGTGCTGTCTCCATCTCTCCCCAGTTTCTCGTGGGAGGAGGAAGCAGATGAGTTCTGGTGGCCAGAGAGAACTAGGACCAACAGGGGCTGACAAAAGGAGGCAAAACTGGGTTCCATATTCAATAACTTCCCAGGGGCAGCCTTAGGAGGTAATGGGCTGTCAGTCATGGAGATTTTAGAGCAGATCCTGGACAGCTAGCTAGTCTGACCTTTAAGGCCTCAAGATGTGAATATCATTCTCTTTCATAGCCTAAGAGTCCACATTGAAAGTTATTATTTGATTCCATTACTACATAATCTTAAGACTGTCGTAGTTCAGTGATTCAAATAATCTTAAGACTTTCATAGTTTGGTGAGTCAAAAATGCTAAGACTTTATTTTTCCCTGACTCTGGAACCTGGGATACTTAGAACTGTAAAATTATCTGAGACATGGTCATCTCTGAACATTTATTTTAAAGATGTGTTAAGCACATGCCTGCATGAGCTACTGTACATATATTACCTCATTTAATCTTCACAGCGTATGTTACATACTATTATTATCCACACTTTTCAGGTGAGGAAACTGAGGCACAGAGAAATTAAGTAACTTACCTAAGATCACACAAGTAGTACATAGTGGTCCTATAACCAAAACTTGGAGTCTATAATCTTAACCACTGTACTAGGCTGCCTCCTTGTGCTATAAAAGGAATATATCCAGGAGCCCTGGCCAGGCCCAGAGCAAAGTTATGGAGCCCTCTGAGATTGTTGCCAGACCTGGACTCCACTGGCCTGTTGCAGTCCCAGCCCTTGGGCTGGAGGAGCTGTGACTCTCCCTTCCCCTTCCCACCTTAACGGGGTGTTCCTTCCATAGTCTCAGGTCCTGAATTCCCCAGGCAAAGCCAGCCACATTCTTCGGGCTAGAGTCCAAGTTTATTTAAGAAGAGGAAAATGTTATTATGGAAATTACAACAGCTTTACAAAACAGAGCGTCGCTGTATCAATCCAGGACCACAAGAATGCTCATCAACTTAATAGCTTCCTGTTGGGAGCCTTTCAAGCTGTGCCTGAAGCTGGCAGGCATCAGGGTGTGGGACTGAGGCCAAGCAACTGGGTGACATTGCCCCCTCCTCTGCCCCCTGCCCTTGGGAGTGAGAGCCGACAGAGGGGACCCCTCCCTGACTCCTCATACCCTGCAATCCTAAACAATACAAGCAGCTCAGTTTCCCATTCTCAAAAGTGGAGGGGTGTGTGTGTGTGTGTGTGTGTGTGTGTGTGTGTGTGCTTGTATGTCTGGGGTAGTGAGCAGAGCAGCGCAGAGGGCTGGGGCTCCCCTTCCCACCAGCTCCAATCCCATTCCACACCCTCAGCCTAACTCAAGCATAAATGAGGTTGCTGCTCTTCAGACTCTCTTTGCAAACCCAGTGCTTAGCATCTAAATCTAGGTCCTTGATAAGGAGAGGGTAGGAAAAAGTTTAGGAGAAAGATTCCTTTTTTTTTTTTTACCTCCTAAGCCTAAGGAGAGAGAAGGCCAGGGTCTTAACTCTTTTTATCTCTTTTTTTAATAAAGGAAGAAGAAAAAAAAACCATTAAAGCAAAATTCCTGGGGCTGGGAGCAGCCAGGAGTCTGGCGCGTGTCTCCTCCTGGGTAATTACCTGGCATTTAGCACCCCTCTTCCCAGCACTTGTAATTAGCAGGGAAATTAAGATGCTGTCATCCTACCTCCCAGCTTCTTGCCACTACACCCAGAGGCCTGGGGAGGGGCTTAATGAGATGGGAAGGGGACCTGCACAGCTAGAAGAAGTGAAACTACACATCGGAAAGGACTTTGCGCTGTTTACAGGGCCTTTTGACAAGAGGAGAGCAGTGGAGGGTCCTTTGGGGACCACTTCCTGCTGTCTCCAGCTGAAGCCATCTCTTCCCCCCTGAATTCCTGGAGCATGTGCAAGCTGGGCCACACCCCTTCCCACGGGATGCTACCCTAGCTTTGATTAAATGGCTGGGTTTCAGCAGGGTCTTATTTCACTCACCAACATCATTACAGATGTCTCTTGGGTGCCTGCCTCTGTGCTGGACCCTGAGGACAGAGATGAGTCAGACCCACCTGGAATTGCAGGTGTTCACCAGGCAAAAGATATGGCATTTGAGTGGACAAATGTAATACAAGGTCAAAAGTGACAAGACCTAAGGGAGGCAGGGCCAGCTGCAAAATTGGAGGGGCCTAGTGAAAAAAGGAAAATGTGGGGCCCTTGTTCAAAAATTACTACTAATTTCAAGACAACAACAGCAGAGGATTAAACCGAGTGCAGGGTCCTATGTGAGGACACAAGCTGCATGCCCATGAAGCCAGGCCTGGAGGGAGGGCTATGTAGGTCTTGCCAATTTGGGAAGAATCCTTGGAAGAAGCAACATTTGAATTGGTCTGGTTAAAGAGATCAGTACTGTTTAATAGATAAGGTTCCTTTGCCTGTCTGGCCAGTTTTCTCATCCTTTGAGGCCTCACTGTATGCTCTCTCCTCCAGAAAACCTTCCCCACCAAACCCAGGCTGGGTTAGGGCTCTCACAGCCCCTTCCCCAATCCCTCTAACCCTAGACTTCTCTAAAAGCCCTTTTCACACCACTGCAATTGAATCTGCATCTCCCACAAATCCACATGTTGCCTAAGGACAAGGTCTACACCTAATCCCTGTCTGTATTCTTAGTGCCCCATGGAGGCACTGGACAAGGTAGGTGCTCAACAGTGGTTGGCAGAATGAATGAATACACCTGAGGGAGTGGATTGGGCAAAGGCCTCCTTTGACTGATGCTTAGGGAACACGAAGGTGAATTTTTACCTGTAAGGCTGGAAAGTTAAGCTGGAATTCCATCAGAAAGACCCCTAAATGGCAGGCCAAGGTAGAAAGGCGTTACTGTCTAGGCAGGTTTGAGCTTTTAAAGATCTATTTAGCCGCTATGTAGAGGACAGATTGGAGTGGATGATGGGGTGCAGGGTAATCAGAAAGAGGCAGCGCAGTTAGGAAGCTGTAATCATGATCCAAGCAGAAGGTCAGGATGGTTTGGACCAGACAACAGCCACGGGAATGGAGAGAGAGAGGCAGAGTTGGATGAGAGCTTTGAAGCTCCAACTACCCTGGTGGCAGCAATACTGGGTCACTAGCCAGCTATTCCAATTATTCACAGAAATCAATTCCATTCCACAGAGGCTCAGATAAAACTTGTGTTGCCAGCCGACAGTAATGGATGGGGAGCTTAGAGTAAGGAGATAAGAGGAGGCCCAGAGTGTGGGGTGATCAGGTGGGGCTTTGCAGGGTTGGGGAGGAGCGGTAAGAGGTTATCAAAACATCCCTTCAAATAGCAAAGGCTCAGAGCTGGCCCGCCCAGTTGTGATCTGTGACGGGACAAGTAGGCTCCTTTCCAGGCCTGGAGCTGTGAGACTCAGGCCTAGTGGTCCTTGGGCATTATTCCCAAGCGGAATAATGGGGAAGCTAGATCAGTCTTGCTGCCCTGGGGCTTATATTGAGATCTAGTGCCTTCTATCGGGGAGGTGGAGAGACAAGGGCAAGGCCATGGAGTAGGGAGGATGCCCTCTGAGGCCCCTTTCAGCCTGGACTTTCTGGAATTCTGAGTCCATGAATCACCATAACGACATTTTGTCTGCAGGATCAGGAATAGAATGTTCCATTCTCCAGCATGGGACAGAGGGAGTAGGAGGCAGCCTTCATGGTCTCAACTAAGCTGGGCCAGAAAGGCTGTGTCCCCATCAGCCTCAAATTCCTCCACATTTGCTGCTAAGGGAGCCACAGAGCATCCTTCCTCCGGAGACATAAGAGAGGATGTGAATGTGAGAGAGAAAGTTTGCCCAGGGGAAGAGAAAGAAAGCAAAAGACACTGGGGCTTCAGCAGTCAGAAGGTAGACCACAGACTTATGCTGATAATAAATAATTGATTCTTCCATAGTGTTTGCCATCATGGCAGGCACTATCCTAGATGCTTTATGTGAACTCATCATCACCCTCTCAACAACGCTCATTTTATAGAAGAGGAGACCAAGGCCCCAAGTTGAAGTGAACTTCCCCAAAGTCACACAGCTGGAGGTGCAGATGCACTTGGACCTGGACAGTCTGACTTCACTGCATCCCAACACTGTGAAGATGATCTGCTTGCAAAGGGCGTGCTATGCACCAGACACTCATTTAGGCACTTTTATAAGAATAATATCATTTAGCACCTAGAAGGAGTTATCAGCTCCCTTTTACTGATGAGAAGCTAAGGCTCACAGAAGTAATTTGCCCATCTTCTGCCCATTTCAGAAAAGTAGCAGAACTAGGATGTGAACACTCATCTCAGATCCTTGCACGCTCACCTCTGGGTCCTCCCTGCTGGGCAGGGGCTGTGCTGAATGGCCGTGCTCGCGCAGCTCCGGATGGAGGCAGAGTCTGAGGGACCAGCCCCTCCTGCCCTCCTCAGACAGCTTTTCCTCACAGTGTGGGTGGAGGCAGCTGGAGGTTGGCCCTAGCGGCCCCATCTGCTAACACTCAGGGCTGGGAGAAGATAGTGCTTTTTATCTCTGCAGAGAGTTCAAGAGTTTATCCCCACCCGGGGCAGTGGGGAGCCTGGTGCCCATTCTTGGAGGGTGTCCCATGACAGGAGAGATGGAAGGCACTTCCTCTCCCCTCGAGCACTCACTCCTCTCCACACCCCAGCATCACCAGAGGCCAGCGGGAAATGTCTTGGACCAAGCCCTTGGACACGGGTGCTGGGTCCAGTGGAAAATATCTGCCTCAGGGTCCAGGGAGGGCTGGGTACCAAGCAGCCAGAGCGGCCTGTAAAAGGGTCACAGCTCTGGAGGTGGGCACCCCATGGGCGGTGGGGATGGGGGTGCACTTCTAGCTCCGCCACCTTCTGACTGTGTAACCTGGGACACAGTACTTCACCATCGAGCCTGTTTCCTCCTGTCGAAAGCTGAATTCCCATTCCTGCTTTGGAGCGTTGTTGTCAGGGTTAAAACAGGAAAGATCAAGTATTCAGTACCTGCCTCACAGTCTGACTTATAGATGGGGCTCTGAAATGACCCCTTTCCTGTATGCACCACATGAATTTGACTTCAATCAATAAAACAAACTCCACTCTAGTCTCCCATAGATAGAGTGAGCGAGCTCACCCTCCTCCTCCAGCCACCTTCCTTTTCCCAGGTCCTCCACATTTTCCCCGTGCCCTACTGAGGACAGAGCACACCCCTCAGCCATTCAGGACCCCCCATGAGTATCTGGCTACCTGTCTCTAGCCCCCAAGTGACTCATTCTCCCTGAACAAAGCAGGCCCTATCTTTGTCCCCCAGTGCATCCTTCAAGGCCCAGATCATCCGCTGCCTCCTCTCTGAAGCCGCCCCCAGATCCCTGAGGGAGAATGAATCACTTGCTCCACTGTGCTCCGACAGTTCTGAGCTCATTCTGCTTTGTGTTATGGGTATGGATTTGTGTATCTGCCTCTCCAGCAGACTGGGATCATGGTCTTCTAAAATGCCTGGCACAAAATTTGTAAATGTTATTTAATTAATTAATTAATCATACAGAATATCCTAGAATTAGAGCATCTCAGAGCTAGAAGATCTTAACAATCATCTGGTCCAAATGCCTTACTCAATAGTTGAAGGGGCCTGGAGCTGGAAAGTGGGGGAGGGTTGACATGAGGGTAGAGAAGAACAGGTCCAAGGTCGCACAGTGAGCTAGCAGCAGAGGATACACTAGAATGCTGTCCTTCACAGCAGAATAAAATCAAGGGTTGTTATTTTTGCTTTATAGTTAGATAGACCAAGACCCAACATGGCTCTCCATTGCCCTCGGAATAAAGTTCAAATTTGTTATCCTGATTCCCTAAGTCTCTTTTTGGTGTGATCCCAGCCAACGTGTCCACCCTCATCTCCTAGTGGACACCCTCACCAGGAGGGGACCCTCATCCTCCTCCATCTCAGTTTGCACTGCAGTCCTCCAGTACCTGGAATGGGCCCTTCTTTTTTGCCTCCAGGCCTTCCTTGCTGTGCTCTGTGTCTGGAACCCCACCCCTTTGCCTAGGACACTCGCTGTTCCTTTGTCTGGCCAGTCAGATAATCCTTCAGGTGTAAGTTTAGATGCCACATCCTCTGAAAAGGCTCCCTTGTCGCCCCTTGTGCCACAGACCCATGTGATCCCATCTATCAACCCAGGCTATAGTTGTCTCTGTTTCCAGTCAGCCTGAGAGTTCACCAAGTCAGAAACTGAGTATCTTGTATTCCCAGTGCCCAGCACAAGGAATTCGTTCTGGAATTCTGAGTCCATGAATCACCATAATGACATTTTGTCTGAAGGATCAGGAATAGAATGTTCCATTCTCCATTCATTCAAAACGAATGAACACGGATGAATGAAGTATAAGGACCAGAACTCCACACCACAGACAGGGATACTAGTGATCCCAAATTAACTCCAAGCCCTGTGCAAGGGGTAAGCCACTGAGTTGAGAGGAGATAGAAGGAAGGTGTGTGTCAGGGCAACTGGGGGTGGAGTGGAGGAAATGCCAGCAGGAGGGAGAGGGAAACAATGTCCAGTTCATTTACTGGAGCCTCCCTTCTATTCTGAGGTCCAGTGACCACTCTTGTTTCTGGAAAGCCTTTGAATCACTGGGAAGCATTTGCGAGAAAGAAACCCCTTGGGGAAAAAAATCAGTCAGCACTTCAGCCCAAGTACACCTTCACCATCCTGCCAGCATTCCCACCCTCTGGCCAGCCCTGGGAAGATGCTCTAAAACTGGCCTTGAAAAATAGCCTGAAGTTGGCCAGAGGAAGAAGTGGGGAGGCCATCCAAGGTGACTGCATACACAAAGCCTTGGAGGGAATGTGGCTTGTTCAGGGAACAAGGAAGAGTTTGGGGACAGGAAGAGATGAGCCTGAGGGTGAGCCAGAGCTTGATGGTAAACGACTTGGAATGCCATGCTAAAATACCCAGACTTTCCACAAGTTCACACATTCATTGCACTCCTGCCCTGTGCCAGACTCAGTCCCTACCCCAGAGAGCTTACGGTCTAGTTAGGAGAAAAGGAACCAAGACACACTCAAAATTCAGTGTAAGAATGGATGTATAATGGAGACACAGAGAGGCTGCTGCCCAGCCTGCCCTGGAAGGTGCTCTGGGGAAGCAATAGCGGCTAGAAATTAGATGATAAATAGGACCTCTTTCCTTCTTTCTTTCTTCCTTCTATCCTATCTCTTCCTCTCTTCTTTTCTTTTCTTTTTCCTTTGTTTTCTTCTTCTATCTTTCATTCAATTATTAAATAAGTCATCACTAAAGAACTACCATGTGTCAACCACTCTCCTAGGCCAGGCTATATAAGGTGAATGTAGTCAGTTGTGGCCCACGACTACATGAAGATTGTGGTCTACTGGGGAGGCCGACATAATACACATGACCACACCCTATATGCACATACACACGAAAAAACCACAAACCTGCGAAGGTCTATCAGAGAGAGAGAGAGAGACATTTAGCACCATCTCACACCAGTTAGAATGGCGATCATTAAAAAGTCAGGAAACAACAGGTGCTGGAGAGGATGTTGAGAAATAGGAACACTTTTACACTGTTGGTGGGACTGTAAACTAGTTCAACCATTGTGGAAGTCGGTGTGGCGATTCCTCAGGGATCTAGAACTAGAAATACCATTTGACCCAGCCATCCCACTACTGGGTATATACCCAAAGGATTATAAATCATGCTGCTATAAAGACACATGCACACGTATGTTTATTGCGGCACTATTCACAACAGCAAAGACTTGGAACCAACTCAAATGTCCAACAATGATAGACTGGATTAAGAAAATGTGGCACATATACACCATGGAATCCTATGCAGCCATAAAAAATGATGAGTTCATGTCCTTTGTAGGGACATGGATGAAGCTGGAAACCATCATTCTCAGCAAACTATCGTAAGGACAAAAAAACAAACACCACATGTTCTCACTCATAGGTGGGAATTGAACAATGAGAACACATGGACACAGGAAGGGGAACATCACACACCGGCTACTGTTGTGGGGTGGGGGTATGGGGGCGGGATAGCATTAGGAGATATACCTAATGTTAAATGACGAGTTAATGGGTGCAGCACACCAACATGGCACATGTATACATTTGTAACAAACCTGCACATTGTACACGTGTACCCTAAAACTTAAAGTATAGTAATAAAAAAAAAAGAAAGAAAACAGACCTATGATCTGCCGAATAAGCAGGAGTTCCTCGGCAGAGGAGTGTGAAGGATCACATTCAGCAAGAAGGAGTCGTGCATACAAAGGTTCTGCAGTGAGAAGGAGCTTCACATGTTCAAGGAAACAAACAAAAAAAACAAACAGAAGGCCAGGGCAGGCCAGGCACTGTGGGCTCATGCCTGTAATCCCAGCATTTTGGGAGGCCGAGGTGGGAGGATAATTTGAGGTCAGGAGTTTAAGACCAGCCTGAAACCCCGTCTCTACTAAAAATACAAAAATTAGCCAGGCCTCGTAGTGGGTGCCTGTAATCCCAGCTACTTGGGAGGCTGAGGCAAGAGAATCGCTGGAACCCGGCAGGCAGAGGTTGCAGTGAGCTGAGATTGTGCCACCGCACTCCAGCCTGGGCGACAGAGCAAGACTCCATCTCAAAAAATAATAATAATAATAAAGAAAGAAAAGAAGGCCAGAGCAGCTGGCATGCAGGGAACACCAGGGAGAATAGCACAAGAGGATCCTGGAGAGGCAAGGTGCTGGTCAAGTTTTAATGAGAGAAGCAGAACTGCTAGGGGTGATCAGAATAATAAGGGCTTTATTCCAGGGATTTGACCTGATGCAGCTGTGGGGGGTGGTTTAACCATCTATCTGAGGCTGTTTTCTTGGATCTGATGCTGAGGCCTGAAGTCACAAGGGCAGACAATTAGAGGAAAGATGGATGGGAAGATGGAATCCTGAAGGTCTCACTAACTCCAAATTCCCAACTTGGGCTGTGAGGGTAAACTCCACGAGAAGCAGCTTTTCACCATGGAATTGAACACATCCTTAGGGCAGGAGGAGAAGAGGCCAAGGGAAAATACCGCAGGAGGTGGAGGAACTGCAGGCCCAGCTGCTTTCCCATGCTAACAGGTGTGACTGCACCAATGCTTGGGGCCCTGCACTGCCCTTCTGAGTGTCAATACTACTGCTGTTCTTGTCCTTCCAAATCTCCCACAAAATGTCTCTTGTGCCCCTTGTACACCTGACTCTATGCAGGGAAGGCAACTCTGGAAAACCCAGTTGCAACCTAGCTAACTTGACACACTACAAATCCACTATAGGGGGCAGGGAGCAGATCATACTGGGCCTTGTTACGATGGATATTAAGAGCCTATGAAGTCTGCATTGTAAGAGGAAGGCTCCATCCATATTCCAGTCCCATTCCAACAGCACTGCTTTCCTCCCTGAGCCTGGGCTGCACAGAGATGCAGAAGATGCTCTCCCTACAAGCTGCCAACACAGAAGCCACACTGGTCCGTGCCGTTCCTTTCCTCTGCCTCCACAGATCAGGAAGCTCAGCCCCACCTAGCTGGGCCCACTCCATGCAGGATGCTGAGAGCCTGCTTCATTTTCTCCACAGACAAGAGGAGGGTCTGAGGCCAGCTCCCCTCACCCAAGGACCGTTTCCCATCTGCTAGAGCCAGGCAGAGCCCCAGCTGGGCCTAGAGCCAGAAAGATAAGAAGATTCAGTCACTCACTTTCAATTTCCCACAAACTTGACACCCAATTCCTGTTGCAGAAAAAAAAAATCACCTTCTACTCTTGAGATACCAGGAAATCACAGTCTCTTAGAGCTGCAGTGACTGATCCTAAGTGAGCACCCATTCAGACCTGCCTAGCCCCTGCTGTGCAGGAGACTGTTGTGCAAACAAACGATGACATAGACACAGGTAGGACATGGTGAGGCACAGACAAAGGTAGGAATTTAGTCAGACCCATAGTGAGTGTTACTAAGACAGCTGGGGCCATAAACCCAGCTCTCCTGTTGCTTGGCTTCATACACTTTCCAACCCACAAGTACCTGAGAATCTTCACCTGCACACCTGGGGCTCCTCTGCAACCTCACTCTGCTGGCACACCTTTTTTGACAGGGAGCTCAGCACCTCTAGGCAATCTGGATAATTCTCAGTGTTAGAAAGGGCTTCTCTATCCTGAGTCTGAATCTGGTTCACTGCCCTCGGTGAACTCATCTGGGAATTCAAAGAGCCCAGAACCCTCTTGGGAAGATTAATGTGGAAGGGAAAAAATGGAGAATGTTGTATTCCTTGGAATTTTCTGAGACTGAGGAAAGCAGACTGGTAGTTCTCCCTGCAAGAAAAGCCACAGGTTGGAGTGAGAAAGGAGCTGGTAGATATCCACTGGGCAGTCTATAAAGTTGGCAAAACCTGTGATCCCTCCCCATGACACCCTCAAATCTTCAGTCGAGTGACAAAGCATGGCAAAATCCCCAGGGCAATCAAATTTTTGTGGATAAAGGAGAAAGGCAAAGCTTTATGTCTGATTCTATGGTTTGACGTGGCACAAAGGGTGCTGCAGATCCCCAGGAGCAGGAACAGAGAAGCAAGACAAACACCTGCAGAATAACCAAGCAATCTGAGCTTCACACCAAGGTTGACCCAAATCTCCCAGGGGCATAAAAGTCCCAAAGGGCATACAGATAACATACAAACATTGTGCCATTCACTTGCCTTATTCCTTCATGTGTCTAGATATTTATTGAATGCTGACTATGTGCACGAGGCACTGGGGGCACTATTGTGAACAGACCAGACAAGAGATCTTGGACTCCCTGTATTTTTATCTAACATCTCTTAAATAGGTGTCCCACATCTCCAAAGAGTTTGCAAGTTCCTTGAGGGCTGGAGTATATATTTGCCTCCTCCCTTATGCCTAACACCCACCCCTTCCCCCGTCACCCCCCACCACTGCTCCGCAAGAAAGACACACCCTTTACACTGAGTCTCTAGGGATCTATCTGTTCAGGGATTCAGTGGGAGATACAATTTCATCAGTCACATTTACTGACCAGCCGTTTAATCAGTTTTACACAACACACCGGGGCTCAATTCTTATTACAACCTCTCCAGCTGAATCAGGCAGACCCAGAAAGGGTCAACCCAAGGTCATCAAGTCTATCACCCTGCTTCCAGACCAGGCTAAAACCTAGGCTAGATCAATATGAGGGTCTGGTACAGGGCAAGAACCAAACTCTGGGAGTCAAGAGACCTGAGTTTGAGCTGGATTCTGGGTTGAGCCCACTGCATGGTTGGCAATAACGGTAATGTCCACTGGTAGCAATTTGGAAACCCTTTCTCTCATTTGATCCTTTCAACAACCTGTGAGTTAGGCAAGGCAGTTTCTATTATCCCTATTTGACAGAGGAGGATACTGAGGCTTGGAGAAGTCCAGTTGCTTACCCAAGATCACGGAGCTGGTGAGTGGAGGTGCCAGGATTTGAGCCAGGTCTGTCTGGTCCTGGAGGTGCCTTCTCCTTCCCTACCACAGTGCCCCTGGAGCACCAACTCCAGATGCTGCTGTGCTGTGTTCGACTGACAGGAGCCCCAGAGCTGGGCTGATTCATGAACTGATGGTCCAAGTCTTCCTGCCTCCCCCGCCTGATGGATTTACTGGCTCTTCCACCCACCACATCACTGGCCAGTAAACAGGGAGAGGACAAGAAGGCAAGATGGAGGTTGGGGGTGTGCAGAAGAGACAGAGCAGAGGCAGATGAGGCAGCCTCAGAGCACCCATTACCATCACAAGGGCCCATTCATCCTGGGATCTCAGCTGCTGTCTGATCTGCCCTGAGAGCCAAGTTCCCATCCAAGAGTCTGCTGCCTGACAACCTGTCAGTCACTCCCCAAGGAGAGCTCCTTCCCAGGGTAGCTCCTTCCCAGGCTCCCTTGGCCTCAGGGCCTGCTAGGACCCAAGCAAATGGGCAACATGTACAGGGCTTTGACAAGGAAGGGAGGCAGCCACTCAGACGCCAACAACAGACAGACGCACGCTTTTTCAGCCTCCTGCTTTTTAAGCCGATTCTCTGAACACTTAGTCCCAATTCTAAATTCCTTAAGCTCCTTTGCTTACTGCTTTAAGAGATGCAAACTTTTCTTAGGCATTTCTCCTTCCCCTGGACTTCATCCTCACTTCCTAGGTTGGCCTACTTGGTTGGACATGCCTGGCCACTGCACATCCTGCCCTGTGTATCCTGTTGGCCTGAATGTGGGACCAGGAAGAAAGGAGGGAGGGAAAGACCCAGACCATCTAGGGTGGGGTCATGCTGCTGAGGTCGAATCCAGAGGGAAGGGTGACTGTTGGAATTACAGACTCTGCTCATCACTCCTTTGGGGAGCTGAAGTTGAGGGGAGTGCTGCCCTGTTGTGCTTCTGTACTGGTTCCATTTCAACAAACAGGCATTGATGCCTGCTCTGTGACAGACCCTATGCTAGGCCCCTGGTCCAGGCATGATTCCAGCTCCTGAAGGGCTTTTAGACTGATAGGGACAAGAGCTCAGCAAACAAATAATGAGGACGCAGATGATCATTGCTCTGAGGGGAGCTGAGGAAGCCCAGGGAAGAAGGACACCTAAGGAAGTGGCAAAGAGCCTTGAGGAAACAGTTGGGAACCTGGACTCAGAGCCGAATGAAGATTGCATCCTACCATGGTTCACTCACTTCTCTAAGTCTCAGTGTTTTATCTGTAAATGAGAGTGATCATATTAAGCACCTCACAGCATTGCTCCAGGGATTGTGATGTCCCTGTTCCTGCCTACTATATGGATTGTCCTCATCTGCTTGTCTCTGCCACGAGTCTGTGGGCTGCTCCAAGGGCTGGGTTCCATCTCATTCACCACAGCATCCACACTGCCTGCTGCCAGTGCCACTCAGTGAATGTATACAGCAATAATTAACGATGATTCTGCAGAATGAAAAACAGAAGAAACAGACTAGAAAGAAAAGATGAAACAAAAGGGAACTCATATTTTAAGCTCCCACTGTGTGTCAGGCGTTAGGCTGGTTCCTTATGTGAATGATTAGGTTTAGCTCCCACCACAGACTGCTACGTATGTTATCCTCCCCACATTACAGAAAAGGACATGGAAGCTCCACGACCTGCTGCTGGAAAGCAGCAGCCCTGTGGCTCCACATCCACTCATGGCTCCGCACAGCCCTTTCCATCATTCTGGGCCACTTCCAACTGTCCGAAGAAGATCTGGCCAGAGCCTCAGGTCCCAGAGGGCAGCCCCTCCCCACCCACTCCTCTCCCCATCCCCAGCTGTGCAAACATACTCCAGCTGGGCGGTTCAAGGAGTGCTGGGGGAGGGTCTGGGGGTCTGACAGGTCCAGTGAGCCAGGCTTTCCTGAGAACAGCTCCCACCCCAAGGTGGCCTAGAATCCATCCTTGTCAGGCTCAGGAGAGGGGCCGAGAGCCAGGCTGAGACCTCAGCCAGCAGTCGAACTCTAAAACTGAAAATGTGTCCCACCCCAAACCCACACACAAATCCCAACCCCCAACCTCCATCCTCAACCCCCTACCCTCATTCCAAGTGCAGCAGGGTCCCTGTCTGGTTAGCGCTGCACTAAAAACCTTTCAGCAAGTCCCAGGCTTGTGTGACATACACACCTCTCACTGCACTACCATGCTGCTGGGAGGGACAGAAGGTCTGGGAACCCCCACTGGCTTTCCTCATCTGCTTGACTGCACCCTCCCTCTCTGTCCTCTCCCCGCCCCAGAGTCCTACACACAGCGCTAGCTTCCTCTCCCTGTTTCCTCCCTGCAGAGCCCATTTAAAGCCAGAGCCTTTGCAGATATTGTGACCCTAAGGGTCCTGTCACCAGTTCTGCAGCAATCTCAGAAGGGAGTGGATGTTAGGGAAAAGATCTCCCTGCAAAGAGCACATGCAGGACATCCATGGCCAAATACCCACAGTCAGAACTTCCCAGCCTGGGTTTCCTCAGCTGAGTGATTTTTTTTTTTTTTTTTCCTGAAGGATCAGATAATACACATCTAGGAGGAAATGGGCATGAAGACTGATTGGTTCACGCTAACACAAACACAGGCTGCTATACGCCCACTCAGCAATGTGAGACACATTCGCTTTTCATCCACACTTGGCTCTCAGACAAGCTGATACGGTCTTGCACATACCACCCAGAGAGCTGGGGATCCACCCTGCCCAAGGGCTGACACAAGCATAAAGGAAAAAAAAAACTTTGTCAGGGGATGCCTGCCACCTGTCCCCAGAGGCTGCCTGAAAACTTTCCGTTTGGAGATCAGGCCCTGTGAATCAGGGAAGCAGTGCCTGTCTGCGGGCGGGGACTTCCCAATTCAGGAGAGCCCAACCCATCCTTCCTATGGGTCAAGTGCAGGGAGGCAACCACACCAAAGTGGACCCTGGAATTCGTCTAACACACATTTAATGCTCACCTACGCTGTGCAAAACCCTTGGGATGAGGAATGGGGTGGCAGAGGAACCAAAGTTTAGAGTCAGAAAACCTTGGCCTTGTCACTTCATTACTCATGTCAGACTCGTGTCAGACTGAGATTCAACAAACACTTCTTGCACACCAACCGTGTGTTGGCCATGCATGAGCAATTTTATATAGTTCATTTCTCTATGTAATGGATGCAAAACCAAGACCCTGAGAACATATGTCATTTGTCCAAGGCTACCTGCATTTTCTTATATGTAAAATAGGTTCATAGCAGTACCTACCTCATAGGATTATTGTGAGGACACATGAGTTACTTCATGTAATGTTATTAAAACAGTGCCTGGCACAAAGTAAGTAGTCAATAAATGTTAACTAATATTTAATGACCTTGTTATAAATTCTGTTCATAGGAACAGCAGAAACTGAATTGAAATAACTCAAATCTCATTTTTCCCCCACAATACCAAGCTTA